>NC_000011.10:78328423-78631453 GCF_000001405.40 Homo sapiens | reverse complement strand
GTAGTTTTGCTGTGCAACCCAATGCAACACTAGTTGTGGCAGCCATAGGAGTACCTGCATCACCCCTCTCCCAACTCCAGGCAGTGAAACACAAAGAGAGGCTCCTTCCACTTGTGGGAAAGAAGGGACAAGTACAGGAAACTTTGTCTTGCAACTGGTTACCAGCCCAGCAACTGTAAAATATAGTACCAGATAGAATCCAGAAGCCCCTGATTTCAGGCCATTGCTCCCAGATGGTGCTTCTAGGTCCACCCCAGGCCAGAAGAGAATCAGCTGCCCTGGTGGAATGGACTCGAGTCCTAGTAAGCTTCACCACCTGCTGACTGAAGTGACCTCTGACTTTGAATAAACATCACTGCCAGTCTAGCATTAGTGGCTACAGGCCTTGGGTGAGTGCCAGTACTGTGCTGGTCTGGGAGATCATGGGCTTCACGTGTGACCCAAAACAGTGCCAGCTGTGGTGGCCACAAGAGTGTTCATATCACCCCTCTAACTCCAGGCAGCCTAATGATTAGACAGATTCCTTCCACAGGGGACAAAGAAAGGGAAAAGAGTGAGAAACTGTGCTTGAGAACCCAGGAAATTCTCCCTTGTACTACCCAAGTCCATCAGGGCTGGGTATCAAGGAGTCTGCAAGAGTCACATTGTACCTGGGCTTACAGCACCCTCTAATGCTGTAACGCTGCAATGACCACAGGCTTAGGTAATTTAACACCCAGTCCCCTTTGAATTCCTGGAAAGCCCTCTGAAGAAGGACAGGTACAAACAAAGCCAGACGGTGGTGACCAGAATAAATATATAATTCTTCAATGACCCAATATCAGTGAACATCCACAAGCAATAAGAACACCCAAGAAAATATGATCTCACCAAGCAGACAAAATAAGACACCAGTGGCCAATCCTAAAGTGATGAAGACATGTGACTTCTCAGAGAATTCAAAATAGCTGTTCTGAGAAAGTTCAATAAGTTTCAACATAACACAGAGAAGGAATTCAGAACTCTATCAGAGAAACTTAAAAAGTGAAATTTTAAAACTCTAACATAAATCCTAGAGCTGAAAAATTCAGTTGATGAACTGAAAAATGCATCATTCTCTCACTAGCGGAATTGATCAGGCAAAAGAAACAACTAGTGAGCTTGAAGTCGGCCTATTTGAAAATACAGAAAGGAGAAAAAAGAATGAAACATAACGAAGTACACTTACAAGATCTAGAAAATAACCTCAAACATGCAAACCTAAGAGTTACAGGCCTTAAAGAAGATGTAGAGAAAAGGATCAGGGTAAAAGTTTACTCAAAGAAATAATAACACAGAGTTTTCCAAACCTAGAGGAAGATATGAATATCCAGGGGCAAGAAGGTGAAAGAACACCAAGCAGATTCAACCCAAATAAGACTACCTCGGCCGGGCGCGGTGGCTTACGCCTGTAATCCCAGCACTTTGGGAGGCCGAGGCGGGTGGATCATGAGGTCAGGAGATCGAGACCATCCTGGATAACAAGGTGAAACCCCGTCTCTACTAAAAATACAAAAAATTAGCCGGGCGCGGTGGCTGGCGCCTGTAGTCCCAGCTACTCGGGAGGCTGAGGCAGGAGAATGGCGTGAACCCGGGAAGTGGAGCTTGCTGTGAGCCAAGATTGCGCCACTGCAGTCCGCAGTCCGGCCTGGGTGACAGAGCGAGACTCCGTCTCAAAAAAAAAAAAAAAAAAGACTACCTCAAGTCATATAATAATAAAACTCTCAAGGGTAAAGCATCAAAAGTATCCTAAAAGCACCAAAAGGAAAGAAGCAAATAACTTATAAAGGAGATCTGATACATCTGGTAACACATTTCTCAGTGGGAACCTTATAGGCCAGGAGGGAGTGGGATGACATATTTAAAGAGCTGAAGAAGAAGAAGAAAAAAGCTTCCAGCTAAGAATACTGTATCCAGCAAAGCTACACTTCAAACATGAGTGAGAAATAGATTTTCCAAGACAAGAAAAAAAAAAAAAAAGCCAAGGGAATTCATCACCTATCTTACAAAAAATGCTAAAGAGAGTTCTTCAATCTGAAAGAAAAAGATGCTAATATGCAACAAGAAATCATCTGAAGGTATAAAACTGATTGGTAAAAATAAGTACACAGATGAATTCATAAAACTCTAATACTGTAATTGCGGAATATAAACCACTGATATCTTTAGTATGAAGGCTAAAAGACAAATCTATCAAAAACTACAACAATTTGTTAAGCGGTAGACAATATAAAAAGATAGACAATAAAAAGTCCAAAAGTGGAGAAGTGAAATTAAAGTGTAGAGTTTTCGCTTTCTTTCTTTTCTTTGTGATCAATGTTACATAGTCCTCAGTTTAACTTGTTATAACTATAATATGTTTTTTTGGCAAGCCTCATGGTAACTACAAAGAAAAACTTACAGTAAGTATCCAAAAATTTTTTAAAAAGGGGCAGGGTGCAGTGGCTTACGCCTATAATCCCAACAGTTTGGGAGGCCAATGTGGGCAGATCACGAGGTCAGGAGTTCAAGACCAGCCTGACCAACATGGTGAAATCCCATCTCTACTAAAAACACAAAAATTAGCTGGATGTGGTGGCGTGCGCCTGTAATCCCAGCTACTCAGCCCAAGATGCAGAGGTTGCAGTGAGCCAAGATCACACCACTGCACTCCAGCCCGCATGATGGAGCAGACTCTGTCTCAAAAAAAACAAAAAAACAAAAAAAAAAAACAAGGAATTGAAACATACTAACATACTACCAGAGAGAGTCACTTATCCACAATCAAAGCCAGTAATCAAGGAAAAGATGACTTACAAAACAACTAGAAAACAAATAAGAAAATGTCAGTAGTAAGTTCTTATCCATCAATAATAACAATGAATGTAAGTTGACGAAATTCTCCAATTAAAAGACATAGAGTGGCTGAATAAAGTTTAAAAAAACCTAACTATATGCTGCCTACAAGAAACTTACTTCATTTATTTCATTTATAAAGACATACATACACTTAAAGTAAAGGGACAGAAAAAGGTATTCCATGAAAATGGAAATCACAAAAGAGCAGGAGTATCTGTACTTACATTAGATAAAATAGATTTGAAGTCAAAACTATAAAAAGAGGCAAAGAAGGTCATTATATAATGATAAAGGGAACAATACAGCAAGAGGATATAACAACTGTAAATGTATACGCAACCAACATCAGAGCACCCAAACATATAAAGCAAATATTAGTAAATCAAAAGGGAGCGATAGACTGCAGTACAATAATAGTAGGGAACTTCAGAAACCCACTTTCAACAATAGATCACTCAAAAAACATCATCCAGACAGCAAATCAACAAGGAAATGTCAGAATTAACAATCTAGACCAACTGGACTTAAATTCCACTTAACGTTTCATCTAACAACTACAGACTAGACATTCTTCTCATCAGCACGTGGAACATTCTCCAGGATAGACCATATATTAGACGACAAAACAAATCTCAACAAATTTAAAATTATCAAAATCATATCAAGTATCTTTTCTAGCCAAAATGGAATTAAATGAGAAATTGATAACAAGAGGAACTTTGGAAACTAAACAAATACATGGAAATTAAATGACATTCTCACGAACTACCATTGGGTCAATGAAGAAATTAAGAAGGAAATAAAAATAGTTCTTTAAACAAAAATTGAAACACAACATAGTAAAATTTATGGGATACAGAAAGAGCAGTACTAAGAGGAACATTATAGGAATAAATGCCTACACCAAAAAAGTAGATTGTGACCTGAGTCTATGGGTGAGGAAAAGAAAAGGAAAAAAAGTATAAAGACTTCACATAAACAACCTAACAATGCACCTTAACAAACTAGAAAAACAAACCAAACACAAAACTAATAGAAGGAAAGAAATATTAAACATCGGGGCCAGGCATGGTGGCTCACGCCTGTAATCCCAGCACTTTGGGAGGCTGAGTCGGGTGAATTACTTGAAGTCAGAAGTTCAAGACCAGCCTGGCCAACATGGTGAAACCCCATCTCTACTAAAAATAGAAAAATTAGCCGTGCATGGTGCCAGGTGCCTGTAATCTCAGCAACTCAGGAGGCTGAGGCAGGAGAATTGCTTGAACCTGGGAGGCGGAGGTTGCAGTGAGCCAAGATTGTGCCACTGCACTCCAGCCTGGGAGACAGAACAAGACTCTGTATCAAAAAATAATAATAAAGATCAGAACAAGTGTAAATGCAATTGTGACTAAAAATACAATACAAATGATAAATGAAATGAAAAGATGGTTTTATGAGAAGATAAAGAAAATCAATAAACCACTAGCTAAACTAAGAAAAATAGAGAAAAGGCCCAAATAAACAAAATGTGAGACAAAAAAAGACATCAAAGGATTATTACAGGCTATTATGAGCAACTATATACCAACAAATTGAAAAACCTAGAAGAAATGGATAAATTTCTAGATGTATTAAATGTACCAACATTGAGCCAGGAAGAAATAGAAAACCTGAACAGACCAATAGCAAGTAATCAGACATAGTAATAAAAAGTCTCCCAACAAAGAAAAGCTGAGGACTAGATGGCTTCACTGCTGAATTCTACCATACATTTAAAGAATTAATGCCAACTATTCTTAAACTGTTCCAAGAAACTGATGAGAAGGAAATACTTCCAAATTCATTCTACGAGGCCAACATTATCCTAATACCAAAACCAGACAGGGACACACACAGAAAAGAAAACTATAGGTCAATATCCCTGATGAGAATAGATGCAAAAATCCTCAACAAATACTAGCAAACCAAATTCAACAACACTTTAAAAAGATCATTCATCATGATCAAGTGGGATTCATTCCAGGGATGCAAAGATAGTTCAACATATAAAAAATCTAAATGTTATATATCACATTAATATAATCAAGGATAAAACTGATCATTTCAATAAATGTTGAAAAAGCATTTGATAAAATTTAGTATCTCTTTTTGATAAAAATTCTTAACAATCTGGGTAGGAAATGAACATACCTCAAAACAATAAAGGCCATATATGACAAACCCACAACTAGCATCATACTGAATTGGGAAAAATTGAAAGCCTTTCCTTTAAGAACTGGAACAAGACAAGGATGCTCACTTTTAACGCTTTTACTCAACATAGTACTAGAAGTCATAGCTCAAGCAATTAGGCAAGAGAAAGAAAGGGCATCTAAATTGTAAAGGAAAAAGTTCAGTTGTCCTTGTTTGATCGTATCACATGATATGATCTTATATTTAGAAAAAGCAAAAGTTGGCCAGGTGCGATGGCTCACGCCTGTAATCTCAGCAGTTTGGGAGGCTAAGGAGAGTGGATCATCTGAGGTCAGGAGTTCAAGACCAGCCTGGCCAACATGGTGAAACCCCATTTCTACTAAAAATACAAAAATTAGCTGGGCGTGGTGGTGCACGTGTAATCCCAGCTACTCAGGAGGCTAGGGTGGGAGAATTGCTTGAACCTGGGAGGCAGAAGCTGCAGTGAGCCGAGATCATGCCACTGCACTCCAGCCTAGGTAACAGAGCAAGAACCTGTCTCAAAAAAAAAAAAAAAGAAAGAAAGAAAGAAAAAGAAAAAATGAAAGTTTCCACCAAAAAACAGTTTCAATTGAGATAAAGGAATTCAGTTAAGTTGCAGGATACAAAATCAACATGCAAAAATCAATAGCATTTCTGTATACCAACCGGAAACAATCTAAAAAAGAAATCAAGAAAGCAATCCCATTTACAATAGTTACAAAAAAAACCCTAGGAATAAACTCAACAGAGAAGTGAAAGATTTCTACAGTGAAAACTATAAAACACTGATGAAAGAAATTGAATGTACACAAAAAATGGAAGGATATCCCATATTCATGGGTTGGAAGAATTAATATTATTAAAATGTCTGCTTAATCCAAAGCGATTTACAGATTCAATGCAATCCATATCAAAATACCAATGACGCTCTTCACAGAAACAGAAAAAAACAATTCTAAAATTTGTATGGATCACAAAAGACCCCAGATAGCCAAAGCTATCTTGAGCAACAAAACAAAACTGGAGGCATCACATTACCTAACTGCAAAATATACTACAATGCTGTAGTAACCAAAACCACATGGTACTGTCATAAAAACAGACACACAGACCAAGGGAACAAAATAGAGAATGCAGAAATAAATCTATGTATTTATAGCCAACTCATTTTTTACAAAGATGCCAAGAACATACACTGGGTAAAGAATACCCTCTTCAGTAAATGGTGCTGGGAAAACTGGATATCCATGAGCAGAAGAATGAAACTAGACCCCTATCCTTTACTATATGCAAAACTCAAGCTGAAATGGATTAAAGACTTAAATGTAAGACCTGAAACTATGAAACTGCTAGAAGAAAACATTGAGGAAATACTTCAGTACATTGTCTGGGCAAAGATTTCTTGAGTAGGACCTCGTATTAGGGCTCTCTAGAGGGACAGAACTAATAGAATAGATAAATATGTAAAGGGGAATTTATTAAGCATTAGCTCACACGATCACACGGTCCCACAATAGGCTATCTGCAGGCTGAGGAGCAAGGAGAGCCAGTCCGAGTTCCCAAACTGAAGAACTTGGAATCCGATGTTCGAGGGCGGCAAGCATCCAGCACGGGAGAAAGATGTAGGCTGGGAGACTAGGCCAGTCTGTCTTTTCACATTTTTCTGCCTGCTTATATTCTAATCATGCTGGCAACTGCTTAGATTGTGCTCACCCAGATTAAGGGTAGGTCTGCCTTTCCTAGCCCACTGACTCAAATGTTAGTCTCCTTTGGAAACACCCTCACACACACACCTGGGGTTAATACTTTGTATCCTTCAATCCAATCAAGTTGACACTCAGTATTAACCATCACAAGTCCACTCCTTGTCAATTCGGACCCATACGCATCTCCTGAGGTCATATATAATCTTCAAATAAAGACAATAATAAGGTCATAATTGCTTCTAACATAATATAACTATCCTTTGTATAATCAGAAATGTACCAGTCCCCAACCCAAATACTATTACATGAAGTTAACAATACTTAAATGCTGATGTGAGGTCATTAAATCTTATGTCATATGATAAAGGAGAAAGGAAATAAAATGAAGATATTTTCTTAGTACAAGTATATACATGCATAAGCATGTTTTTAACAAAAGAAGGAGGAAATACTTATGACAATTACAGTTCTCATTTCTGCAGCTGATCATGTGGTCATAGCTGGTATTGATGACTACCTTTTTCTACTACCCATTTTGTATTCCCGTTGCCTTCAGAAAGCACCTCAGCAAGTCGTGGTTTTTTTCCTGGTGGAGTGATCCGAAACTTCATTACTGAAGGGTCTGGGCCATTTGTAGTCCTGCCTGGATTGGGCTGCTGTAGTTTCCCATTGACCTTAATTACAGGGAATGTTAATACTAAGGTGCCCTAATGGATCTCCTGTATTCCATGCATACTCTTCCTTACCTCCACTGTGGGGTAGTAGACTGATTTCATCTTGATAGTCTGGGTCAGTCACCCCAGCCAACACTGTAACTCCCTTATTAGCCTGTTGACTTGAAGGTAAGAGGAGCCCAAAGTGTCCAGGTGGCAATCTTAACTTCCAGTTTAGTGGAATCGTTGTTGTATCTCCTGGTGTCAGTGTTCCTCCCTTTGAAACTAAGACCTCTAAGCCAACAGAACATAATGTTACGGGAACAGGAACCAAAAATGTTGCTTGTGGATCACTAGGGGTGATGGTCAGTGGTGCCACTTCCACTTCCACCCCTTCATTCCTGGACCCATGAATCCTGGCTATGGGAGAAGCAGTACTATACATTGGATGCTGATTCAGGGCATACACGGCCTTCTGGAGAACTTTGCCCCAGCCCTGCAAAGTATTGTCACCTAGTTGGCATTGTAATTGTGACTTCAAAAGGCCATTCCACCATTCTATCAATCCAGCTGCTTCAGGATGGTGGGAAACATGGTAAGATCAGTGAATTCCATGAGCATGAGCCAACTGCCACACTTCTTTAGCAGTAAAGTGAGTGCCTTGGTCAGAGGCAATACTGTGTGGAATACCATGACGGTGGATAAGGCATTCTGTTAGTCCATGGATGGTAGTCTTGGCAGAAGCATTGCGTGCAGGATAGGCAAACCCATATCCAGAGTAAGTGTCTATTCCAGTGAGGACAAACCTCTGCCCTTTCCATGATGGAAGAGGTCCAATATAATCAACCTGCCACCAGGTAGCTGGCTGATCACCCAAGGAATGGTGCCACATCGAGGGCTCAGTGTTGGTCTCTGCTGCTGGCAAATTGGGCACTCGGCAGTGGCTGTAGCCAGATCAGGCTTGGTGAGTGGACGCCCATGTTGCTAAGCCCATGCGTAATCTCCATCCCTGCCACCATGGCCACGTTGTTCATGGGCCCATTGCGTGATGACAGGAGTGGCTGGGGAAAAAGGCTAAGTGGTGTCCACAGAATGGGTCATTCTATCCACTTGATTATTAAAATTCTCCTCTACTGAGGTCACCCGCTGGTGAGCACTCACATGGGATACAAATATCTTCACAGTTTTTGATGATTCAGGTCCATCCACATACCTCTCCCCCAGATTTCTTTGTCACCAATTTTCCAATTGTGGTTTTTCCAAGTCCCTGACCATCCAGCCAAACTATTGGCTACAGCCCATGAATCAGTATATAATCACATATCTGGCCATTTCTCCCTCTATGCAAAGTGCACAACCAGGTGCACCACTCGAAGTTCTGCCCACTGGGAAGATTTCCCTTCACTGCTGTAATTCAGGGATGTCCTAGAAAGGGGCTGTAGTGCTGCAGCTGTCCACTTTCAGGTGGTGCCTGCATATCATGCAGAACCATCTGTGAACCAGGCCCTAGTCTTCTCTTTCTCTGTCAGCTGATCATAGAGAACTCCCCATGAGGCCATCTGTGCAGGCTGGGGGAGAGAAGGCAGGGTGGCAGGAGTGAAGACCTTGGGCATTTGAGCCACTTCTTCATGTAACTTACTTGTGCCTTCAGGACGTGCTTGAGCCCAGTCACATATATACCACTTCCACTTGATGATAGAATGCTGCTGCTCATGACCCACTTTATGGCTAGATGAGTTAGAAAGCACCCAGTTCATGACAGACAGTTCAGATCACATGGTGACTTGATAACCCATAATCAAACGTTCAGTTTCCAACAAATCCCAGTAACAGGCCAAGAGCTGTCTCTCAAAAGGAGAATACTTATCTGCAGAAGATGGCAGGGACTTGCTCCAAAATCCTAGAGGTGTCCACTGTGATTCACCTATGGGGGGGCCTGCCAAAGACTCCAAACAGCATTCCTATCTCCCACTGACACCTCAAGCACCGTTGGATCTGCTAGGTCATATGGCCCAAGTGGCAGAGCAGCTTGCACAGCAGCCTGGACCTGTTGCAGAGCCTTCTCTTGCTCTGGACCCCAGTCAAAACTGGAAGCTTTTCAGGTCACTCGATAAATGGGCCAAAGTAACACCCAAATGAGGAATGTGTTGCCTCCAAAATCCAAATAGGATCACTAGGCGTTGTGCCTCTTTCTTGGTTGTAGGAGGGGCCAAGTGCAGCAACTTAACCTTAGAAGGCATATCTTGCCAGGCCCCATACCACTGGACCCCTAGAAATTTTACTGAGGTAAAAGTTCCCTGAATTTTACTCAGATTTATTTCCCATCCTCTGGCACACAAATATTTCACCAATAAGTCCAGTGTGTTTGCTATTTCTTGCTCACTGGATCTAATAAGCATAATGTCATCAATGTAATGGACCAGTGTGATAGCTTGTGGAAGCGAAAAGCAATCATGGTCTCTCCAAATAAGATTATGACACAAACTGGAGAGTTGATATACCCCTGAGGTAGGACAGTAGAGGTATATTGCTGGCCTTGCCTGCTGAAGGCAAATTGCTTCCGGTGAGCCTTATGGATAGGCATGGGGGAAAAGGCATTTGCCAAGTCAATGGCTGCACAACAGGTACCAGGAGATGTGTTAATTTGCTCAAGCAATGAAACCACATCTGGTGCAGCAGCTGCAATTGGAATCACCACTTGGTTAAGCTTATAATAATCCACTGTCATTCTCCAAGATCCATCTGTCTTCTGCACAGGCCAAATGAGAGAGTTGAATGGGGATGTGGTGGGAATCACCACTCCCGTGTCTTTCAAGTTCTTCATGGTGTCACTATCTCTGCATTCCCTCCAGGGATGTGATACTGTTTTTGATTTACTATTTTTCTAGATAGAGGCAGCTCTAATGGCTTCCATTTGGCCCTTCCCACTATAACAGCCCTCACCCTACCAGTCAGGGAGCCATTGTGGGGGTTCCGCCAGCTGCTAAGTATGTCTATGCCAATTATGCATTCTGGCACTAGGAAAATGACCACAGGATGAGTCCGGAGACCCACTGGAACCGCTGTAAGTTGGACCTGAGCTAAAACTCCATGAATTACCTGACCTCCATAAGCCCCTACTTTAACTGGAAGACCACAGTGATATTTTGGGTCCCCCGGAATCAACATCAGCTCAGAGCCATTATCCAGTATTCCCTGAAATGTCTGATCATTTCCCTTTCCCCAGTGCACAGTTACCCTGGTAAAAAGCCAGAGGTCTCCTTGGGGAAGGATGGAAGAAGAATTCACCAGATAAATTGTTGGTAATGTAGTGGGTCCTTCCTCAAGGGGACCCAGCCTCCCCATCATTCAAGAGATTCTGGGTCTGTAAAATGGGTTAAGTCTGGAAATTGATCGAGGAGCCATGATTCTGTTTTTATAATTCAAATTAGTCTTTTGTCCATTCGACCTAGAAATTTTCTGCTTGTATAAATTAAGTCAGAATACAGTAGGCTTCCTATCAATTTCACTTCTAGTAATACCATGATTAATTAGCCAATGTGAGAGCTCTACACAAGTCCGACTATTCTGATTGCTACTTTGCCTCTACTGTCCATTATGGCAGCTATGCCCACCTTGCCTTTGATTGTTGAGTGCGATCTCTTGGCCCCTGCAACCTTGGGATCCTATTATTCCCATTGTATTTAAATTTTGTAGTTGAGTGACTGTGGTTCCCACTGTTAGATCTGACATACAGAGAAAAGCAATTACAGGGCTCTTCAAAGATGCAGGTGCTGCCCTCACAGATCTATTTCACAAGGCATTAATCAAGTGTGTAAATTCTGGACTCTCCCAGCTGAGATAAGTAGGTCAAAAGTGACTAATTCACTTCACATCCCAATCTCCCTAAGCCTTTGGGTCCCTTCCTCTACATTAAACCAAGGGAGGTCAGGCATTTTCAACTCACTCACAGTGGGCCATCTTTTAATCCATATTTCAGCTAACCAAGCAAACAAACTATCAGAATCTTTTTTAACTCCCCAAGCTGCAACATTAAATGCAGAATCCCTATTTAGTGGGCCCAAATCAATACTTTCAGCCTGATCCACCTCTATGTTCCTTCCACCATTATCCCACACCCTTAATCTCCATTCCCATGCCTGTTGCCCAGATTTCTGTTTATATAAATTAGAAAACTCAAGCAGTTCTTTTCAAGTGTACTTCCTCATGGGTCACATGCTCAACCTCGCCTCTAGGGGCCCACTGGGACTTTAGTCATAGGTCTAGAAGCAAACAGGTGTTGGGGGTGGCTTCTGAGGAGAATCAGCATTATCTTGCCTGGCAATTGCCTTGGGAGGCCATCACTGTTGCCTCAGGCAGTGCAGGGTTTATCTCCTCAGACAAAAGTGGAAAGACTGATGGCAGCATGGGTTGGGGAGGGGATGTTGCCACTACTGGAGGTCGGGGAGCTGTTTCTTCTGGCAAAAAAAGGTTCATCAGAGTTTACAAACTCAGTGTCCCCAGTTTCATCAGGGTCCTCCCACACACCCCCATTCCAAGTTGCAGGGTCCCATTCTTTTCCAATTAATGCCCTCACTTTAACAATAGACACCTGGCAAGGCTGTCCATGCACCTTTCCTTACAGGTCAGCCCCTTGCATGATAAAAGCTTGTGTCTGTTTTTCCACAATTTCAGCTCTTACTCTACAGGAGATAAGGCTCTCATTCAGGGCAATCTTAGCAGATTTGAGGCTCAGTTTCTGCTGCTGAAGCCAGGAGACAGAATCCCTGAGTTGATCATTTTCTTTCATCACTTTGTCCACTGAACTTAGGAGCAACCAACCAGCTTTGTTATGTTCCTTGGTTCTCCACATATGGTCAAAGGTATTATGTATAGAGTAACTAAACCCTTTGCCTCTCACGAGTGGTGAATCACGAGTGCCGAATGCATTTATTTTGTATAACTCTCTAAATAGTTTATGCCAAGGACTATCACTGTTCTCCATACTATGAGAAGTACAGTCCTTAGCATTTAGGGGTCGAATTATATTAAGCAGCCAACTCCAGAAACCCCAAAACCAATGAAAGAACTCCATCCTTAATATTCTGTTCCCATAGAACCACTCCTGGTACCAAAATCTGTCTTAGTCAGGGTTCTCTAGAGGGACACAACTAATGGAATCGATATATATATAAAGGGGATTTTATTAAGTATTAACTCACATGATCACAAGGTCCCACAATAGGCTGTCTGCAGGCTGAAGAGCAAGGAGAGCTAGTCCAAGTTCCAAATCTAAAGAACTGGGAGTCCAATGTTTGAGGGCAGGAAGCGTGCAGCACAAGAGAAGGACATAGGCTGGGAGGCTAGGCCAGTCTCTCCTTTCCCATTTTTCTGCCTGCTTATATTCTAGTCTCACTGGCAGCTGATTAGATGGTGCCCACCCAGATTAAGGGTGGGTCTGCCTTTCCCAGCCCACTGACTCAAATGTTAATATCCTTTGGCAACACCCTCACACACACATTCTGGATCAATACTTTGTATCCTTCAATCCAATCAAGTTGAAACTCAGTATTAAACATCGCAGACCTCAAAAGCCCTAGTAACCAAAGCAAAACTTGACAAATGGGATCAAATCAAGATAAAAAAGCTTCTGTACAGCAAAGGAAAGCATCAATGAAGTGAAGAGACAGTCTAAAGAATGAGAGAAAATATTTGTAAACTATTCATTCGACAAGGCATTAATAACCAGAATATATAAGGATCTCAAACACCTTAATACCAAAAACCAAATAATCCAACATAAAAATGGGCAAAAGATCTGAATAGATACTTATCAAAAGAAGACATACGAATGGCCAACAGATATATGAAAAAAATGCTCAACATCATTAGTGATTAGAGAAATGCAAATCAAAACCACAAGATCTCATCTCACCCTGGTTTAAATGGCCATTATCAAAAAGACAGAAATAACACGTTACTGAGGATGTAGGAAAGGAAAACCCTTATACGCTGTGTTTCAGAATGAAAATTAGTACAGCCAAAGAATTGGAATCAGATCCCTGGTTCCTTTTATTGAGAAACTGTGTTCATATATGACATTCTGGAATATATGAATGCTTATTGCCACAGGGTTGTCATGGCTTACAGACTTTTTCGGTGAACAGAACTAGAAAAATTATTTTTTAATGGGAATAAAATTCTTACTGTATTTCTGGTTTAAATATAAAATTATATAGTTTTTTGTTTGTTTGTTTTTGACACAGGGTCTCAGTCTGTTGCCTAGGCTGGAGTGCAGTGGCACCATCATAGCTCACTGCAGCCTCAGACTTCTGGGCTCAAACTATCCACCCACCTCAGCCTCCTAGGTAGTTGGGACTACTACAGGTGCATATCGCCACACTCAACTAATTTTTTTTTTTTTGGTAGAGACAAGATCTCCCTATGTTGCCCAGGCTGGTTTCAAACTCCTGGACCCAAGTAATTCTCCCACCTTGGTCCCCTGAGTACTGGGATTATAGGTGTGAGCCACTGTGCCTGGACAAATTACATGGTTTTTACTAAACTCTTTTGATTTCATACTTAGTTTTCTTTCTTATGTTGAAAACCTTGATTTCAAAACACAACATAATTACTTATTTGCTTTATTCTACAATAAACTTAGAGTTTCAAAATGACGATAAGACTACTGAATATCATTTAAGATTTTTATAGCTTTTTTTGTTCTTGTTGTATCAAAACAAAATTGCATCACTTGAAGAAATTTTGTATTGTTAAGGACTGGTATGATTTTTTCTTCATTTAATCTTTTCTTAAGCATGTAAAACATTTACATGGTTTCAAAGTCAAAACTATATAACCTAAATTTACAGAAATCTCACTACTATGCCTATCTTCTACATGCTGTTCTCTCTCTCTTCACATGGAACACCTTAATAGATTTTGGTTTGCTATTTTATTTTATTCTATTTTATTTTATTTTGCAAAAATTGGCATACTAAACCTTGTTTTGTACCTTAATTTTTCCCCCACCTAACAATATATTCTAGAAATCACTCTATATCAATACACAGTGATCTTTTCATCAGTTTTCACGGCTTCCTAGTACTTCATTGTGTGGTTGTACCATCATTTCTTCAACTAGTCCCCTATTAACAAACATTTGAGATATCCCCAATCATTTGTTATTATAAATTAAATCACAATGAAATGCATAAGTTGTATTTTATTTTTGTTGATAATATCTTTGGAATCACACTTCTGGAATCACACTTCCATACTTCTGGAAGTAAGATTGCTGAGTCAAAAGGTAAATGAGGCCAAGCTTGGTGGCTCATGTCTGTGGTCTTAGCACTTTGTGGGGTCAAGGTGGGAGGATCACTTGGGGCCAGAGGTTCAGGACCAGCCTGGGGGCCTTGGTGACCCTGTCTCTAAACAACAATAAAAAAGTAAATGAATTTTGCTAGTATGTTGCCAAATTCCATTCCAAAGTTGTGTCATTCACAATTCTCCCAGAAATGTGTTAGAGTGCCAGAGTGCCTAATTCCCATACAGCCTTCCCAATAGACTATGTTGTCAAAATTCTGGATGTTTACCAATCTGATAAATGAAAACTGATAAATCAACAACATAAGCAAGTTTTAATTTGTATATCTCATGACTGAGGTTAAGCAAGTTTTCACATATGGAAAAGCTTTTGTTTCTGTAAAATGTATGTTTCTATCTTTTGTCCACTTTTCTAAATAATTGTCCTTTTTTCTCAATTTTTAAAATATTTAGGCCTTTATTTGTCGTTTGAGTAGCAAATATTTTCCTAGTTGTCATTTGTCTTTTAACTTTGTTTGCAATGAGTTTTGCTGTGCAAAGGAATTTTTAATATACAAATTATCAATATTTTCTTTCGTTTCTTCTCAATTTTGAGTCACATGAAAATTATCTCACTGAAGTTGTTAATGTGGTAGGAATGCTTAAGCAAACTGTAATTGGCAAATCACTGGAGGCTCCCTGTGTACTAGTTTGAGAGTTAAAACTCTGGGGGCTCAATTTTAGGGAGATCCCCACACTTTTATGAGTTTGTCCTTAGGAACCCCACCAGGTTCTCAGAGAAAAATCCTTTCACGCTTCCACCAGGGGGAGGAAAAAGCAATGATTGTGAAATACACCTACAGCATTCTGTTCTTCTTAACAAAAGCCTTCCCTCAGGGAAATTATTTTCCAGAGCCTTACCTACCCAGAGAATGAAAAATACCCAATTCCAAAACCTTCTAGCCTTCTTGCCCTACCTAAGGGAGGAAAAAGAGCTGAGAAGCACTTGGGAAGGTTATAGCCCTAGGACATAGGCTCAATAAAAGACTAGCAGAATAAGACATAACATTAGAATTATAGAATGCTTCCTCTGTTGTGATGGTTAATATTGAGTGTCAACTTCATTGGATTGAAAGATACAAAGTATTGTTCCTGGGTGTGTCTGTGAGAGTATTGCCAAAGGAGATTAACATTTGAGTGGGTGGACTGGGAGAAGCAGATCCACCCTCAATCTGGATAGGCACCATCTAATCAGCTGCCAGCATGGCTAGGATAAAAGCAGGTAGAAGAAGAATATGGAAGGACTTGACTTTACTGAATCTTCCGGCCTTCCTCTTTCTCCTGTGCTGGATACTTCCTGTCCCTGAACATCGGACTCCAAGTTCTTCAGCTTTTGGACTCTTGGACTTATACCAGTGGTTTGCCAGGGGATCTCGGGCCTTCAGCCACAACTGAAGGTTGCACTGTTGGCTTCCCTACTTTTGAGGTTTTGGGACTTGGACTAGCTTCCTTGCTCCTCAACTTGCAGACCGCCTATTACGGGACTCACCTTGTGATCGTGTGAGTCAATACTCCTTAATAAACTCCCCTTCATACATATATCTATTCTATTAATGCTGACCCTCTAGAGAATCCTAATATACCTCTCCTTACCACCACATCAGTCAGGCTCCTACATAATAACAGGGGATTACAACTGAAATAACTTCAAGGCTCAGGCTGGCTTTGGAAGGAGTCTCTAAAGAAATCCAAAGACAGGCTGGGTACGGTGGCTCATGCCTATAATCCCAGCACTTTGGGAGGCTGAGGCAGGTGGATCACCTGAGGTCAGGAGTTCGAGACTAGCCTGGCCAACATGGCAAAACCCTATCTCTACTAAAAATACAAAAATTATCTGGGCGTGGTGGCGCATGACTGTAACCCCAACTACTTGGGAGGCTGAGTCAGGAGAATTGCTTGAACCCAGGAGGCGGAAGTTGCATTGCGCCAGTGCACTCCAGCCTGAGCAACAGAGTAAGACTCTGTCTCAAAGAAAAAAAAAAGAAAAGAAGGAAAAAAATCCAAAGACAACAGGGAGACAGAAACAAGGACATTAGAGCAAGTTTTAGCCTCTGACACCTACAGCTATGGCAAATAGTAAACCTAACCTAGCTTTTAGCCAGATAAACACAAAACCTCACGATACAAGCCTATTTAACTCAGTTTCTTTTAGTCAATACATCATGTCCAGCTTTGAACAAAAATGGCAAGGCATGCTAGAAAGCAGAAACATAGTCTAAGAGCTAGAACAAGCTTCAGAACCAGACTCAGGTATGACACAAAATTTGGAACTATCAGACAAGAAACTTGAAAGAACTATAATTAATATGCTAAGAGCGCTAATGAAAATGTTACCAACATGTAAAACAGATGGTTATGTAAGCAGAGAAATGGGAACTCTAAAAATAATTCAAAAGGAATCTTTAAAATCAAAAAAATATATAACAGAAATGAAGAATGCCTTTGATGGCTTCACCAGTAGACTGGACACAGATGAGGAAATAATCAATGAACTTAAAGATATGTCAATAAAAACCCCAAAATGAAAAGCAAATTGGAAGCAAGTGGAGGGGGGGAGGAATAGAATGTAATAGCCAAGAAATGTGGGGCAATGACAAATGGTATAACATACATGTAAAGGGAATATCAGAAGGAGAAGAAAGGAACAAAATAATTACTCCAAATGACTAAGAATTTTCCAGAATAATGATAGACACCATACCACAGATCCAAGAAGCCCAGAAAACACCAAGCAGGATATATATCAAGACATTTACACACAGGCATATTATATTGAAACTGCAGAAAATCAAAGACAAAAAGAAAAAAAATTGAGACAGGGTCTCACTGTTTCACTTGGTCACCCAGGTTTAAGTACAGTGGCACAATCATAGTTCACTGCAGCCTCGGCCTCCTGGGCTCAAGCAATACTCACACCTCAGCTTCCCAAGTAGCTGGGACTACAGGTGCATGCCACCATGCCGGGCTAACTTTGTTATTATTATCTGTAATGACGAGATCTTGCTTTGTTGCCCAGGCTGGTCTTAATTTCCAAGACCTGCAGGGTGAGTCGGGAAGTTAGAGACTCAAGAGAGCCAATTATGTTGTTCTGGTTTGAGTCCAAAGGACTGAGACCCAGAACTGATGACGTAGTTCCAGTCCAAAGACTGGCAGGTTTGGGAACCAGGAAATGCCTATCTTTGAGTTTGAATGTGAAGGCAGGGAAAAGTCCACGTCCCAGTTCAAAGGCAGACAGGCCAGCAGGAGGAATTCTCTCTTACATGAGGAATGTCAGCCATTTGGTTCTACTTAGGACTTCAATTGATTGGATGAGGCCCACCCATGTCAGGAAGGGCAATCTGCTTACTCAATCTACCAAGGTAAATTAAATGTTAATCTCATTCAAAAACACCATTACGGGAACACTCAGAATAATGTTTGACTAAATATCTAGGTACCCTGAGGGTCAGTCAGGTTGACACACAAAATTAACCATCACAAGTCCAACCCTTGCCAACTTGGCACTCCTATGCATACTTAATCTCCAAACGAAGTCAATAGCAAGAACATAATTCCACCTAACATGATACTGTGTATAACCAAAACACACTAACCCCCTTTCCTTGAGTGATGTTTAATCTTCTTGCTATCTCAAAACTTAAATACTGTTACGTAAAGTTAACAATACTTAAAGACTATGATATAAAGTCATGCATCTTAGTTACATGATAAGGGGATGATATAGGGAAGAAAAAAAGATATTTGCCTACACACACACTTCCTCCATACCAAAATAAGGAAGAAATACTCGTGACAACTAAGGTCTTCATTTCTGTAACTAGTCATGTGGTCATAGCTGGTATATATAACTACCTTTTTCCAGTACACATTCCTTATTCCCTTTGCCTTCAAGCACCTCAACTAGTCAGTTTTTTGACAGGTGGGGTGACCCAGACCTTCATTCCTAAGGGGTCTGGCCATTAGTAGTCCTGCCTGGATTGGTACATTGTAGTTTGAAACTGACTTAAATCACAGGGCATGGTAACATTAAGACATGTCCTAAAGGGATATCCTGTATTCCAAACATACTGTTTCTTATCTCCATGGTGAAATAGTAGTCCAGTTTCCCCCTTGGTAGTCAGGATTAACACTCAGCCAACACAGTAACTCTCTTCTTTGCCTGTTGATTCAGAGGCACAAGGAGCCCAAGATGGGTGGGCAACAGTCTTAACTTCCAGTTCAATGGAATCATTCTGTGTCTCTTTGTGGAAGCATTCCTCCCTTTGGGACTAAGTCTTCTAGGCCAGGCAAGCATAAAGTCATAGGAAGAGGAAGCAACAATTTTGCTAGTGGGTTATGAGGGGTAATTGTGGTGCCACTCTTATTTCTACCCCTTAATTTCCAGACCTATTAATCCTGGCTTTGGGAGAAATAGCACCATATATTGGGCACTAATTCAGAGCATATATGGCCTTCTGGAGGACCTTGCCCTGCCCTTGCAAAGTATTGACACCTACCTGGCCCTGTAATTGAGACTTCAAAAGACCATTCCAATGTTCTACTCAGCCAGCTGCTTCAGGATGGTGGGGAACATGGTAAGAACAGTGAATTCCATGCTCATGGGCCCATTGCTGCACTTCATTTGCTATAAAGTAAATTATTTGATAAAACAGTGCTGTATGGAATACCATGACAGTGGATAAGGTACTCTGTAAGTCCACAATAGTAGTTTTGACAGAAGCACGTTTTGCATGAAAGACAAATACATACCCAGAGTAAGTGTCTATTCCAGTAAGAACAAACACTGCCCCTTCCATGATGGAAATGGCCCAATGTAACCAACTACCCACCAGGTAGCTGGCTTGTTGCCCTAGGGAATTGTGCCATATCTGGGGTTCAGTGTTGGCCTCTGCTGCTAACAAATGGGTCACTCAGCAGTGGCCATAGCCAGGTCAGCCTTGGTGAGTAGAAGTCCATATTGCTGAGCCCGTGCATAACCTCCATCCCTGCCATGCCAACATGGTTACTTTTGTTCATGAGCACACTAGGTGATAGGGGGTTGCTGGAAAGAGGCTGACTGGTGTCCACAGAACAAGTTATTCTATCTACGTGATTATTAAAATTTCCTCTGCTGAGGTCACCCTTTGGTGAGCATTCACATGGGACACAACTGTCTTCATGACTTTTGCCTATTATGGAGGGTCCATTCACATACCTTTTCCTCAAATTTCCTTGTCAAAAGTTTTCTAATCACGTCCGTTCCAAGTCCCAGATCATCCAGCCAAACTGTTGTCTACAGCCCATGAATTAGTATATAATCATATCTGGCCATTTCTCCTCCCAAGCAAAATGAACATCCAGGCACACTGCTCAGAGTTCTGCCCACTGGAAGGATTTTCCTTCACCACTGTCTTAAGGAATGTCCCAGAAAAGGTACCGCAGTGCTGCAGCTGTGTACTTTCATATGATTCCAGGCCATCTTAAAGAACTATCTGTAAACCAGGCCTAAAAGTTTTATTTTCTTCTGTCAAATGATTGGAGGGAACTCCCTATGGCCTCATGGGTGTGGGCTAGGAAAGAGAGGATGATATATTTAGGTTGATGCAAAAGTAACTGCTGTTTTTGCTGTTAAGAGTAATGGTTAAAACCACAATTACTTTTGCACCAACCTAATAGCAGGAATGGGGACCATGAACATTTATTTGGGCTACTACTTCACGTATTAATAACTTATCTGTGACCGGGCGCAGTGGCTCACACCTGTAATCCCAGCACTTTGGGAGGCCGAGGCGGGCAGATCACTAGGTTAGGAGATTGAGACCATCCTGGCTAACACGGTGAAACCCCATCTCTACTAAAAAAATACCAAAAAAAAAAAAAAAATTAGCTGGGCGTGGTGGCGGGCGCCTGTAGTCCCAGCTACTCGGGAGGCGGAGGCAGGAGAATGGTGTGAACCTGGAAGGCGGAGCTTGCAATGAGCCGAGATCGCGCCACTGCACTCCAGCCTGGGCAACAGAGCAAGACTCTGCCTCAAAAATAAATAAATAAATAAATAAATAAATAAATAAATAAATAAATAAATAAAATAACTTACTTGTACCTTCAGGGCCTGCTCAGGTCCAATCATGTATATACCACTTCCGTTTGGTGATGGAGTGTGCTGTGCATGCCAAATTTTATGGCTTGGTGAGTTGGATAACATCCAGTTCATGATAGACAGCTCAGGTGGATGATACTATGGTGGCCTACAGTTAAGTGTCCAGCCTCTAAGGCCCAGTATCAGGCCAAGAGCTGTTACTCAAAAGAAGAATAGTTTCATGCTTGTAATCCTAGCACTTTGGGAGGCGGAGGCAGGCGGATCACGAGGTCGGGAGATAGAGACCATCCTGGCCAACATGGAGAAACCCTGTCTCTACTAAAAATACAAAAATTATCTGGGCATGGTGGTGCGTGCCTGTTATCTCAGCTACTCCGGAGGCTGAGGCAGGAGAGTCGCTTGAACCAGGGAGTCAGAGGCTGCAGTGAGCTGAGATCACACCACTGCACTCCAGCCTAAAGACAGAGCAGGACTCCATCAGAAGAAGGAGAAGGAGGAAGAAGAAGGAGAAGAAGGAGAAGGACGAGGAGGAGGAGGAGGAGGAGGAGGTTATTCAAAGAGGATAGCATGGCTTTGTTCCAAAATCTGAAGGTCCTCCACTGCAATTCACCTATAGGGGCCTGCCAAAGGTTCCAAACAGCCTCCCTCTCTGCCACTGACACTTCAAGCACCATTGTATCTGGTTGGTCATATGGCTCAAATCGCATAGCTTACACAGCAGCCTGGACCTGTTGAAGAGCCTTCTCTTGTTCTGGGCCCTGCTCAGAATTAGCAGCTTTTTGGGTCACTGGGTAAGTGAGCCAGACACCCAAATAAGGAATATATCACTTCCAAAATACAAAGAGGCCCACTAGGCATTGTATGTCTTTTTCGGTTGTTGAAGGGGCCAGATGCAACACTTATTATTCACCTTAGAGTGATATGACCTGTCCCATACCATTGATCCCCTAGAAATTTCACCAAGGCTCTTGAATTTTTGTCAAATTTATTTCCCACTCTCTGACACACAAATGTCTTACGAACAAGTCTAGAGTAGTTGCTACTTCTTGCTTACTAAGACTAATTAGCATAGTGTCAGGAATGTGATGGGCCAGTGTGATATCTTGAGAAAGGGAAAGATGAACAAGATTCCTGCAAACTAAAGTATGTCACAGGCCAGGCGTGGTGGCTCATGCCTGTAATCCCAACAATTTGGGAGGCCAAGGCGGGTGAATCACTTGAGGTCAGGAGTTCAAGACCAGCCTGGCCAACATGGCGAAACCCCGTCTCTACTTAAAAATAAAAAAATTAGCCAGGCATGGTGGCAGGCACCTGTAATCCCAACTACTCTGGAGGCTGAGGCAGAAGAATCACTTGAACCTGGGAGATGGAGGTTGCAGTGAGCCGAGATCATGCCATTGCACTCCAGCCTGGGCGACACAGACTCCATCTCAAAAAAAAAAAAAAAAAAGTATGTCACAGAGTTGGAGAGTTCATGCACTCCTAAGGTAGGAGAGTGAAGGTGTATTACTGGCCTTGCCAGCTGAAAGAAAACTGCTTCTAGAAATCTTTATTAACAGAAATGGAGAAAAAGCAGCTGCCAAATTCATTAGCTGTCTGCCAGGTACTAGGGGATGTGTTAATTTGTGTAAAAAATGAAACCACATCTGGTAAAGCTACTACAATTGGAATCATCACCTGGTTAAACTTACAATAATCCACTATCATTTTCCAAGATCCATCTGTCTTCTGCACAGGCCAAATAGGAGAGTTGAATGAGAATGTGGTGGGAATCATCACCCCCGTATCTTGCAAGTCTTTGATGGTGGCGCTAATCTCTGCCATTCCTCCAGGAATGCAGTATTGCTTTTGGTTTACTATTTTCCTAGGTAGAAGCAGCCCTAACAGCTTTCATTTGGTCTGTCCCACCATGATAGCCCTCACTCCACAGGTTAGGGAACTAATGTGGGGGCTTCTGTCAGCTACTAGATATGTCTATTCCAATTATGCCTTCTAGAATTGGGGAAATAACCACAAGACGGGTTCACGGACCCACTGGTCCACTATGTATTTTCACACTGTGAAGGTACAGGACCACTGTAAGATAGACCTAGGCTAAAATTCCATTAATCACCTGACTTCCACACATTGACTGTGAATCACAGTGATATTTTGGGTCTCCCGGAATTAGTGTCAGTTCAGAACCAGTGTCTAGTAGTCCCTGAAAGGTCTGATTATTTCCCTTCCCCAATGCGGAGTTACTCCATAAAAGGCTGTAGGTCCCTTTGGGGAAGGCCAGGGGAAAGATTAACAGTATAAATATTCAGTAGTATATGGGGTCTTTCCTCCAGGGGACCTGGTCTTCCTTTCATTCTAGGTCTATAAACAGGCTCAAGTCTGGGAATTGTTTAAGGGCCATAATTCTCTGTTTTTAGGATTCAGATTAGACTTTTTTTTCACTTGACCTGGAACTTTTCAACTTATATAGATCAAGTAAAAATTCGGTAGGCTTCCTATCTATTAAGTTGGTGCAAATGTAATTCCAGTTTTTTGCCATTACTTTCTATTGTAATTGAAATTACCCTTGTACTAACCAAATATTTCACTTCCAGGAACACCATGATCAACTAGCAATGCTGTAGTTCTGCAGGAGTCAGACTATTCAGCTGGTTGCTTTGATTCTGCTGTTTATTGTGGTGACCACTCCCACCTTGCCTTTGGTGGTTGAGTGCCTGGCCCCTGCCACACTAAGATAAATCTGTGTGGATAGCCTTATCAGCCACTTTTAGCTTAATCCAATTCAATGTTACTTGAGCACCAACTGTTGCCAGGCATGTTACTTATGAATAACTTACCATGAGAGCTAAGTACTAAAAGAAGACCTGTCTACTAAATACAAATGAAATATTCTTATCAGTAACAGATAATTATCAATGAATACTTATCCAGATCTTCCTCTTCTTCCTAGACTGCTCAGGTCCCTTTAAGGGTCCCCAGAAAATTCTAAGACTTCTGACAGAGCACAGGGGCCCATTGATGGACTAACACCTTCCTATTACTCTGAGACTACTCATAACCGTTCCAAGCTTCAGCTCCCTGGATGCCATCTAAGCTCCTGACCTTTACGTATGTTCTCTTTGTCACCAGGTTTGGATCTAAAGCCACAAAATGGGAGATGCTATTTGCTCTCATTTTGTAACTCCGGTTTTCCCTACTCCTAATACTTTTCATTTGATTTTTTACACAAAGAGAAAGGAAAGGACTCTAGATTTCTTGAAGGGATCAGACCCTTTACCTTCAGAACTCCTTTTATAATGTCAATATTTTAAAACTATCAAACTAAACAGGACATATTTTAAGCAAGTTTACAGATTAGGATCTTAGCAATATGTTTCAGCTAAATGTCAGAACTAGATAATGTCAACATTAATCAAAATAGCCACCTAAGAATTGAAATGGTATAGGAACTCTTTGAGTCCCTAACATTCAGGAGGTAATGTTGCATTAGTAGATGTCAAAGTTAACAATGTTAGCCAGCTAAACGAGGAACTTCCTGAGCATACGTTGGAGGTTAGTGGATTAGCATTGATTTTAATCATGCTTTGGACAGTAGACATACAATCTATAAACACCCAGTTTGCATCAAGGAATAAAACAGATATTATTTCCTTCTATTCCTGTTGAAGCCCTGCCCGTATTTCTCATCATTCTTGAAATCAGTTCATTGACTGTGTTCCACTATACCTTGTACATACCGTTGTGGTTAGGTGTTACTGCCAAACAAATAACATTATCTGTTTATCTGTCTCACTTCACACTAGCCTGTAGGATTCCTGATGCAAGGATTGTGGTTTACGAATATCTGCCAGGCCTGCAATGGAATAAAGAGGGAATTCAGAATAAAAAAGACTTGGATTAAAATCCTGACCCTAGAATTTAACTGTGTCATGATGGGCAAGTTTTTTAACTTCTCTGAGCCTCATAGTACTGATTTTTAAAACAGGGATTTAAATAACTACCTAGAAGACTTGATTAAGAATAAATGAAATAGGCCAGGTAGAGCGACTCACACCTGTAATCCCAGCACTTTGGGAGGCTGAGGCAAGTGGATTGCTTGAGCTCAGTAGTTCGAAACCAGCCTGGGAAATATAGCAAAAACCCATCTCTACAAAAAAATACAAAAAAAAAAAAAAAATTACCCAGGCACTGTGGCCTGTGCCTGTAGTCCCAGCTACTTGGGGAGCTGAGGTGGGAGGAAGGCTTGATCCCAGGAGTCCGAGGCTGTCGTGAGCCAAGATCGTGCCACTGCACTCCAGCCTGGGTGAAAAAGCCAAGACCCTGTCTCAACCAAAAAGAAAAAAGAAAAGATTAAATGATATGATTTACTATATCATAAAGGTTATAAATGAATGGTTATAAGTGAAACGTGAAAGGTTCCCTTGTCCCCCTCCCAGGGCATGCGATGGGGTGTGTCTCACTTCTTCAGTGCCCCGCTGCTTAACCTCTAGAGGAGCATACACATGGGCAGGCTGTGGGTCTCCGATTCCACAGCAGTGTCTAGGGGTGGATGTTTACAGCTTGTCCCAGTGGACATGGTGTTACAGGGTTCTCTCTTAGTTTGCCGTCTATAGGCAGCTTGTGTTCACCAGCTCAATTAGACCCTCCACCTTGCCGCAAGGACAGAGCGCTTTCTGTATGCCGAGTTCCTGCCTTGGTGTACCGGAAGAATCGGATCACACGTGGGCTTGGAGAATGCCTGCAAAGTTTTACTGAGTGGAAGTAACTCTCTGCCAATGGGGGAGCCAGAAGGGAGATGGTTTTCCCTGGATTTGGGCTGCTCGGTGGTCCCAGCCAAACTCTGCCTTATCCCACCTGTTGATGGTGTGCCAGCATGCTGACGTCTGTCGGTGGGCTCTTCCTCCAGCGTGCTCTCGACCAGCCACTCGTGTCTTCTTCCGCCAAAGTGTTCCTCTCAATATCTGGCTGCCTGTGTGCCCGCTAGGGTCTCTGGTTTTTATAGGCCCAGGATGAGGGCATGACGGGACAGGGTGGTCTTGGAAAATGCAACATTTGGGAGCGAAAGCAGGAGTGCCTGTCCTCACCTAGGTCCGTGGGGGTGGAGCCCTAGCCAGGGACCATGCCCTCCTCTACTCAGCACTTCCCTTCCCTGCGTCTGTATCATTTAAAGTGACCACACTGTTCCCTTCCCAGCACTCCCGTATCATAAACAAAAGGAAATTGTATTTTTAAGATTCTTTGGTTATGAGCAATAGAAATAAACTCTGGCTAACTTGAGTGGGGAAAGAAGACATAACAACAAAATGCAATGTGTAATCTGGGATTAGATCCTGGGTCAGAGAGGGAAATTTATATAAAGGACATTATTGGAACAATTAGCGTAATCTGAAAAATGGACTATATCTTATGAAATAGTGTTAGCTAATCTTATATTTTCTGAATTTGATCATTATATGGCATTTATATAAGAGAATATCCTTGCTTTTAGGAAACACACAATGTAGGATATGGAGGCTAAAGAGCATGATGTCTGAAACTCTCAAATGGCTTTGGAAAAAAATATTTACATGTATATAAATGATTACATGTATATAAAATGTACATATATGTGACATATATACATGTATATATAATGCATGCTTACACATAGAGACAGAGAGAAAGCAAAAAAGTAAATATGGCAAAATATTAACAATTAGTGTATAATATACATCCATATGTAATGCATGCACACACATATATAAAGAGACAAAGAGAAAGCAATAAAGTAAACATGGCAAAATAGTAATAATTAGCGAATCTGAGTAAAGAATGTGGGAATTCTTTGAACTATTCATATATATGACTTAGAAATAATTTCCAAATAAAAATTTTAAAAAGAAAAAAGGGTTAATATATTGGAAGAAACTTGGAGCTCTCGAAAAGGAAGAATGGAAAATTATAACAGTGTGAAAATTATGGCAGTGATGGAGATCTGATGTGGCCACCCCTCCTCTTGCCTTTGGTCTTCAAGCTGCCCTTAATTATTCCTGGGCTTGGGTCAAGCTAACTTTGGGAGACATTGAGTTTAGTTTAAGTGATAATAGCCTTTTTCCATAACTCAAGTGCCTTTGTAAAGCTAATGAGAGGTCACCACGCTGAGAGGATAGAGGACCCTGAATTCTGCTAAGGTGTAGTCATCAACAGTTGCCAGCCATTATTCCAGAGGTCACAAGATATGCAACTTCCCCATTCCCAATTACTCCTGCAGATAACATCACTATTGTAGAACCTAAGATTGGCCTTTGAGATATCTTTTCAGGTTTTGTGTATGTCTGAGAGCAGATGGCTCCATCTGGACATGCCAACCTGTGACCCCACCCAGTAGCAACTCAGTACACGTGAGGACCATTTCGCACACCCCTGTGATTGTACCTCTAACCAATCAGTAATAAGCACCCATTGCCTGGCCATCCCCCTGTCCCCTGCTTCTCCCAAACTATCTTTGAAAAACCCTAACCTCCGAATTTTCAGGGAGGCTGATTTGAATAATAATGAAACTCCAGTCTTCTGTTTAGTAGCTCTATGTGTGTAAAACTCTTTCTTTATTGCAATTCCCCTGCCTTGATAAATTGGCTCTATCTGGGCAGTGGGCCAGAAGAACCCACTGGGCAGTTACATCAGGCTTAGAAACTACTTGGGAACCAGGACAGGTACTATTCAACTATCAGAGTATAACACTGGTAAAAATAAGTCTCTTCCTTTTTTTTCATCATTTTGTACATGACTCACAATCCCAGGAAAAAGAAATTTCTTTTTACATATACATATACATATACATATGGATGTATATTATACACTAATTGTTAATATTTTGCCATATTTACTTTTTTGCTTTCTCTCTGTCTCTATGTGTAAGCATGCATTATATATACATGTATATATGTCACATATATGTACATTTTATATACATGTAATCATTTATATACATGTAAATACTTTTTTCCAAAGCCATTTGAAAAAGACACTATGCTTTTCCCACAGTCTTTGCAACCCGCAGACCAGGAGATTACCTCGGGTGCCTACGCCATCAGGGCCCTGGGTTTCAAGCACAAAACTGGGCAGCCAATTTGGGCAGACACCGAGCTAGCTGCAGGAGTTTTTTTTCGTACCTCAGTGGTGTTTGGAATGCCAGTGAGACAGAACCATTCACTACCCTGGAAAGGGGGCTGAAGCCAGAGAGCCAAGTTGTCTAGCTCAGCAGATCCCACCCCATGGAGCCCAGCAAGCTAAGATCCACTGGCTTGAAATTCTTGCTGCCAGCCCAGCAGTCTGAAGTCGACCTGGGACACTTGAGCTTGGTGCGGGCAGGGGCATCCACCATTACTGAGACTTGAGTAGGTGGTTTTCCCCTCACAGTGTAAACAAAGCCGCCAGGAAGTTCGAACTGGGCAGAGCCCACTGCAGCTCGGCAAAGCCGCGGTAGCCAGACTGCCTCTCTAGATTCCTCCTCTCTGGGCAGGGAATCTGTGAAAGAAAGGCAGCAGCCTCAATCAGGAGCTTATAGATAAAACTCCCATCTCCCTGGGACAGAGCACCCGGGGGAAGGGGCAGCTGTGGGCACAGCTTCAGCAGACTTAAATGTTCCTGCCTGCTGGCTCTGAAGAGAGCAGCGGATCTCCCAGCACAGCACTTGAGCTCTGCTAAGGAACAGACTGCCTCCTCAAGTGGGTCCCTGACCCCCGTGCCTCCTGACTGGGAGACACCTCCCAGCAGGAATCGACAGACACCTCACACAGGAGAGCTCCTGCTGGCATCTGGCAGGTGCCCCTCTGGGATGAAGCTTCCAAAGGAAGAAACAGGCAGCAATCTTTGCTGTTCTGCAGGCTCCGCTGGTGATACCCAGGCAAAAAGGGTCTGGAGTGGACCTCCAGCAGACCTGCAGCAGAGGGACCTGACTGTTAGAAGGAAAACTAACAAACAGAAGGGAATATCATCAACATCAACAAAAAGGACGTCCACACAGAAACCCCATCTGAAGGTCACCAACGTCAAAGACCAAAGGTAGATAAATCCACAAAGATGAGGAAAAACCAGCGCAAAAGGCTGAAAATTCCAAAAAGAAGAACACCTCTTCTCCTCCAAAGGATCACAACTCCTCACCACCAAGGGAACAAAACTGGACGGAGAATAAATTTGATTAATTTACAGAAGTAGGCTTCAAAAGGTGGGTAATAACAAACTTATCCGAGCTAAAAAAGCATGTTCTAACCCAATGCAAGCAAGCTAAGAACCTTGAAAAAAGGTTAGATGAATTGCTAACTAGAATAACCAGTTTAAAGAAGAACATAAATGGCCTGATGGAGCTGAAAAACACAGCACGAGAATGTCGTGAAGCATATACAAGTATCAATAGCCAAATAAATCAAGTGGAAGAAAGGATATTAGAGATTGAAGATCAACTTAATAAAGTGTGAAGACAAGATTAGAGAAAAAAGAATGAAAAGGAATGAACAAAGCCTCCAAGAAATATGGGACTATGTGAAAAGACCAAATGTACATTTGATTGGTGTGCCTGAAAGTGACGGGGAGAACAGAACCAAGTTGGAAAACACTCTTCAGGATATTCTCCAGGAGAAGTTCCCCAACCTAGCAAGACAGGCAAACATTCAAATTCAGGAAATACAGAGAACACCACAAAGATACTCCTCAAGAAGAGCAACCCCAAGACACATAATTGTCAGGTTCACCAAGGTTAAAATGAAGGAAAAAATGTTAACAGCAGCCAGAGAGAAAGGTCGGGTTATCCACAAAGGGAAGCCCATCAGACAACAGCGGATCTCTCTGCAGAAACCCTACAAGCCAGGAGAGAGTGGGAGCCAATATTCAACATTCTTAAAGAAAAGAATTTTCAACCCAGAATTTCATATCCAGTCAAACTAAGCTTCATAAGTGAAGGAGAAATAAAATCCTTTACAGACAAGCAAATGCTGAGAGATTTTGCCACCACCAGGCTTGCCTTACACAAGCTCCTGAAGGAAGCACTAAATATGGAAAGGAACAACCAGTACCAGCCACTGCAAAAACATACCAAATTGTAAAGACTGTCAATACTATGAAGAAACTGCGTCAACTAACGGGCAAAATAACCAGCTAGCATCATAATGACAGGATCAAATTCACACATAATAATATTAACCTTAAATGTAAACGGGCTAAATGCCCCAATTAAAAGACACAGACCAGCAAATTGGATAAAGAGTCAAGACCCAACGGTGTATTCAGGAGACCCGTCTCACGTGCAAAGACACACATAGGCTCAAAGTAAAGGGATGGAGTAATATTTACTAAGCAAATGGAAAGCAAAAAAAAGCAGGGGTTGCAATCCTAGTCTCTGATAAAACAGACTTTAAACCAACAAAGATCAAAAGGGACAAAGAAGGGCATTACGTAATGGTAAAGGGATCAATGCAACAAGAAGAGCTAACTATCCTAAATATATATGCACCCAATAGAGAAGCACCAGATTCATAAACAAGTTCTTAGAGACATACAAAAAGACTTAGACTCCCACACAGTAATAGTGGGAGACTTTAACACCCCACTGTCAATATTAGATCAATGAGACAGAAAATTAACAAGGATATTCAGGACTTGAACTCAGCTCTGAATCAAGTGGACCTAATAGACATCTACAGAACTCTCCACCCCAAATCAACAGAATATACATTCTTCTCAGCACCACATTGCACTTATTCTAAAATTGACCACATAATTGGAAGTAGAATACTCCTCAGCAAATGCAAAAGAACAGAAATCGTAACAAACGGTCTCTCAGACCACAGTGCAATCAAATTAGAACTCAGGATTAAGAAACTCACTCAAAACCTCTCAACTACATGGAAACTGAACAACCTGCTCCTGAATGACTACTGGGTAAATAAAAAATGGAGGCAGAAATAAAGATGTTCTTTGAAACCAATGAGAACAAACACACAAGGTACCAGAATCTCTGGGACACATTTAAAGCAGTGTGTAGAGGGAAATTGACAGCATGAAATGCCAACAAGACAAAGCAGGAAAGATCTAAAATCAACACCCTAACATCACAATGAAAAGAACTAGAGAAGCAAGAGCAAAGAAATTCAAAAGCTAGCAGAAGACAAGAAATAACTAAGATTAGAGGAGAACTGAAGGAGATAGAGACACGAAAAACCCTTCAAAAAATCAATGAATCCAGGAGCTGGTTTTTTGAAAAGATTAACAAAATAGATAGACTGCTAGCCAGACTAATATAAAAGAGAGAAGAATCAAATAGACACAATAAAAAAGATAAGGGGATATCACCACTGATCCCACAGAAATGCAAACTACCATCAGAGAATACTATAAACACCTCTATGCAAATAAACTAGAAAATCTAGAAGAAATGGATAAAATCCTGGACACATACACCCTCCCAAGACTAAACCAGGAAGAAGTCAAATCCTTGAATAGACCAATAACAAGTTCTGAAATTGAGGCAGTAATTAATAGCCTACCAACCAAAAAAAAAAAAACAAAACAAAACAAAAAAAAAAACAGAACTGGATGTATTCACAGCCGAATTCTACCAGAGGTACAAAGAGGAGCTGGTACCATTCCTTCTGAAATTATTCCAAACAATAGAAAAAGAGGGACTCCTCCATAACTCATTTTATGAAGCCTGCATCATCCTGATACCAAAACCTGGCAGAGACACAACAAAAAAAAAGAAAATTTCAGGTCAATATCCCTGATGAACATCGATGTGAAAATCTTCAATAAAATACTGGCAAACCGAATCCAGCTGCACATCAAAAAGCTTATCCACCATGATCAAGTGGGCTTCATCCCTGGGATGCAAGGCGGGTTTAACATATATGCAAATCAATAAATGTAATCCATCACATAAACAGAACCAATGACAAAAACCACATGAGTATCTCAATAGATGCAGAAAAGGCCTTCAATAAAATTCAACACCCCTTCATGCTAAAAACTGTCAATAAACTAGGTATCGATGGAATGTATCTCAAAATAATAAGAGCTATTTATGACAAACCCATAGCCAATATCATACTGAATGGGGAAAAGCTGGAAGCATTCCCTTTGAAAACCGGCACAAGACAAGGATGCCCTCTCACCACTCCTATTCAACATAGTATTGTTGAATACTATTGTTGAAGTTCTGTCCAGGGCAATCAGGCAAGAGAAAGAAATAAAGTGTATTCAAATAGGAAGAGAGGAAGTCAAATTGTCTCTGTTTGCAGATGACATGATTGTATATTTAGAAAACCCCATCGTCTCAGCCCAAAGTCTCCTTAAGCTGATAAGCAACTTCAGCAAAGTCTCAGGATACAAAATCAATGTGCAAAAATCACAAGCATTCCTATACACCAATAATAGAGAGCCAAATCATGAGTGAACTCCCGTTCACAAATGCCACAAAGAGAATAAAATACCTAGGAATACACCTTTTAGGGGATGTGAAGGACCTCTTCAAGGAGAACTACAAACCACTGCTCAAGGAAGTAAGAGATGACACAAACAAATGGAAAAAAAATTCCATGGTCATGGATAGGAAGAATCAATATCATGAAAATGGCCATACTGCGCAAAGTACCTTGTAGATTCAGTGCTATCCCCATCAAGCTACCATTGACATTCTTCACAGAATTTTAAAAAAACTACTATAAATTTCGTATGGAACCAAAAAAGAGCCCATATAGCTGAGACAATCCTAAGCAAAAACAACAAAGCTGGAGGCATCATGCTACCTGACTTCAAACCACACTACAAGGCTACAGTAACCAAAACAGCATGGTACTGGTACCAAACCATATATACAGACCAATGGAACAGAACAGAGGCCTCAGAAATAACACCACACATCTACAACTACCTGATCTTTGACAAACCTGACAAAAACAAGAAATGGGGAAAGGATTCCCTATTTAATAAATGGTGTTGGGAAAACTGGCTAGTCATATGCAGAAAACTAAAACTGGACCCCTTCCTTACATCTTATACAAAAATTAACTCAAGATGGATTAAAGACTTAAACATAAGACCTAAAATCATAAAAACCCTAGAAGAAAACCTAGGCAATACCATTCAGGACATAGGCATGGGCAAAGTCTTCATGACTAAAACACCAAAAGCAATGGGAACAAAAGCCAAAATGGACAAATGGGATCTAATTAAACTAAAGAGCTTCTGCACAGCAAAAGAAACTATCATCAGGGTGAACAGGCAACCTACAGAATGGGAGAAAACTTGCAATCTATCCATCTGACAAAGGGCTAATATCCAGAATCTATAAGGAACTTAAACAAATTTACAAGAAAAAACCCCAAAAAAGTGGGTGAAGGATATGAACAGACACTTCTCAAAAGAAGACATTTACGTAGCCAACAAAAATATGAAAAAATGCTCACCATCACTGGTCATTAGAGAAATGCATATCAAAACCACAATGAGATACCATCTCATGCCAGTTAGAATGGCAATCATTAAAAAGTCAGGAAACAATATGCTGAAGAGGATGTGGAGAAATAGAAACGCTTTTACACTGTTGGTGGGAGCGTAAATTAGTTCAACCATTGTGGAAGACACGGTGGTGATTCCTCAAGGATCTAGAACCAGAAATACTATTTGACCCAGCAATCCCATTACTGGGTATATATCCAAAGGATAATAAATGATTCTGCTATAAAGACACATGCACATGTATGTTTATTGTGGCACTGTTCACAATAGCAAAGACTTGGAACCAACCCAAATGCCCATCAGTGATAGACTGGATAAGGAAAATGTGACACATATACACCAGGAATACTATGCAGCCATAAAAAAGGATGAGTTCATGTTCTTTGCAGGGACATGGATGAAGCTGAAAACCATCATTCTCAGCAAACTAACACAGGAACAGAAAACCAAACACCGCATGTTCTCACTCATAAGTGAGAGTTGAACAAGGAGAACACATGGACACAGGGAGGGGAACATCACACACCGGGGCCTGTTTGGGGTGGGGGGTGCTAGGGGAGGGATAGCATTAGGAGAAATACCTAATGTAGATGACAGGTTATGGGTGCAGCAAACCACCATGGCATATGTATTCCTATGTAACAAACCTGCATATTCTGCACATGTATCCCAGAATTTAAAGTATAATTTAAAAAAAAAAAAAAACTTGCAAAGTCAATTCACCAGTCTCTCACCTTGAGGAACTCTTTGGAATCAATAGGAACAGAGTAGCACCAGCCCAGTGTGGCAGTGCAGAGAGGAGCCGGAGAAGATGCCTGCCCTCCCCAGGAAGCCATAGAGGGAGATTTGCTCCAGCTCACAAGTTGAAATTCTTCGTTTTGAGGAATTTAATTATGGCTAACAGCGAGGATTAATTGCTTTATACTGTGTTAGTATAAATAAATACTTTCTTCATTTGCCTTTAAAAAAAAAAAGGAGAGGGAAGATACCGAAGTAAAGACACAGACACACAGTGAGAATGCCAGGTGATGATGGAAGCAGAGATTGGAGGAATGCAGCTGCGGCCCAGGAACGCTGAGGATTGCCAACAACCACCAGAAGCTAGGAAGAGCCAAGCAAGGTTTCCTGCTGACGTGTCTCACAGGGAGCATGGCCCTAACTTGATTTTGTACTTCTAGCCGACAGACCTGTAAAACAATACATTTCTGTTGTTTTCAGCTCTTTCTCTTTGCCTAATTCGTTATGGCAGCCCTAGCAAATTAATATGGTACTAGAGGCCTAATGTATGTATTTTGTGTGTGTGTGTGTGTGTGTGTGTGTGTGTGTGTGTGTTGGGGGTGGGGGGAGTAAGTGTCCTTTAACTGCAGAAGAAACAGAACAAATCAGGTAGACAGGAAGAAAACAAGGCAACCTTTCTTAATCATCTAAACCAAGAAGTGTCATGTTTTCCTGTGGACCTGACCTTCCCAATCACTGCTCCAGCACAGACTCCTGGCTGTGGCTGGAACACCCCAGCTGTGTTTCCTCCTTAGGGCCTTTGCACCCACTGCTTCCTCTACCTGGAACATGCCCAGGGCCAACTCCTGACTTCCTGCTTTTTCCTCAATGAAGCCCATTCTGCAATCTGCACTCCCACCCCACTGAGCACTCCCAACCCCCCTTGCTCTACTTTACTTTTTCTTTTCTCCATGTTCTCAGTGGATTCTAATATCCTAATAATGTGTTTATTATGTGTAGGGAGCATTATTTATCGTCTCCATCCATGCTAGAACATTAAGCTCCATGCAGCGATGTGAACAAACATCAAAAACAGTACCTAGTTCACTGTAGGTGCTTAAGAAAAAATTTTCTAAAAATCCATCATTCATTTTAAAATGACTACTTTAACGATTACAGAAGCTGTATGTGTTCATTGTAAAAAAAAATTAGAAAAAATTAAAAGCTTCAAACTCCCACCATCTAATAAAACCTCTCAAATTAAAAAAAAAAATGTTTTAGAAAAGGAGCAAAAGGAAGCAAAGTACACTTGGAAGAGGGACAAGCGGGCAACTTGAGAGATCCAAGTACCCCATTTGGTCCTTGACTTGGGGTTTTATACGTTGGCATGGTTTGGGGGCTTTACTTTCTCCTCCCTTAATTTTTCCCTTGGGGTGGGCTGTTGTTCAACCGCTGCATGCGAGGTGTCAGTCAGCACTCAAGGGGGTGACCACATGCATAGTGCATTTACTGAGGTTGTGCACATGCTCTGTAGGGGCGATTTTATTTTACCAGTCTAACACCCCCAAAGGAAGGTCATACATCTGATATTTTGCCGGTTAGAGCACATACTCAAGCCCACTTGCCCAACTCCTGAGATCTTATGTGGAAGCTGCTGATCACCAGCTCAAGATGTTTTCTATCTTTTGGGAGACGGTCGTCCGCTGATGCCAGCTGTGACCAATTATCATTTTAGAGAGACAGTTTAACAACCGCCTGACGATCACGTGATGGTCGCCTGACATTCCTGGGGGTTGGTTAGGGGGCCTCTCCTGACCTGCTCACGTCTGCCTCGCTAACTACTCTAACAACCAGAGGTCACAGAAGTCTTCTTTGTTGATTGCTGTGGCATGAAAGCAGAGGAAAAAAAAATGTTTTTTCCTCCATGTCAACCAACTCGCATAAAATAGCCTGTTAAATAGTCCTTCCATCATGGCCACTAACTTCCAAGAGAAATTCCTAATGCTGCCTAATAATCATAACACATTTCTCCAGTTTGTTCACTCTTCTACCCTCCTAGATAATACTTTCATGGCTTTTCTCTCTTTCAATCATTTACATCTTTCTCCATCCTCACTCTTAGTGATAAACCCTCCCTTTAATGATTCTTCCTAGAATGCAGCTGCCTAATGAGTTCTTATTGCCCACTGCCCAGATAGAGTCAATTTACCAAGGCAAGGGAATTGCAGTGGAGAAAGAATTTAATTCATGAAGAGCTGGCTGAATGGGGGACTGGAGTTTTATTATTACCCAAATCAGTCTTCCCAAGAATTCAGAGGCTAGGGTTTTTCAAAGGTAGAAGGGGTGAGGGTGGCTGCTGATTGGCTCAGGGGTACAATCATAGGCGTGTCAGGAATGACCCTCCAGCATGCTAAGTGGCTTCTGGGTGGGACAGGAGCAGTGGGTAGGTCCAGATGGAGCCACCATTGGTCTGTGGATCCTGATGGGGTCACACGTGTCAGACATGCAGGAAACCTGAGAGGATATTTCAAAAGGCCAATCTTAGGTTCTACAATAGTGACGTTATCTGCAGGAGCAACTGGGGAGGTTGCAAATCTCATGACCTCTGGAATAATGGCTGGCAGTCATTTATGTCTACACCTTAGTAAAATTCAGGGTCCTCTATCCTCCTAGCCTGGTGACCTCTCAGCTTTATAAAGGTGGTTGAGTTTTGGGGGAAGGGTTATTTTCACTTAAACTTTAAACTAGATGTCTCCCAAAGCCAGCCCAGGAATAATCAAAGGCAGCCCAAAGGCTAAAATAAAGGCAAGACGGGGGTTGACTAGATCAGATCTCCCCCATTGACATAATTTTCTCTCTGATACAATTTTGTAAAGACAGTTTCAAGAAATTACACAAACCACTTGTGCTATATTCTATTTACCAGAACACAGTTGACTGTTACATGACCACACCTACCTGCAACGGAAGCTGAGAAATGTCTTTGTGGGGGGTGGGGGAGGGACATGTACCCAGCTACAATTCTGGGCTTCTGTTATTAAAAGGAGGAAAATGGATATTGGATAATACTAGTACATTTTACTCTAATGAATTTAAAATATTGTTTTCTGAGTCCAGGGGCATCACTTCAAAACTGTGACCCATAAGCCTCAGATGGGCCCCAATTCTGCCTGGCAATCTTTCTCTAGTCCATTAACTCTCCCACTCTCCTAAATGATCCAAATAATTCTTTCATAATCTTTTTCCTCTTTTCAAAACTCTAACATCTACTTTGCCATTCTCTCTCTCTCTCGTGTGTGTGTCTGTCCATCCGTCTTTCTCTACAGAAAACCTTCCTTCCTATTTCATTGTGAAATAGAAGCAAATTAAAGAGGATGTCTCTACAAGTTCCCACTATCATATATACCCCCACATACCCATCAATCTTCATGTGCGCCCATGTCCTCTACCTTCTCTGTGCTAATATAAAGTGCTCATGATGTTATCAGCTAAGGCTAGTCCTCCACTTGAACACTAGATCACACCCCCTTTCACCAATTCAAACTCATCAACACTAGGAATTTTCTTCTGTCTTTCCTGTGTCAAGTTTTCCTCTCTTCTAGATCTTTCCCTTCCGGTTTCTGGTCTAGCAAGTAAGGAGCTTGGAAGTCATCACTCCTGTCTTCACAACAATAAAAAAGCTAAATAAACTGAAAATCAGTTGAAGTAACAGGGCACACTTCTGTCCCCCAAACTGGAGAGACAAATGGGTAAATACAGAGAATCACAACTTACTGGAATAGAAGCCCAGGGGCAGAAAACTCTGCAAGAACGAGTACTGGGGAACGAAAAACCCAAACTATAATAGATGAATTGCTGGAGGCTCTGTGTGGACAAGTTTGAAAGTTAAAAACTCCAGGGCATGTGGCCAGTCATACTGGATTTTACCTCCACTTTCGTGAGTTTTACCTCCAAGAACCCTACCAGGTTCTCAGGGTGAAGATCAGCAAAAAAAAAAAAAACAAAAAAAAAATCCTCATGCTTCTGGCAAGAGGAGGGGAAAAATAGCCATTCGAAATATGCCAAAGTGTCCAGCTCTTCTTAACAAAGCCTGCTCTCAATGGAAACTATGTTATCAGAGGCTAGCTGACTGGATTTTACCAGAGACTAATCACAGGAGAAGGAAAATACCCAACTCCAGCCCCTTTTTGCCAACTAAAGCGGGAAAGAACTGAGAAGCGCTTGTGAAAGGTGCAGCCCAGGAGCACAGGCTCGCTAAAGTCTAAGACCTAATCACAGGTCTATAGAATTCTTCCTCTCTCTCCACACCTCACCACTATATCAACAGGACTTATCTGTATGATAATAAGGGAGTACAACAGAAATAACTGCATGTTATTTCTGAGACCTCCCAAGAAGTCTCTAGGGAAATCCAAAGATAACAGGTGAGACAAAAACAAGGACACCGGAGGAAATTTTTGCCTCTGACTCCCACAGCTACAACAAACAGTAAACACAGCCTAACTTCTAACTAGATAAATAAGATAAATATACAACTTCCCACTGAAGACTTATTTACAGGCCGGGTGTGGTGGCTCACACCTGTAATCCTAGCACTTTGGGAGGCCAAGGAGGGTGGATCACTTGAGGTCAGGAGTTTGAGACCAGCCTGGCCAACATGGTGAAATCCCATCTCTACTAAAAATACAAAAATTAGCCCAGGTGTGATGGCTCGTGCCTGTAGTTCCAGCTACTTGGGAGACTGAGGCTGGAGAATCACCTGAACCCAGGAGGCGGAGGTTGCAGTGTGCCGAGATCACGCCTCTGCGCTTCGGCCTGGGTAACAGACCGAGACTCCATCTCAAAATAAATAAATAAATAAATGAAAATAAAGATGTATTTACCTCAGTTCCTTTTATCCACTACATTGTGTCCAACTTTCAACAAAAAAATTAAAGATAAAGATTAAAAAAAATAAAATTACAAGATAAACTAAAAGACAAAAAAAAAAACACAGTTTGAAGAGACAGAGCAAGCATTAGAATCAGACTCAGATATGGCAGAGATGTTAGAATTATTAGACCAGGAATTTAAAACAATGGTGATTAATATGCTAAGGGCTCTAATGGAAAAATCAGATCTTTCTTATCACCAGACAAACATGCTATTATTTCTCACATATTAAAGAAGTCCGCTTTCATGACCACATTCTTCCACCAGTTACCACCTCAGTTTTTCTGCTCCCCTTACAACAAAACTTCTTGAAAACCCTGTCTCCAATTTCTCTTCTCCCATTCTTTTTTACATACCATTTTTATTATAGAAAAATCTCCAACATGAATAGTACAATGAATTCCTGTGTATGTTACCCAACTTCAATATTTTTCAACATTTTACCAGTCCTATTTCATCTATTCCATCTATACTGTTTTATTTTTTTTCTGAAATATCTAAAACCAAATTCTAGATATCACATTTCACCCATAAATTCTTTAGGATTGTATCTTTAACAGCGAAGAATTTTGTGCATAATTCCTCAATATCAACTAATATTAGGAATTAAAGGACGTCATTACAGATCCTACAGACACTGAAAGAATAATATGAACAATTTTATGCCAAGAAATTTAGCTGCTTAGATAAATTTCTCAAAACATACAACTTACAAAAACTGACGGAAAAAGAAATACAAAATCTGCACAACATCATATTTATTAAACATGTTAAATCTGTAATTCAAAACCGTCTCATAGGCCGAGTGCAGTGGCCCATGCCTATAATCTCAGAACTCTGGAAGACTGAGGAGAGGGGATTGCTTGAGCCCAGAAGTTCAAGACCAGCATGGGGAACATAGCAAGACCTTGTCTCTAAAATAATTAATTAATTTAATTTAATTTAACTTTCTCATGAAGGAAGCTCTAGGCCCACATGACTACACAATGAATTATATTCAAACACTTAAAAAGGAAATAATATCAATCTTAGAGAAACTCAAAAAATAATACTCTGTGCTGTTGAACTATTTTTATGTCTTTAAAAAATATATCTTTTCTCTGTTGACTTAAGTCATAATCCAAGTAAGCATTCATGCATTACATTTGATTGCTATGTGTTTTATTTTTCCTTTAATCCATAATGTCTCCTCTCTTTTTTTTGAGATGGAGTCTCGCTCTGTCGCCCAGGCTGGAGTGCAGTGGCATGATCTTGGCTCACTGTAACCTCCGTCTCCTGGGTTCAAGCGATTCTCCCACCTCAGCCTTGCAAGTAGCTGGAATCACAGGCACGTGCCACCATGCCCAGCTAATTTTTGTATTTTTAGTAGAGATGGGGTATCACCATCTTGGCCAGGCTGGTCTAGAACTCCTGACCTCAAGTGATTCACCGGCCTTGGCCTCACAAAGTGCTGGGATTACAGGCGTGAGCCACCACGCCCAGCCTCTCTTAGCCATTTTCAAGTACACAGTACATTATTATTAGCTGTAGTCACCATTTTTACAATAGATCACCCGAACTTACTTGTGTCTAACTAAAACTTTGTACCTTTTTATCAGCATCTCCCCATTCCTCATAACCAGACCCTGGTAATCACCATTCTACTCTCTGCATCTCAGATTGACTGTTTTTAGAGTCATAAGACCATGCAATATTTGTCTTTCTACGCCTTGCTTATTTCACGTAGCATAATGTTTTCCAGGTTCATTCATGTTGTCACAAATGACAGGATTTCCTTCTTTTAAAGAGCTGAATAGTATTCCATTGTGTGCATGTACATTTTCTTTATCCATTAATCTGTTAATGAACATTTAGATTGATTCCGTGTCTTGGCTATTGTAAATAACGCTTCATTGAACATAGGAGTGCAGATATGTCTTTCATATACTGTTTTCATTTTCTTTGGATATATACTCAGAAGTAGAATTGTTGAAGCATATGATAATAGTTCTATTTTTAATTTTTTGAAGAGGAATCTTCATACTGGTTTTCCATAATGACTGTATTAATTTACATTCCCACCAGCAATGTATAAGAGTTCCTTTTCTCTGTATCCTCTCCAAACTTGTCTTTCATCTTTCTGATAGTAGTTCTTCTAACAGGTGTGAGGTGATATTTAATTAATTTGCATGTCCCTGATGATTAGGAATGTTGAACATTTTTTCATATATATATTGACTATTTTGTGTCTTCTTTAGAGACGTCTCTATTGAGGTACTTTGCCCATTTTAAAATCTGGTTGTTTTTTCGCAATTGAATTGTTTGAGTTCCTTATATATTATGGCTATTAGCCCCATATCAGATGTATGGTTTGCAAATACTTTCTCCCACTCTTTTGGTTGTCTCTTCACTCTGTTACTTGTTTCCTGTGCTGTGTAGCTTTTTAGTTTCATGCAATTCGATTTGTGTACCCATCCTTTTGTTGCCTGTGCTTTTGGGGCTATATTTTTAAAATCTTTGCCAACACCAATGTCAAAAAGCTATTTCCCTATGTTTTCTTCTAGTAGTTTACAGTTTCAGGTCTCAAATTTAAGTTTTTAATCTATTTGGAGTTGATTTTTGTATATGGGGTGAGATAAGGGTCCAATTTGATTCTTCTGCATGTGAATATCCAGTTTTCCCAGCACCATTTATTGAAGAGATTTTCCCTTCCCCACGGGATGTTTTTGGTATCTTCATCAAAGATCAATTGACCATAAATAGGTGGATTTATTTCCGGGTTTTCTATTCTGTTCCATTGGACATTTTTATATTTTTAAAGAGTTGTTAAAACACAAGGAAAAACAAGAATATTTAATAAGATTGCATGTAGCCCACAAAGCCTGAAATATTTACTATCTGGCCTTTTACAGAAAGTTTGTCCACCCCAGATCTAAAGACTTGATCCAATTTAAGTTTTATTTTTTGTTTGTTTGTTTTTATTTGTAAGAATACTTCACATCATATTCTAGGTATACTAAGTATGTCCTGCTGCATCACACTGGGAGGCATATACTGTAATGTTTCATTGTCACACTTTTAGTGAGCTTTATAAGCCTGGTCCATTGCTTATAAAGCTCCCTATTGTTATTTGTCCTAATGGTTTCGGCATCCACTGATGATTGTTGCTTAGATGTTTCACTAAATATTGTAAAATGCTTATTTTCTACTTTCATCATTCCCTTTGCATTTATTAGTTGGAATTTTTCAGTGTAGAAAAATAAGGTTCAACAACTGTATTAACTATTTGGTTACCCTGAAACTCAGTTTAGGAAAGGTCAGACAAATGCTTGTTTTTTTGCTATTATTTACCAATTTTTAGAATAATAAATTGGTGTCCTAACAATCTCTAGAAGTGGCCATTAAGTGCTTTTTGTAAGTATTAATACTTATAATTTCTTAGAGGTTTATGTATTTGATGTTTCCAGTAATTACAGATAATAGTTTTAATGCCCAAAGTGTGCCAACTTTAGGGGCCCCTTAAAGTTGTTTTGTTTGTGTGTGTGTGTTCTTTTAAAAAGGCCTCATTAGTATTTGATAGATTCCTTGCTTTTTGTACATTTCTTCCCTCAAATCTGGAATTGATAATTTCTCCAAGGAGCCCTAGTTCCATTGGTAGCTCAGCAAAGGCTGTTGCCACCTCCACTCCACTGACATAGCATGTCACTGTCACCAAAGACTCCATCTTTCTAAATCCGGGGGTCACTTAGCAGTTCTTATCTGACTTGACTTATCTGTGGCTTTTAACAAGGTTAATCACTCCCTCCTCCTCCTGAAAACGGTTTCTTCGCTTGGTTTCCAAGAACACTACACTCTCCTGACTTTTCTCCTACTTTATGCACCTCTCCTTGGTCTCTGTTGCTGGTTTTTCCTCATCTTTTTAACCTCTTAATGTTGAGTGCCTCAGTGCTGAGTCCTTGAATCTTTTTTCACTTGTTATCTACATTGACTTTCTTTGAGGTGTCATCAGTTTTATGACTTTGAATACCATCAGCATGCCAATTATTCCTAAACTTATCTCCAACCTAAACAAATCCCCTGAATTCCAGACTTATACATTAAAATGCCTACTAAACTTCCCCACTTGGATAACCAAAAGCATCTCAGACTTAACAGGTTTAAAAACAAGCTCTTAATCTTGCCAACGTCTACTTCAGCAAAAGCTTGCTTCTTCTAGTCTTCATCTTACAAATGATCATCTCATTGTTCCTTCACATCTTCGTGCCTTTTTTTTTGAGACGGAGTCTCGCTCTGTCGCCCAGGCTGGAGTGCAGTGGCGCCTTCTCAGCTCGCTGCAAGCTCTACCTCCTGGGTTTACACCATTCTCCTGCCTCAGCCTCCTGAGTAGCTGAGACTACAGGCGCCCGCCACCACGCCCTGCTAATTTTTTGTATTTTTAGTAGAGATGGGGTTTCACCGTGTTAGCCAGGATGGTCTCAATCTCCTGACCTTGTGATCCGCCCACCTCAGCCTCCCAAGGTGCTGGGATTACAGGCGTGAGCCACCGCGCCCGTCATCCCATTTTTTTACACCTCTCCCACACCCCACATCCAAATACCTCAGGAGATCCTTTTGGTTCTACTTCAAATTATATACAGAATCAGAACGCTTCTTAAGACCTCCAGTGCTACAATCTGTGCAAACCACTGTCATTTCTCTTCCGGATTATTGCAGTAACCAAACTGCTCTCTCTGCTTCTGCCCTTGCCCCTCCCCTTTGATCTTTCTTAATACAGCAGCCTTTGTGTTTTTATTAAAATATAAGCCAAATTGTGTTCCTGCCTCTGCTAAAACCTTCACGTGGCTCCCCAGCTTGCTCAAAGTAAAAGCCAAAGACCATCATATGATTTGTAAGTCTCTGTCATTTGGCTCCGGATTACCTCTCTGACATTTACTTTCAACCCCTCTTTCTGCCTGTGTTACTCTAATCACAGGCCTCTTTATTGTTGCTCTTCAAGCCTACCAGTCATGCTCCCTGATAGGGGCTTTTGATTTGCTTATTCCTCACCTAAAATGCTCTTCTTTCAAATGTCCTCATAGCAACTTCTTACCTCCTTCAGATGTTATTTTCTCAGCCAGATCTTTCCCCAATCTATTTAAAATTGTAATCCTCCCCAGCACTCCCTATCCCTTCTCCCTGCTCTAATTCTTCTCAGTATAACAGAAAACAATCTAACACACAATATGGTTTACTTATTTATGTGTTTGTCATCTGCCTCTATTGCTAGAAGTTATGTTCTATGAGGCCAGGGATTTTTTTCTTATTTGTTTACTGCTATATTATTAGCACCTACAAGAGTGCCTGACACATAATATTTTTTAAATAAGTGGATCAATAGAGTTGTTAGGATTAGATGAGACAATACATCCAAAGCTCTTAGCATAATGAATGGTAGCTATAGGTATTATCTTTATTATTATGAACTGTTTTATTTCCTCTTTATGAACCCATTTACTAATCTAAGTCAACAGTGACTTTCCAGAGAAGGGAAAGGGGATCAGCATAGGTAGGGACTATATGACTGATTTCTTCTGGGCTGTATTCATTAGTAGTCCAACATCTACATCTCCATGGCCTATGTCAACGTGAGATTAGTAATAGGCTCTTGATTTTTCCTTGTAAGGTTGTTTGGGAAAATCTTTTAAAAATCTTAATCTTTACAAAGTTGCTTTTCTCTAAATTCTCAATAAACATAAAATTCAGGCTACAGGAGGAGCTCTCTCCTTAACAGCCATTACCTCAGAGAGGTCTTGTGCCAATTCAGGTCTCAAAGGGAATTTACTTCTTAAAAATATCTCCCCTTGCAATTTATATATGTTACCACCAGGTGGCAGGAATGTTTGATGAGCACCCAGCAAAGTCAAATGATTCACTTCTGCAGATTTAAAATTATGAATGGCAGTACTATCTTATAGCAAAACATCAAAACACATTTCTTAGAACAGTTAAACTACAGCCAAGTAGTCATCATTTTATTTTATTTTTTAATTTTAATTTAGTGAAAGGTACTTTTTTTTTTTTTTTGAGATGGAGTCTTTCTCTGTCACCCAGGCTGGAGTGCAATGGCGCAATCTCAGCTCACTGCAACCTCCGCCTCCTGGGTTCAAGTGATTCTCCTGCCTCAGCCTCCCTAGTAGCTGTGACTACAGGCGCCCGCCACCACACCCAGCTAATTTTTTGAGTTTTTTTAGTGGAGAAGGGGTTTCATCGTGTTAGCCAGGATGGTTTTGATGTCCTGACCTCATGATCCACCTGCCTCGGCCTCCCAAAGTGCTGGGATTACAGGAGTGAGGTACTGTTTATTTTAATGAAGTCATATGATTTGCCAGATCTAAGCATATGAAATTATCAGTGAACAAAAAATAAAAAATAAAAAATCTATGTCTTTATGACATTCACATAGTGAGCAAAAGAAAAGATTCTGGAACCAGACTATGAGAGTTTGAATCCTAATATTTGCTGTTTATCATCTAAGGGACCCTGGGCAACCTACTTAAACTCTTGTCTCTCAGCTGCCTTATCTATAAAATGAGGATGATAAAAGTGCATACCCTTTGGTCTTAATGATGAAATAAACATAGCTTATGGAATGTCTAATAGATTATTTCATTTGCTAATTTTGACAACCCTGTGAGGCAAATATTATCTCCGTCTCACAGAAGTAACTCATCCCTTACCTATGACAGCAAAAGTCCTTGCCCATAGTGACCTGGCTAGTACATGGTGAAGCCAGAATTATTTTACCCTGCTCACTGCACAACCAACATAATTTTTTTTTAAGAGACAGAGTTTTGCTCTGTTGCCCAGACTGGAGTGCAGTGGCATGATCATAGCTCACTGTAACTTTGAACTCTCAGGCTGAAGCAATCCTCTTGCCTTAGCCAGAGTAGCTAGGACTATAGGTGTGCACCACCATGCGTAGCTATTTCATTTAAAATTTTTTTTTTTTTTTTTTTTTTTGCAGAAATGGGCTCTCACTATGTCACCCAGGCTGGTCTTGAACTCCAGGCCTCAAGCCATCCTCCTGCCTCGGCTTCCCAAAGTGCTAGGAATACAGGCATGAGCCACTGCACCTGGCCTGAACATAGTATTTTTAAAGTAAACTTTTAATTGAAGTTTAACATACAGTTTATATACATAAAAGCATAGAAATAATGAAGTTTACAAAGTGAATACACCCATATATCTACCTCCCTTCCAGATCAAGAAGTAGAAATTACCATCACCCAGAAGCCTCCCTTTTCATTCCTCCCACTCTTTCCCTAAAGTTAAGTATTTTTCTGGCTTTTATCACTATAGATTAGTTTTTCCATTAGAATACTTTACATAAATGAATCATACAATATGTATTCTTTTGTGTCTGGCTTTTTTTCCTCTCAACTTTATGTTCATGAGCGTCATCCTTTTTTTTCCTTTTTGAGAGAGAGAGAGAGTGTGTGTGTGTGTGTGTTTGAGACAAGCTCTGCTCTTTCACACAGGCTGGAGTGTAGTGGCACACACACAGCTCACTGCAGCCTTGACCTCCTGGGCTTAGTCCATCCTCCTGCCTCAGCCTCCCATATAGCTGGGACTACAGGCACATGCCACCATGTCCAGCTATTTTATTTTATTTTATCATTATTATTTTTTTTTTTGTCGAGACAGGGTTTCACCATTTTGCCCAGGCTGATCTCAAACTTCTAGGCTTAAGTGACCTGCCCACATGGGCTTCCCAAAGTGCTGAGATTACAGGTTTGAGCCACCATGCCTGCTGAGTGTCATCCTTATTGGTGTGTGTAGCAGTATTCTACTCATTTTGATTCTAGTTACATAAATATACCATAATTTATTACCCATTCTTCTGTTTATAGTAATTATTACAGTGTACATTCTTGATATAATAAAAATCTACTCTAAACTAGTTTTCTATTTCCCATCCAATGCAAGGATCTTACAATGCTTTAATTTCATTTACCTCTTTCCTGATTTTTGTGCTATTGGGGTTGTATATTTAATTTTATATGTATTTTTAGCCTCACAAGACATTGTTATCATTGTTCTATACAGTCAATATTTGTTTAGATTTACCCACTTTTACCCTCCACTGTTCTTTATTCCTTCATGAGTTTTCACACTTTTCTCTGGGATTATTTGCCTTCTGCCTGAAGACCTCTGTAGTGTGGGTCTACTAATAATAAACTGTCTTAGCGTTTGTTTATCTGAAACCTCTTTTATTTAACCTTCACTACTGAGGGATATTTCTCAGGTATAGAAGTCTAGGTTGGCAGATATTTTCTTTCAGAATTTTAAAGATACCACTATTGTCTTTTGGTTCCATAATTGCTTTTGAAAAGTCAGCTGTCTGTCTTATTTATTACTCCTTTGAATTTAGTGAAACTATTTTTAAGATTTTCTCTTTTCTTTTTGTTTCCAGGAGTTTTACTATGTGCCTAGGAATAGAGTGTTTTGTTTTTTGTTTTTTATCCTGCTTGTGTTTGTAGAGTTTCTTGAGTCTGTGGTTTGATGTCTTTTACCAGTTTTGAAAATTCGTGGCTATGATCTCTTCAAGTATTGTTCTAATTATGTCTCTCTTTACTCTCCTTATGAAACTCAAATTATGTGAATATTAGACTTTTTCACCATGTCACATATATTTGCAAAAGTAGAAAAACAAAATGGAGATGCCTGTAAAGTTACTGAGCCTGAGGAAGTTGCCATGACCAACCACCACTACCTTCTAAGGAGAATGTCTTTTGCTTTAAAAACTAATGAGTTTCTCTTATTGGAAAACCAATCTGGAATCACAAATGGAAGAGGATTCCAGGAAACACAGGGTTCCAGCCACAGATGGGAGCTCCAATGCTAACTGGACAGTGGATAATAAAACAGAGATGTTTAACTTTAGGGCATAGTAATTCAAATACTCACAGAGTCCTTATAAAGTTAATAAAAAGTTTTTCTATATTATTCTAAAATGTAGAACTCAAACCAAGGGATAGAAAGAAGCAATGAGCAAATGCAGTATATTTGTACAAACTTTAGCATTTATCTCAATGGCTTCTCTTCCAATATAACTATGTGACAGACCATTTTTTTCTTCTTTTGAAAGGGATACAAGCCTCCCTTGCTTTTCTCAAAGAAGTCCAGTTTTAAAGCCAAGCCCTACACTGCCAGCAGTAGATGTACTCACACTGTCAGAAATATCTACAATGAAACTGGATTTTAAGGAGAAAACCTGTTTTTCAACTGTATGTTAATATTTCACATCACTGATTCCCAGAGAATGAGGAGGAAATTCTTATATTCCCTAAGGAAGAGTATCTGAGTGTTAAGAAATTGTGTTTTTCTTTTCTAGAAGGAATCTCAAGGAATTCAGATTTATCCCCCTACTCCCCACCCCTTCTACCACTATGAGCCAGTGTTATTAACAATAGTGTGTCTTATCCTGGGAGAAAAGAGGGGAAAATTAGTGAGGGCCAATGTTCCACATTAAACTGAAGAGAGATACATTTATCTAGTGTGTAAGTCGGCTATTGCTGTATAATAAATTATCCCAAAACATATGCATTAATACAATAGTAAATATTTATTATTCTCACAGTTTCTGTGGGTCAGATGTTTGGGGATGGCTTAGCTTGGTGATTCTAGCTAGGGGTCTCTCATGAGGTTGCAGTCAAGATCAGCTGGAGCTATAGTAATCCAAAGGCTTGACAGGGGTAGAGGACCTGCTTTTAAGATGATTTATGCACATATCTCAAAGTGGCCCTGACTATTGGCAGGATGCCTCAGTTTCTTGCCACATTGACATCTTCTTAGGGTTAGTTATCTTTACAATATGGGACTTAGTACCCCCAGAGCAGGTGATCCAAGAAAGGAAAGCAGAAGGAGTGATGTCTTTTATGACTTGTCCTCAGAAGTCACACACCAGCGTATCTGCTGTATTCTTCTGGTTACATAAACTAATCCTATATGACTAATGTCACAGAAGACTATGCAAGGGTGTGAATACCAGGAAGCAAGAATCATTGTGGCCATCTTAAAGGCTGGCTACCATAACCAGTCAATAAGAAAAGTAAACTAAACTTTATAATTTTGTTGGGCTTCTCCCAAGTTAGTAAACATTAGAATATTACAAAAATGGGAGTTGAATCAATGACTTTTGTATAATTTACGATTAGTGCATATATGTCATACTCTTTCCTGATATACTGTATATCATACTCTAGTAAGAAATGTTAAATCGTTTAATACATTGAAAATAAAGATTTTACCTTTTTAGTGTCTGTCAATGCACATGAGTCTGAAAGTAAAGCTTGAAAAGAGTAGGATAAATCCATTTTCAGGGAAAGCATGTTGTGACTCTTCTTTACTATCGTTCACAGGGATTGGTGGAATTCAAGAATGTTCTGCTAAAGGAATACACCTATTAATGGAAACATCCAGGTAAAAGTAGAATCAGCTTGCCATTGTCGTTCTAATATACCTTTCACAAGCCTCTTCTGAAAGAAGTTTAAACAAATGTACAGAGTCATCGTTAATTATCTTCCTGCTTGAAAAACCAGTGCATAAATTCATCTCCTTTCTGTGTCTTTAAGTGCTTATAGGATTGTCTGTTAGTTTTAGACCAATGGTGAATGCTGATGGCTGCACGGATTTCAGGAAAACATCTTTTCCAGATTCTTTGCCATAGGAATAAAACTTTCTCAAGTTTAGAATTTACAGATTGTTAATCACACTACATTCTTTTCCAAATATATCCTTCATTCCTCATGACATTATGTAGTTAGAGCTGACCATATACTGGGTGAGTAGTAATCCCTCAGGAACAGCAGGGAACTTTCTTAGGTGACAAAGTATTTGCCAAAAGTTTACAGAAAATATCATACTTGCCAGCAGAGACATACCAAGAGTGGGGCAGTGAGAGTAATCTGCCCACGGTGCAGGCAATAAAGGGATGTGGGACTGTAGACATTTTTTTCCTTTTTAAAAATGTTTAATTTGTAGAAAATTTTAATACAATAATAATACTGACCAAAGGTCGATCAAGTTTTTGTTCACAGTTGTAAACTTAAACTATATTAGTTATAAAGTACTACCCCCTAAAAAATAATCTGATCGTTTGTAGAGTTTACTGTTTCAGAAGCAGTTTTTCTTCACTTATAACATTTTTGGAAACTGGAAACAATTGTCCATTCTTTTCTGTCTCATTAATAGAAAATGCTGGATAATATAGATGTAATAGTAAAAGGATAAGACAGAGTGCTCATTATGAAGTTGCATGATATAGTTTGGCTGTGTCTCCACCCAAATCTCATCTTGAATTGTAGCTCCCCACAATTCTCATATGTCATGGGATGGACCCGGTGGGAGGTAATTGAATTATGGGGGCAGGTCTTTCCCATGCTGTTCTCATGGCAGTGAATAAGTCTCACAAGATCTGATGGTTTTATAAACGGGAGTTCCCCTGCACAAGTTCTCTCTCTTGTCTGCCACCATGTAAGACACGCCTTTTGCCTTCTGCCATGATTGTGAGGCCTCCCCAGCCACGTGGAACTGTGAGTCCATTAAACCTCCTTTTCGTTGCTGGGCACAGTGGCTCATGCCTGTAAATCCCAGCATTTTGGGAGGCTGAGGCGGGCAGATCACTTGAGGTCAGGAGTTTGAGACCAGCCTGGCCAACATGGTGCTGCCCCATTTCTATTTAAAAATACATATATACAAAAATTAGCCAGGCATGGTGGTGCATGCCTGTAATCTCAGCTACCCAGGAGGGTGAGGCAGGAGAATCACATGAACCTGGGAGGTGGAGGTTGCAGTGAGCTGAGATTTTGCCTCGGCACTCCAGCCTGGGTGACAGAGCGAGACTCCATCTCAAAAAAGAAAAACAAAAACAAAAAGCAAACAAACAAACAAAAAAACCCACCTCTTCTTTATAAATCACTCAGTTTTGGGTATGTCTTTATCAGCAGCATGAAAATGGATTAATACACTGTGTATGCAATAAAGATAAATTTTATTTTATTTTATTTTTTGAGACAGGTCTTACTCTGTCAACCACACCCAGGTGGGAGTGTAGTGGTGCGATAGCTCATGGACTGCAACCTCCGTTTCCTGGACTCAGGTGATCCTCTTACCTCAGCCTCCTGAGTAGCTGGGACCACAGGTGTACACCACCACACTTGGATAATTTTTTGTATTTTTGGTGGAGATGGGGTTTTGCCATGTTGCCCAGTCTGCTCTCAAACTCCTGACCTCAAGCAATCCATTTGCCTCAGCCTCCCAAAGTGCTGGGATTACAGGCGTGAGCCATGGCACCCAGCAGCAATAAAGAGAAATTTTAAAACGCGAATCTCAACCTTTGAAGTTTTGTGTAATTCAAAAGAAAATATATGATTTTTCTTTTTTGAGTTATCTTGTTTTCCGGTGTAAACTAGAGGTTAATCATATACAAAAATATTTGCAAACAGCCAGAATCAGTCTCCAACAATGTACAGTGGAATTCTAAACTTTAAAATTGTTCCTTGAAGATCACCACATAAAAATTGTGGAGAAGGTCATTAACCGTGCAACAAGAACAAAAAAATGTAAGGAAATATAAATTAGGAAAAGAAACCATTTTCTAAAGAATAACAGGAGACATGGCAAAAGCACTGGTCTTACATTGCCAGAAGAAATATAAAGACTAATGCTTGAATGTCTTAATAATTTTCTTCAAGAACTATTCACTCTTTCTTAAGAAAAGGATCGAATATTTTCAAGATTTGCTGTCATTCAGCCATTTTCTCACAATACACCATAGAAAAGACAACCCACAGAGTGGTTGAATATTGCAATGCATGTAACTGAGAAGAACTCGTAACTAAAACATGGACAAAAGAACTTATATAGATTAATAAGAAAAAAGACTACTCAATAAAAGTAGTCTTTAGGAAAAATAAGACTACTCATTTTTCAATAGAAAAATGGGCAAAAGATGTAAACAGTCAATTTACCAAGAAGAAAGTCCAATGAAAATAAACACTGAAAAGCTGCCAAACAAAAATAATAATCAGGGGAATGCAAATTAAAACAGCAGTGGATACAACCACTTCCCCACCAATACGGCTGCTAGAGCAAGTTTGATTAAGACCAAGTATTATTCTCATTTAAACAGCATATATACTAAAATTGAAAGGTTACAGAGATTAGCGTGGCCCGTTCAAGGATGACACATATATTTATGAAGTGTTCCACATTAAAAAAAGATCAAGTGTTGACAAGAATGTAAAGCGACTGAAACTCTCATATATGGCTGGTCACACTGGTGACACTTTGGAAAAAATTTGGCCCTATTTGTTAAAGCTTAAGGTTGCATGTCTTATAGCAATTTCTCTCAACTATGAATAGCACCATGCAAGGTCCGTGGGTGTTTTGTTTTGTTTTGTTTTGTTTGAGACAGAGTCTCACTCCATCGCTCAGGCTGGAGTGCAGTGACATAATGCAACCTCCGCCTCCCAGGTTCAAGCAATTGTCCTGCCTCAGCCTCCTGAGTAGCTGGGATTACAGGCATGTGCCACCACGCCTGGTTAATTTTTTTTCGTTTTTCTTTTTTTTTTTTTTTTTTTTTTTTTTTGAGATGGAGTCTTGCTCTGTCGCCCAGGCTGGAGGGCAGTGGTTTGATCTCAGCTCATTGCAACCTCTGCCTCCCAGGTTCAAGCAATTCTCCTGCCTCAGCCTCCCCAGTAGCTGGGATTACAGGCACCTGCAACCACACCTGGCTGGTTTTTGTATTTTTAGTAGAGACGGGATTTCACCATGTTGGCCAGTCTGGTCTCGAACTCCTGACCTCAGGTGATCCACCCACTTCAGCCTCCCAAAGTTCTGGGATTACAGGCATGAGCCACCGCATCTGGCCGATGCCTGTCTAATTTTTGTATTTTTAGTAGAGATGGGGTTTCGCCATGTTGGCCAGGCTGGTCTTGAACTCCTGGCCTCAAGTGATCTGCATGCCTCGGCCTCCCAAAGTGCTGGGATTACAGGCATGAGCCACTGCGCCCAGCCAATTTTAACTTTTTGTCATAGACTTATGTATATTTTATGATAGTAAATGATAAAATAGACTAGTAACTACATGTATCTTGTGAATTCATGACCTTTTTATTAAATGCTTTGATATTTCTAGGCTACACAGGTCATTAGTAAGTTTTCTGAAATTGTCACAAATCTCCAAGAAATTTTCCAATATATTTATTGAAAAAAATTCACATACAAGTGGACCGGCACAACTGAAACCCATGTTGTTCAAGGGTCAACTATATATTCATATTAAAAACATCATTTGCACTCCTGTCTGGAAGGTGATGAATCTAAAAGGGAAGGTGTCAAGCCAACACTGAAAACAAAAATAAACAAGAAGATGATGTGATTTGATATAGCACAAGATACAGGGGATGGTTTGAACTGAGCACCAGAAGCGTAAGTTGTATAGTAAACTTTTTCTCTTGTCTTCAACATACTGGGGCAGTGGTCCCCTGCTAAGAACATAATTAACCTTTTGGCTTAAACAAGTAGTGAGAGGGTAAAGGAAGGCAGGAGCCTCACTCCCTGGGACTCAGACTCCAGTTCTTAAGCTGCACATTGTTCCCTGGAGTAGGGGAGTTGGGAGAGAAAGAAGGTGCCTTAGCCCATTTTATGTTGCTGTAAAGGAATACCTGACACTGGGCAATTTATAAAGAAAAGAGGTTTATTTAGCTCATGGTTCTACACGATGAGAAGTTCAAGGGCATGGCCCTGGCTTCTGGTGAGGGCTTTCGTGCTGCATCACAACGTGGTGAAGAAGGTCAAAGGGGAAGTGGACATGTGCAAAAAGGGGAACCCCTGAGGGGCATCCTGGCCTTATAACAACCTACTGTGGTGGAAACAAGCCCATTCTTGCAAGAACTCATGCAGTCCACGGAAACAGCACCAAGCCACTCATGAGGGATCTGCTCCCATACACCAGACCACTTCCATTAGGCCTCATCTCCCAACACCACCACATCAGGGATTAAATTTCAACATGAGTTTTTGTGGGGACAAACAAATCATATCCAAGCCATAGCAGAAGGCAAGACAGAAAAATGGCATGAGTAAGAAATGAGCCAACTGGTTACTACTTTTGATCACTTGGACAGGGTAGGCATAGGCAAAGAAAAGATTTTCACTGGGATAAACATCATTGTTATGTACCCCAGACTGTCTTGTTCCCCAGATTTTGAACGAGCGAACTTTTTTTCCCTTAAAAGTCCATAGCTGCATAATTCTGAAGGCATTGGCTGCAAGTTTCCATTTTTCCTTTCTCAAGGTTCAAGAAGTGCCCAAGTATTTTTTTCTTTTCTTTTCTTTTCTTTTTCTTTTTTTTTTTGAGACAGAGTCTCACTCAGTTGCTGAGGCTGGAGTGCAGTGACGTGATCTCAGCTTACCGCAACCTCTGCCTCCCAGGTTCAGGCAATTCTCCTGCGTCAGCCTCCCGAGTAGCTGGGACTACAGGCACATGCTGCCACATCCAGCTAATTTTTTATATTTTAGTAGAGATAGGGTTTCACCATGTTGCCCAGGCTGAGCTCAGGCAGTCTGCCCACCTTGGCCTCCCAAAGTGCTAGGATTACAGGCGTGAGCCACTGCGCCTGGCCTATATATTTTTTTTGATCGATAAGAAGTGTATTCATTTATTTGCACAGTTCTGCAGGCTGTGCAAGAAGCATCGCACCAGAATCTGCTTCCACTCAAAGTAAATAATGTCAAGGTTTGTTGTCATTCAGCCATTCAGGAAGGCAAAGGGGAGCAAACATCACATGGCAAAAGAGGAAGGAAGAGAGAGGGAGGGGGGTGCCAGGCTCTTTTCAACAATCAGCTTTGCAAAAACTAATGGACTGAGAATTCACTCCTGCAAGGGTGGCACCAAGGCCTTCATGATCCAAACACTTCTCACTAGGTTCCACCTCCAACATCAAGTATTTTCAGATGAGATATTTTCTAGCCTGTCTTAAGAATGATTTTACAATTTTTCCAGGCCATTTGCCCTCCTGGCAACCTTCCGTGTTCACCTTCTGGCAGGAAATTTTCTTACATGCCTACCTGGCAAAATATTGATCCACTTCAAAAATTCAGCTTAATTTTCTCCTTCTCTAGACTATATTATATTTTATCCAACATATTTTATATTATAAGTATATAATATATAATATATCCAATATAATTTAATTATATATTATAATTTATAATTATAATTTTATTATATTTATAATTTTAATTTATTAAAAGAACCAGGGAACACATTTATATTATATAAAATATAAAATTGTGATACATGTATATATTATAATTGTATTATATTTTATCCAATATAATATTTGGATAAAATATCAAAAATAATTTTTTGGATAAATTTAAGAGGTAGCCTAATATATAAGGGTGACTTTTCAGTCCAAACAAATGCAGACAACTCATACATCTATGTGTGCACTTACTGGTTTATATTTCAGTAGTCTCTTTTCTTGCTTGTCTCCATCTCTAAAGCATGAGCTCCTTGATGGAACAGATCACCTTGGGACACTATGTAATACAGCATACTGCTTAAGTGCATAGAGCCAGCACTTCTGGGTTTAAATCTCACACTTAGGGAATGTGTATCCTTAAGTAGGTCATCTAGCCTTTCTGTGCGTAAGTTCTCTCATTTGTAAAATGGGTATAATAATAGTAGCAACTTTAAGTAAGGTAAAAGTGAGAGAGAGAGAGTGAGAGTGAGAGGGAGCGGGAGAGAGACAGCGAGGGCGAGCGCTGGTCTTGAACTCCTGGGCTGAAGCAATCCTCCTGCTTCTGCCTCCCTAAGAGTTGGGATTACAGGCGTGAGCCACCGCACTTGGCCAAACGTTTTACTTTTTAAATTAGATTAAAAACCTTTTAATGACCGTCATTGAGTTACAGAATTTTTTTTTTAATAAAACGTAGCCTAATATATAAAAGGGTCATTGTTTCCAGGTCAAACAAATGCAGATAGCTGTGTTGGAGGGCAGAGGGAAGAGGGAGACTTGGAGGATTCTGGCAGGAAACACTCGAGTTTCCTCCAGTCTCTGCAACATCTTCCCACCGTCTTGCCTGCCATATGCAAGGTCCCTCCAGTTCCTTTTATTTACCTGTCAGAGGACTACTTTCTCCAGGAAGCCATCTCTGGCGTCCCACGCTTAGGCTCTGTCAGGCAAACTGATCGCCCTTTTATGCAACTGTCTGTTTAGCTGTCTGATACCACACAACTGTGACTTGCGCATTGGGGCTATGTCTGATTTTTCTCTGCGGAGTACTCAGGAAAGGAACGACTGATCTCTTCAAGCGAATCCTGTTAACAGCTAAGAGCCTCCTCTTACTTGGATCCCTATTGTTGACTGATGGAGACGGTTTCCCTCTCCATCAGTCACTCCTTGCCTCTCAGTTTCTCAGCCTCACCTGGAAACTTTAGAAATGAAGACCCTCAGATGTGCTCCCACGTTCTTTCAGCGATAATCTCTACAACCTTAGGGCATTAGCTCCGCCCCGTCTCGGCTCCTGACCCCGCCCCCTCCCGCACGCCTCCCTAAGCCTGGGTCACAAGTACGCATGCTCTCCCTTCTTCCCCGTAGCGTGATGACGTAAGCGGCGTTGGCGTGGTGTGGTAGGAGTGGTTGCGCGTGTTGCGGCCCGGGTTCTGTTCGTAGGTTTACAATTGTCGCGGGTAGTGGGGCGCCCCAGCTGCCAACTGCACGTGGTTTCTTTCTGGCGTTTGCCTAGTGTCCTGTCCATTCCGCCCCGTTGGGAAGTGGGAAGCGGAGAGGTTCTGTGGGGACAGAGCTGGGAGTCCTGAAGGAGAAAGCGCGCAGCCGAGGGGCTCTGGAGTGCCTTAGAGCAGAGCTGCGGCCGCGGAAGGGGAGCAGCTGAGAAAGGAGGGCCGCTGCAGGCGGGGTTCGAACCGTGGGGTCTGGGCTGCTCCCGCGGAGGGCCTGGGCGGACGCGGGATGCTGGGGGTCCGCTGCCTGCTGCGGTCCGTGCGCTTCTGTTCCTCCGCCCCCTTCCCCAAGCACAAACCTTCAGCCAAACTGAGCGTGCGGGACGCTCTCGGGGCTCAGAACGCGAGTGGGGAGCGCATTAAGATCCAGGTTGGTGAATGGGAAGGGAGTGGGTTTTTTCTTGTAGGGACTTTTATATGGCACATCCACATCTAGCTTTTCTTTTACAGTCGGGTCAGACACAACCGCCAGCAGGGAAAAGTTAGAAAGTGTAGGCGTCGCGGGTTTGCACTTTTCTGATTTCCATTACTTTTCACAAAACTGTTCCGATAACTGTAAAGCGCTGGAACTTTGCTTTCATGATTCCAGGGTATTACCTGTAAACTTGTTAATCATACCAAAAGTGTAAATGAACAAGCCCCCTTTCTCTATCTTTATCCCTTATAATGAATATCCAGGTTTATAAAGTGGTTGTCTTGACCTCCCTCCTTGAGAGCAGAAACCGTGTCTTACCTGCCTTTGTATTCACACATGGCTGACAGCAAATACTTGTTCAAACCATGCCTTTTAAACTTTTAGCGACCTCAGTGCCTATTGTGGGGGTCTGCATGTAATTTATTTTTAATGAATTCGGAGAAAGACTGGAATGTAGCAGTTTGAAAGAGCTCTGGAGTTAAGCTGCTTAGGTTTAAATCTCTGCATAGCGTTTATGCGTTCTACACCTTATTTTCCTCTTATGGAAAGAGATAATAATTGTCCCTGAGTCCTGAAAATTAAATGAGGTAATGGAAGTAAGATATTTAGAACAGTGGCTCATAGTCTACAAATGTTAGCTGCTATTGTTTCTCTTGCTGATTATATTATTTGCAGCAGCTCCACATAGAAGAGGTGCAGAATAAACAAGGTGTTTGACTGTTTCTTATTAGGTTGCTGAAGTACACTGATGTGGTTATTTATTTTTTGAGACAGGGTCTAGCTCTGTCACCCAGACTGGAGCGCAGTGATGTGATCTCAGATGACTACAACCTCCATCTCCCAGGCTCAAGCAATCCTCCTGCCTCGGCCTCCAGAGTAGCTGAAACTATAGGCATGCACCACCACACTCTATAATTTTTTAAGTTTTTTGTGAAGATGAGTCTCACTGTATTGCCCAGGCTGGTCTCAAACTCCTGGACTCAAGCAGTCCTCCTCCTTCGGCATCCCAAAATGCTGGGATTACAGGCATAAGCCTGGTAGATGTTGTTATAATAAATACTTATTTTTTGAGTAGGTTCTTGCTTTGTCACCCATGATTGTACTGACACAGTCATGGCTTGCCGTTGCAGTGATTTCTGTTGTCCTCACATATCCTTTACTTTTTAGCGGTATGACCAATCTGCTCCTCTTTGAGTTCCATATTCTTTCCATAGGTCTGTTGGTCTATTGATTGGGTATACATTAATGATACTTTGTGTGCTAGTCAAGAGAAAATTCAAAGATGAAAAGAGAACCTGCTGCCCAGGTTAGAGGATTTCAGTTTAGTCCTGTGAGGTCTGATATGGTAGCTACCAGCCACTTTTGGCTCTGAGCACTTGAACTTTGTCTGGTCCAAATTGAGATGTGCTATAAGTGTAAAATACATACCAATTTTGAAGAACCAAAAAGAATGCAAAATATCTCAATATGTTTTTATATTGATTATATGTTGATAATATTTGGGGCATAATAGGTTAAAGTGAAATATTTCATCTATTTTTATGTTTAACGTGGCCACAAAAAGAAATTTTAAATTAAACATGTGACTCACATTATGTTTCTGTTGGACAGCCCTGCTCCAATGGTTAAAACAAATAATTTTAGCAATAGGATAGTTGGTAGTAAGGTAAGTAAAGAACTATAAGAAAACAGGAAGTTACGTAACTGAGAAGGTTAAGGAAGATATCTTGCATGAGGTGATATTTCAGCCAAGTCCTGAAAGATGTGTTCCCTAGGCAGAGGAGCTGGGGATGGGGCAGAATTATAATAGCATCCCAGAAAAGCTCGTTGATAAGAACATGAACTTTGAAGTAAGAAATTCCTTTTGAATCTCAACTCTACTAATCGGTGACTATGTCCTGGACTATTTAGAGAGGTTATCGTGACATCTCTAAATAATGTTTCATCAGCTCTAAAATGATAACCACTTCGTTAAGTTTTTCTGATGATTAAGTAGCATAATATTTATAAAGAGGTTAGAATAGAAGCACATTACAAAGTGCTCAATAAATGTTAACTTTAACAAGTGAAAGTAAGAAAGTAGTCGTTTGGAAATTAGTTTTTGTGTTTTTTTGTTTTTTTGAGATGGAGTCTTGCTCTGTCACCCAGGCTGGAGTGCACTGGCGCGATCTTGGCTCACTGCAACCTCCGCCTCGTGGGTTCAAGCGATTCTCCTGCCTCAGCCTCCCCAGTAACTGGGACTACAAACGAGCGCCAACACTCCCGGCTAATTTTTGTATTTTCGGTAGAGACAGGGTTTCACCATGTTGGCCAGGCTGGTCTCAAACTCCCGACCTCAAGTGATCCGTCCTTCTCGGCCTCCCAAAGTGCTGAGATTTCTGTGCCCAACCTGGAAATTACTGTTGATTTAGAATCACCAAAGAGGAGATGCCTTCTGGGCAGCGCAGTGAGATGAAACCAGAAAGAAGGGCGCACCCCACATCCTGAGAAAGGCACCAAGATATGTGCCCTGTTATTTATTGTTGGGCCAGAGGGCAGGGCTCTGGGAGGAAATACCTGGAATTGCCAATATTGGGAGGATTGATTATATGAATTAGGCTCATCAACATGAAGGAATGTTAGGCATCCATTCGAAATGTTGTGCATTATTACGAAAACAAAAGATAGAATACCAAAGTGTGTATCCTATTGTGATTGGAACATATAAAATTAAGTATGCATATTGGTGAACTAAAAGAAGTTGATTTGTTGAGGCAGGATTGTGAGTACATGTTTTACTTTCATTTAGTCTGTGTGTGTATGTGTAATGAAAACGTAAAATGTTTTACGCTCACATTGGAAATATTTCTCTTCCTTAGGGATGGATTCGTTCTGTCCGATCCCAGAAGGAAGTCTTGTTCCTGCATGTAAATGATGGGTCATCTTTGGAAAGCCTTCAGGTTGTTGCAGATTCAGGCCTTGACAGTAGGTGAGTTTTGTTTTTTAAAAGAATTCTTTGATTTTTGTTTTTCACCTCTAGTGCTTCTCACTTCCCTACTCCAGTGTTTACGTTGGACCCCTGAGTAATCTTTTGAAACAGATCTGCTTTAATAGCTTTGAGGATCAACTCCGAATATTTGGAATCAAGATCCTTCAAGCTCAGGCCTTTCCTCCTCTATTTGACATTGTCACATGCTGATATCCCCTACTTATGCTTCACTTCAGTCTTTCTTAATTACCTGCGGCTCCCTTAAGCTGTTCTGCTCTTTCCTAATAGCATTTGTACATGTTGCTGCCTCTGCCCAATACAGCCTCTTCTCCTCTTGTCTTTCATAGTTCCTGCTTAGTTAGGCATCATCTGATGTTCCCATCCCATGATTATGTCAGGTACCCCTTTTTTGTGCTCCCATAGTGTCCCGTGCCTACATCTGTCTTAAAATGTATCACATTGAATGGTAATCAACTGTATTCCTATTTGAATCCTCCTGCTAGACTCTTAATTTCCTGAGGTTAGGAATGGCATCTCACTCTTTTTTGTATTCTTGGCCTCTAGCATAGTGCTGACAATATGACAAATTATTGCCTGTTGAATAAATGGAAGAAACTTTATGGTCTCATTCATCAGGTTTTAAAACTAACACTAGGTCAGGCGTGGTGGCTCACGCCTGTAGTCCTAGCACTTTGGGAGGCCGAGACAGACGGATCACTTGAGTCAAGTTAAGACCAGTCTAGATATATTAAAACCCCGTCTCTACCAAAAATATAAAAATGAGTTTGTCATGGTGATGTGCACCAATAATCTCCACTACTCGGGCGGTTGAGGCTAGAGCATCTCTTGAGCCCTGGAGGTCAAGGCTGTGGTGAGCCAAGATCTTGCCACTGCAGTCCAGCCTGTGTGATAGAGCCCTGTCTCCAAAAAACCCCCCAAACCAAAAACTAACACCATTTTAATGTTAGGTATCAGCTCTGAGGAAGAGAACATTATTCTAATTTGTTAGAGTGCTTTGCTATTCCGGGGATTGTTAGGGTTAATGCTGTTTACACATTGAATAGGTTCATGGATCAGAGACTATGTGGTTAACTGGGCAGAACAAAAAAAAATTGTTCTGATGTAATAGTAACTTTTTTTTTTCCTGGAGAGAGTCTGACTCTGTCGCTCAGGCTGGAATGTAGTGGCATGATCTCGGTTCACTGCAACCTCTGCCTCATGAGTTCGGGCAATTCTCGTGCCTCAGTCTCCCAAGTAGTTGGGATTACAGGTGTGCGACACCACACTGGACTAATTTTTTGTATTTTTAGTAGAGACAGAATTTTACCATGTTGGCCAGGCTGGTCTCGAACTCCTGACCTCAAGTGATCTGCCTGCCTCAGCCTCCCAAGGTGCTGGGATTACAGGCATGAGCCACCACACCTGGCCCTAATATTAATGGTAACCTTTTAAACAACTTTGTAATTGTTTTGATTATATCAGTATAGCAATCACATGGGTCTAATGGGACCTAGATTTTAGATTTCTGTAGGATGACTGTCTCTTTGAGATATTCCCAGGAAACCTTAGGATATACTTATATTCATATATGTCAGGTAGTACATATTTTAAGTCAGAGCATCTCAAATTACCCTCTCAGGTTGATGAAAGTATACCAGATTTCCCCACCCATAATGCAATAGTGGACAATCTTATTTATATAAATTATATAAGAATAGCATATATTTAGCAAGCAAACAAAACTGGATGGAGAATCTCCTGACTTATTTACTTCAATAAAATTTATTGTATTGCTATATTACAATATTTCAATAGTTTATTAGGAAGGCACTTATTGTCATACTTACTGTAATTATGAAATGTTAGAACTAGAACAGATGGGCTGGGCGTGGTGGCTCATGCCTCTAATCCCAGCACTTTGGGAGGCCAAGGCAGGAGGATTGCTTGAGCCCAGGTGTTCGAGACCAGCCTTGACAGCATGGTGAGACCTGGTCTCTTTAAAGAAAAGAAAAAAGAATTAGAACAGATGTACTATCATTTACCAGCTCCTTTTTTGATAGATGATTCTTAAATGAGCTTAGATGACTTTCCATAGTTGTCATACAGTTAATCTATGGGAGAACTTGAACTCGAACCTAGTCTTATTAACTAGAAAGTAGCACCTTATGTGCTTAGATCACCAGTCAACTAAGTAAAAAAAAATTTTTTTTTAATTGCAAAAATAGGACAGAGAATTCCCGGCAAATTTTATTTTGATTTGCAGTTTTCCCATGTATTCTGTAATCTTTTAAAAAGTGTTTTGGCCAACTAACTTTTTAATAAGGGCAATTGTACAACCTCTTAATTCTGAATTAATTATACAAATTCTTAACTCTATTCCCATTTTAAAGCTTATGGAATTCATTTTATAACTTTATGCTCTATTTATACGACAGATTATCCATAGATTCTGAAGATTATTTAACCCAATAAGGGTAAAAGCTTTTGTCATTAAGTATTTTAATATTCTTATTGCAAAGTTGATATTAAAATGAAGGTTGTATATAATGATATCTTGTTTATCTTGTTTTTTGTTACTATAGAGAATTAAATTTTGGGAGTTCTGTGGAAGTACAAGGGCAGCTGATAAAAAGTCCATCCAAAAGGCAAAATGTGGAACTGAAGGCAGAAAAAATTAAAGTTATTGGAAATTGTGATGCCAAGGTATGATTTCTGACACTTTTGTGGAGGCTGTTTAGGCTTTAATTAAGACAGCAATCTGTTTTAAGTGTGATTATTAGGAAGATGAAACTTAGAATATATTTCATTTGTGACAGATAATTGAAACAAGCCATATGACCTGTAGAGGCAGTAGCAAAAATTATTTATGTACATAGCTTAGTGAGAGGTAAGTGTTGATTTTTGCATCTCTGTGGTGTGTGTCACAGTTAAAACTTGCTGCTTTTACAAGCATGCCCAGTCAGCCACCATGATATACCAGGGTGGGCTCATTCTTAGGAAAGCCAAGAATGACTTTTGCATGATGTAGAACCGATCATCCAATAATGGTAGGCTCTAGCCACCTTTGGCTGTTTGGTATTAAATCCATTAAAATTCATTAAAAAAATCCAGTTCCTCAGTGGCATTACCCACATTTCAAGTGCTCAGTAGTTGCATGTGGCTACTGGCTACTATATTGGATAGCACAGAATATTTCCATTTATCACAGAAAGTTCTGTTGGGTGATGCCGATCAGTAGTATTGTAAGGCTTAGGCCGAATAGAGGCAAGAAATTCTGTATTAAGACATGTTTATGCCTGTTTTTGCAAGACTCTTCTGTTAGCTTCATATATATAAGCTTGATAAAGAGGTTAGAGAGAATAAAAGATTATTAATGAAATTCTTTAAATTTACAGTGGAGAAAATGAGGCCCAGCCAGATGAAGTGATTTGCTTAACATTATGAGCTGATGTGGCACAGCTGAAATTTATATTCTAGCCATTTGAATCCTCTGTGTTTTTGCTACACCTGTCTTCAAATATTTAATGAACAAAAATGAGGAAATATAGGAAAATTGCATCATTTTAATTCATTGTGTATTCTTTCAGTATAATAGGAAGAAATGTAAGGAAATAAAAGAAGAAAATGCAATTTTTATTAAAATGTCATCCTTAATTTCCAAGAAATTCTAATTGATGTAAAATCAGAAATCAGGTTCTAAGATTTCTGAGAAATAGAGTGTAGAATAATTTGGAAATCAAGAGCGTAATATAGACGGTAACCATTTTTCTTTTTGTTTTTTTTAGAGGGATCTGTGATTACTAAAAATTTGCCGTGTGTTTCACTGTAGTAGTTCAACCTTGTCTGTGGTTTTGCTTTTCACGGTTTGTTGCCCACGGTGAACTATGGTCTCAAAATACTACATGGAAAATTCTAGAAATAATTCTTAAATTTTAAATTGCATGCCATTCTCATTGTGTCATGGAATCTTGAGCCGTCCTGCTCCATCCTGCCTAGAATGTGAATCATCCTTTTGTCCTGCTTATCTGTACTTTATACACTACCTGGCCATTGTTGTGGAAGAAAAAACATAATGTTTATATGGTTTGATACTGTCCGTGGTTTTAGGCGTCCACTGGGGGTCTTGGAACATATCCCCTGTGGGTAAGTGGGGGACTACTATATTCTTAAATTGTTCTTCCTTGGCTTCTGTTGGTGTTGATGGCTTCATCTTCCCTGAAGCCCTCTGATTCAGTATCATTTTGAAGTATTCCAACATTAGGGAATTCTGACCCCTAGAATTATGATATGGTCACATTTTCACTTTTAGTAAGTATAGTGCTTGTTTCTATACGACATAAAAGTTTGTATTTGTACAAGACTTAGAATGGATGAGACTGAAAGAAACAGGCTGCCAGTGTAGCTCTTTTTTAGCTTCTCTGTTATCTTTTTAATTAAAACTTTGATTTTTGTCTGAAAGGATGTGTCTGTCTTAATCTTGTAACATGAATGTGAGCAGTGTAGACATATTTCAATGTGGAGCCATAATTTTCTTTCAAATTTTTTGTAAATCTTTACTACTCTGCTAGATGGAAGTAGCACGTTGATAATAGTAATGAATTGCACCAATTGATTATGAATGATATGGGCTTTCAAGACATATAGGTAATTTTAAAATTGAACACCAGCCTTGTGTGTACATCTTTAATATCTACAATATTTTGAACTCCTGTGTGCCAAACAGTGGATATTTTGCATAATTAATCCTAACCTATTTGTAGGAAGTGGTTCACAGCTAATGGATACAAACTTGATAAATAACAGATGAGCTTCAGTGATATTAGCTCAGTTACTTGGCTAATAAGTAGTTGAGCTAGATTCAAACCTACATGTCTCTGATTCCGTCCTACCATTCCACTTACCTGGTGGAAATAATGTGGATTAAAATCAGTTATATTAAGAAATAAAGAAGGAAAGGATCTTAGTTTGGTTCCAAAGCGCTATTTAAGAAATACCCTGGAAACTGATTTTATTAAACAGTATCTCTTTTGACTTCTAATTTGTTCTTTTCATTTATTGGCAGGATTTCCCCATCAAATATAAAGAGAGGCATCCTCTGGAGTATCTGCGACAATATCCTCACTTTAGGTGTAGGACTAACGTTCTGGGTTCTATATTGAGGATTCGCAGTGAAGCGACAGCTGCTATTCATTCTTTCTTTAAGGTAAGATCCTAAAAGTTCCCTCTTGACCCTTTAAACAGTTTTAATAACTGTTTAAAAACAGTTGTGTCTTTTTCTCCTGATGTTAACATGTCTGTTAGTTATGGGTTAGTTTTGATTGGTCTCTTCATTATGGGTTATGGTTTCTTGACTCTACATGACCTAGCTTTGGGTGCCAGACATTGTGAATTTTACCTTGTTGGGTGTTGTGGGTTTGCACACAGCTATTGATATCGCTTTGATCCTTTGAGGTCTTGCTTATGTGATTTGTTAAGCAGGTCTGTAGCAGTGCTCAGTCTAGTACTATTTATTCCTCACTGAGGCAAAGCCTTCCTCAGGTCCCGACCTACAGCCTTGAGAATGATGAGTTTTTCTAGTTTGTGGAACAGGTATTGTTTCCAGCCAGCATGTGAGCACTGGGCACTGTTTTCTCTAATCTTTTTAGATGGTTCTTTCCCTAGCATTGGATAGTTTCCTCACACAAATGCACTGATCTACCTAATACTGCAAGGTGGCCCTCTGCAGCTCTCTCTCTGATATTCTAGCGTATGAACTCTAGCCACTTGGGTCTCTCCAGACTCTGAGTTGTGTCTCTTCAACTCAGGGAGTCTGCTGGGCTCTACCTTACTTTTTCCCCTTCCCTGTGCTGTGGCCTGAAAGATCTCAAGGTAGTAAGCTGGTCTACTGGTAGGGGTTTACCATGTTTGTTTCCCATCTCAGAGAGAGATGGCTTTTGTTGTTGTCTTGAAAACTATTGTTTCATGAGGTTTGCTTTTTATTGTTACTGTTTTTGTTGTTGTTTTACAGTGTTTTTGGTTTCCTGTTTCTCCATCTTGGTCATAGATCTATATTTTGTGTAAAGTAAGCACTAATTTTAAAGAGTTACTGGTGTTGATCAAGTAGGTCTATCTAATGACTAAGGACATTTTGTCTCATTTAGCTTTGCTTCTCAACCATTTCCCTCTACCTGGGAAAGCCACAGTTTAATGTGGTTGACAAGTTGCTAAGGTGAAGGGACCTTCTCTCCCTGTGGATGGGAGGGCCCCAAAGACAAGGAGTGATCCAGCAGATAAAGTTTATTGTTATTCCACGTGGTTTTGTGAGGCTTCCTGTGGTACTTCTCCAGATCCACCTAATTTGCAGAGGTTGTGTAATAGTGGTTATAGACTTCCCTTGGGCTGTATCCAAATTCACACAGCCCCAGTCTCACCAAGAAGGTTCTTGCCCCTTGAAAAAGCTCCTTCAGATTCACTTTTGGTCAAAGAGCTAAAGAACATCATGGCTTTAAGGCATATGCTTTTGATAAGACAAAGGAAAATAAATCAAATTATATAATGTTATCCCATTATAGTTTGTAGGGGTCCAGTTACACATGCTGTCAGAAACTTTGCTATGCAGCTTCCATGTGGATTTTCAGTACTGCTTGAACCACACAATTGTAAAAATACCTTTTTGTTTTTTAACCACATGGCTTCAACAGCTGATAAATTATTAGTTCTGAAGGTTTTGTAGGCTTTTGGCCACTAGGTGGTGGTATTGACAAGTAGACTACACTATACATTGATTACTTGAAACTTTTAGAGATATGTAAACAATTAAAAAGTAAGACAAGCTAAAAAAAAATTGAAATAAAAAAATAAAGTAGTCAGGGTGCAGTGGTTCACATCTGTAATCCCAGCACTTGGGGAGGCTGAGGCAGGAGGATCTTTTGAGCCCAGGAGTTGGAGACCAGCCTAGGCAACATAGTGAGACTTGGTCTCTAGTAAAAATAATTAGCCAGGCATGGTGGCATGTGCCTATAGTCCCACCTACTCAGGAAGCTGAGGCAGGAGGATCACTTGAGCCCAGGAGGTGGAGGCTGCAGTGATCCGTGTTTGTGCCACTGAACTCCAGCCTGGGCAGGAGAGTGAGATCCTGTCTTAAAAATATTATTATTACTGGGCACAGTGGCTCACACCTGTAATCCTAGCACTTTGGGAGGCCAAGGCAGGCGGATTGCCTGAGTTCAGGAGTTCAAGACCAGCCCTGGCAACACGGTGAAACCCTGTCTTTACTAAAATACAAAAAAATTAGCTGGGTATGGTGGCGTGTGCCTGTAGTTCCAGCTACTCGGGAGGCTGAGGTAGAATTGCTTGAACCCGGGAGGCGGAGGTTGCAGTGAGTAGAGACTGCGCCACTGCACTCCAGCCTGGGCAACAGAGCGAGATTCCATCTCAATAATAATAATAATAATAATAATAATAATAATACTGTGTGTGTGTATACATATATATATATATATATTTTTTTTTTTTTTTTTTTTTTTGATACAGAGTTCACTCTGTTGCCCAGGCTGGAGTGCAGTGGCATGATCTTGGCTCACTGCAACCTCCGCCTCCTGGGTTCAAGGGATTCTCCTCCCACAACCTCCCAGGTAGCTAGGACTACAGGTGCGTGCCACCACACCCAGCTAATTTTTGTATTTTTAGTAGAGACGGGGTTTCACTATGTTGGCCAGGCTGGTCTAACTCCTGACCTCAGGTGATCCAACCACCTCAGCCTCCCAAAGTGCTGGGATTGCGGGCGTGAGCCACCAACCCTGGCCAAAAATTACTAAAATGAAATTTGAAAAACATTCATGGCCGGGCGCTGTGGCTCACTCCTGAAATCTCAGCACTTTGGGAGGCCGAGGCAGGCAGATCACGAGGTCAAGAGATCGAGACCATCCTGGCCAACATGGTGATACCCCGTGTCTACTAAAAATACAAAAATTAGCTGGGCGTGGTGTTGCGTGCCTGTAGTCCCAGCTACTTGGGAGGTTGAGGCAGGAGAATCACTTGAATCCGGGAGGCGGAGGTTGCAGTGAACCGAGATTGCGCCACTGCACTCCAACCTGGCGACAGAGTAAGACTCTGTCTCAAAAAAAAAAAAAAAAAAAAATTCAAGTGGTTGGAAATAACTTGAATTTTAGCACCATTCGTGATAGAGTAGTTACAAAAATAGACACTTTTTGAGTAGTAATAAATTCACTTAGTATTTGTAAAGACCTGGAGAATATAATTCTGTTACCTACCTTTATGTGTGATAGTTATCTACCTTTATGTGTGATACTTAGGATTAGTTGTTTAAAGAACCCTTTCTGTAGTACTATAAGGCATATTAAGTAATAGTTATATGTTACCTAGTATTTTGTAGTGTTTCTTTGATCTGTTACTTTGGGTTTGCTAAAAGATGTTAAGCCTCCAAATAAAAAATTTTCGTAAGTTTCAGTTTTGTTAATTAAAATATAGAAATGTGGGGGAAAAATGGAAACTTGAACAGTACTTTTAAGACACTTTAAGGATCTAAGGTTATTTCTTGGTTTGAGTATGAAAAATATTTTTTGTATAACCTTGTTTGCTCATAAAACTGACATACTTGTTATGTACTAAAACTTGGCTATTTAGAATCCTCAAGGAATGAGTCATTCAGTAAAGCCAAGTTTCTGAAATAACTGAGGAATTTTCTCTTTAGGCACCAATTTTTTCTAAATTCCAGTGGAAGTGTTCCTAAAATGAATTACTTACTTTCCCCTCTTCCTCAGTGAGCCAGTAGAAAAGATTCTGCTCTTTCTTTCTCAGTGAGTCGAGGTTCTTCCTGTGAGTATCAGGGATTGTTCTTCTCTGTATGGCAGCGTTTTCAAAGCCTGCCACTGACTATGTGAAGTATTTTTGTTGTTGTTGTTTTGAGATGAAGTCTCATACTGTTGTCCGGGCTGGAGTGCAGTGGTGCAGTCATGGCTTACTGCCACCTTAATCCCCCAGGCCCAATTGATCCTCCTACCTCAGCCTCCCAAGTAGCTGGGACTATAGGCATGCACCACTGTGCCTGGCTCGTTTTTTTTAATGTATTTTTTGTAGAGATGGGATCTCACTGTGTTGCCTAAGCTGGTCTTGAACTCCTAGGCCCAAGCAATCCTGCCTGGACCAACCAAAGTGCTAGGGTCCAGATATGAGCCACTGTGCCCCAGCCTATGTGGAGTATTCTTTACCTTTGTGTAGAATGTCTCCAAATTGCTATGCCTTTGAGTTCCTGTGACTGCTGTTTATGTTTTTTGTTTTTTGTTTTTTGTTTTTTGTTTTTTGACAGAGTCTCGCCGTGTCACCCAGGCTAGAGCACAGTGGCGTGATCTCGGCTCACTGCAACCTCTGCCTCAGCCTCCTGAGTATCTGGGACTACAGGTGTGCACTACCACACCGGGCTAATTTTTGTATTTTTTAGTAGAAACTGGGTTTTACCATGTTGGTCAGGCTAGTCTCAAACTCCTGACCTCAGGTGATTCACCCGCCTCAGCCTCCCAAAGTGCTGGGATTACAGGCGTGAGACACTGCTCCTGGCCTCTTTATGGAATTTTAAAATCTGTTCTTGCTGTCACTTTATGTTGTCTATGGCCTGCCTGTGGCTAGCAATTCCTTTCACGTTTCCTTTTTTGTTGATTCTGATTAAATAATAGTTATTTCAGTTTCACGTGAAAGAAAAAGATAATCTATTAGTCTTCTCTTACTGATGTGTATGGGCCGTAATGTATGAACTTTATAATTTTGGGATACTCAGAGCCTTATAAAATATCTGGTTTTAGAATGTGTATTAAAATATTTAAATACTTGGAGGTGATGGGTGGAATCTGAAAAATTGGGTGAAAGTGGTTGCTTTTATTTTTGGCCTCTTTTCTGGCCTTCATGTTTCTACTTAGGAGCCCCTTTGCTGCGGGACAGTATAAATAAGTGACACTGGAAACCTATTTGAGGCACATACTGACAATACTTAACCACTCCTTGCTATTTACTTTCCTTTTATTCTTTTTACTCCCCCACCCGCTTTCACTTTTTTGGACTTTGTTTGCACGGCTGTATTATTCTTCCTTTGTACTCTCTCCTTTATTAGCATTTGGTAACGTTAGGAACTTTGATAAGCCTTGCTAGCAGTTTTAAAGCAGCGAAAGCTGCTGGGCCCTTTTGTAATGTTTAGCATTAGTTAAGTATTAAAAATAATTCCCACTAGGTGTGTGATTTAAAAAAAAATCTCAGTTATTTTCCTAAGATTTACAGTGCTGTTTCTTGTGGCATTTGACCAGTTCTAACTTGGGCAATCATGTTTAGCCGTTAAATTTTCTCCTCCCTCTCCACCTCCCCTTCCCCACCCTCGTTTCCTTTGGATTTTTCACTTCCTTTCTTTGTTTACTGCACTCATGTTCATAGTTGCCTACGTTCATGTGGAAGAAATGTTTCATGTCCATGATTCTTGGCTCCTAGGAGATAAAAATTTTATGCAGTAATGTTATTGATCAGATTTTATTGGTTTTCTATAATGTGCTCTGTGCAGCACCTCTGGGCATGTTGCTGTCAGATTAAGTGTACATTTTAATACTTTCTGAGACTGCTAATTTAGAGCTTGAATATTTAATCAGTCCACATCATAAGGCAAGTTGTTGACTGAATACTTTGTATTATAGCCAGAATACTTGAATTTGAGAAGGATCATATTCGGGAGGTCCCTAGTAATGCATAGAGACAATCTACACTCCACCAAACTTGGCAGAGATATGTATTTAAGAATTTATTGTATTGATTCCAAGACCAAAATTTTGCATTAAGCATGTACTATCCTACATTTCTATTATAAATTCACTTTTCGTTACCTGCAGTCCCACCCTGCAAACATCTACATTGTGTGTAACCTTTTGCTTACATCCATAGTCAAAATGAAAGAAGCATAACCTTGAAGTTGCTGACTAGCAACAGCTTTTGTGGTTCACTAATGGAAATAGTCTCAGACTTTTGTTCGGAAGAGCTCCATTTGGGGACCTCGGTAATGGATGGATTTGCTGCTGCTCAGAATATTCCTTCAGGCAAAGGAAGTACACTGCCTGTGCCATGTGGAGTCCATTGTGCCATCAGTTTAATGACAGAGACCTCCTAAAGATCATTTCTGCCTTTTTTTGCTGTTTGTTTATTCAGTCTCTATTTGTCTACTTTTTCTCCTTTTTTGGTGGTTCATTACAATTGAGGTCATATTTCAAGATAAGTTTATACTGATCGCTTTGTATTCCTCTAGCAACGTGGGCAGCATCATTATGCATTAGCCTATAGTGTGCGTATGTGTTTGTTAAATCACCACCAAAATGTTAGAGAAATGGGAAGAGAATATAGTACTAAAGAGAGAGCATGAAGACCTAGGTTCTAGTCCTGGCTCAGCCACTGACTAATTGTGTAACTTGTGGAAAGTCACTAAATCTGTCTGGGCCTTAACTTCCTTATCTTTGAAATGAAGATGTTGGACTAGTTAATGTCTAAGTGTGTTCCTGAATTAAAATTATTTGTGCCCCTGTGGGTAGTTAAAACACTCAACTGATTTTCAGTAGTCTTAATATTTAGGGGATTAGGGAGGGATTTGATACAGCATCTGCTTAGTGTGCCATTTTAATACTATAAGAGGATGTGTGTTCTTGGAATTGTTGAATGTGCAAATATCCTGAAAACAGTGGTTTTCTTTTTCAGGACAGTGGCTTTGTACATATTCATACTCCAATAATCACATCCAATGACTCTGAGGGAGCTGGAGAACTTTTTCAACTTGAAGTAAGTTTTGCTTCCCATCTTGAGGGGTACATTGCTGTTTAATATTTTTCATTTGAGGGTTTGAAATTTAATAATAGTTTTGTGGACAGAAGACTATGAGCAGCACCTGAAATTGTCAATAAAAATCCTTGAAAAACTTACATAGACAATTCAAACCAGTCTCATTTCCTGTAGTACCAGCAGTCTTATGCTGTGACAGGTAAGAATGAATTTTTTTTTTTTTTTTTTTTTTTTTTTGAGATGGAGTCTCACTCTGTGGCCAGGCTGGAGTGCAGTGGTGTGATCTCGACTCACTGCAACCTCCGCCTCTAGGGTTCAAGCGATTCTCCTGCCTCGGCCTCCCGAGTAGCTGGTACTACAGGTGCCTGCCACCAGGCCCAGCTAATTTTTGTATTTTTAGTAGAGACGGGGTTTCTCTTGGTTAGCCAGGATGGTTTCGATCTCTTGACCTTGTAATCCACCTGCCTTGGCCTACCAGAGTGCTGGGATTACAGGTGTGAGCCACCATGCCTGGCCAAGAGTGAATTTTTAATTTAGCACTCTATTTACTTTTCTTAAGTTACTGTGAATTGCTGAACTAGAGAGATTTGAAGAGGCAAATGAGGATTTTAAGCTCTCTCTTACGCAGATTCAATCCACAGTTAATATTTGTGGACGTAAGTCATATTTTAAAATATAAATAAAAATAGAAGAGTATACATGTGAATATCATTTTCTTTTTCAAAGTCTTTAAAAAATACATTTTTTCATAAGAACTGATTTATATTTTGTTCATCCCATGAAGGCTCTTAAATTTGTCTAGCAATCATTTTTTGAGTTCCTAGTATATGCCAGGCATTGTCAGCCTGCCCTTACTGCAGATATTTTTTAAGTTATCAGTTTTTCTTATTGGAGGCAGTCGAAAGCCTTGCATTTACCAGTTTGATAGCTATTTAAAATCATTAGCCGGTTGTATAATAATGGACAGAGAGAATGGTATGATCATGAGTGGTACTTTGGTACTTCTTTTATTTGTTTACTGATTTCTTTATCTTTAAGATGTCAGGATTCTTGTTTATATATTTGGTTGATTCTATCAAATGACAAAATTTGTATGTAACTGCTTTCTCCGGTTCAGTGCTTTTTGACTCTTAATAATGGTGGTGGTGCTTTATATTATTGAACAAAGTAGTCTCTGGGAGAAGTTGTCCTGATAGGTTGAAGTCATTCAGAATGATAATCAAATGCCGTCTTCATTATACATGACTGGAAGAATTCTTGACGTTGATCAGCATTCTGCAAAAAAGCAGAATAAAAATGCCTTGTTGAACATTTAGAGTGGGGGTATTAGCATCTGTGTATATGAGTTCAAAGAAGGCAGCAGGTGACAAAATAACCATATGTAAATTCTGGAAAACATTCTCTTCTAGGTGTTTATTTTCTCTTTGCACTTTAATTTTCTGCATAGTGAAGCCAAGAATTACTGTAAATACATTTCTAAATCCCTTAGTCTAAACCACTGAATATTCAATAAATGGCTGGGAAAAAAAGGTATAATTTAAAGGAGTCTTTACAAATAAAAAGGAATTGTTAAAGAGACCCAAATGAAACAAGTAAAAAAGTTTTTAATGTGCATAAATAAAGATACATTTGGAGATAACTGCATTGCTACCAGGGAAATCCCATAAGCAGCTCTGAGTGATTGTATATATATAAAATATAAGAGAGATATATATATATAATATAAGATATATATGATATATATACATATTTTATATATATATCTTGACCTCTAAATAACCTAAGACAAATTATCAGATAAGTGTGAATAAATAGGAAGAGGAAAAAAATGTATTTCTGAAGCTAAACAAATGAGAAGTGTACTATGTTCATATTATTTCAGAGCCAGGGAAAGGAATTTGTGGGATTGAATTTGCCCATGCAGAATATCAGAAAGAGAAACTCTTGAATTCATTGATCCTAGGCTCCTACAGTCAGGATCTAGCTCAGGTTTCAGCTGATCTGTGCTATCTGGCTTTTATGCTGTGTCGACCTACTGTCTTTGTTGCTTTCAGAAGTTTGACTACAAAGACTTGTCTTCTGTCCCTGCCAACCCTCTATCCTTTGAAAGCAGAGCTCCTTCTTATCCCACCTCACATACTTCACTTCCAAGATTCATTGTGTTGAATTCCTCCTGGCTGCCTGTAGAAGCATAAGAATTTGAATTTTGGTACCCCTTTTAGGAGGAGGTGGGCTTTCATATTTAAATTCTTGCTTCTCGTAATGGTGCACATTTTTTCTCTGACAGAAATGAAGTGTCATTAAGTACTGCATTTAAAGATAAGAGGGCAGCTTTAAGAGGTCACCTTGAAAAAACACAGTAAGAACATGCACTTCTAATATTCTGTTGAGAAGTGAATGCATGCTCTATCATTTTACTCTTCCTTTCCCTCATCTCCATTTCCTACTTTGATATTTGTTAAGGTTTGGGGACTACTGAATACATTGTAAGAAGTTTCCTTCAAGGCATTTGTTCGTTATTAACGGACATTTGGTGCCATCTGTGTTCAAGATGCTATGCTGTAAAGATGTAGTTGAGGTTCTATCCTGTCAAGCCGGTAAGTTGGCAGGAGTTGATAAGGGAAGGAGCATGCTTTTCATTCACTGTTGATGTTACTTATCCTACAAAATTCCTTGTTTGTACACGTTTTCCTCTTTGTCCTAAGGCCCTGGCTGAGTTCCCAAAATTAGGTTTGGTCTTTATAATTTGGAAGAATTAGTTTGTCTTTGAGGAGATAAAAGAGATTAAGGCAAGAATTGTAGGTTGTGGCTGTCAAAGACAAAATTACTACAAATTTAGTTTAAAGATCTTAATTGACTTTCATTTGCCATTCAAGAATCAGGCAACACTTCCTTCTATAAAATAGAAGAGGCTAGTTTTATAGATGGAAAAAGGCTGAGGAAAGCAGAAACAAAAATCAAAAAGCAATTGATCTTTACAAAGTTATTTTTCTTGTAAAGGTTAAAGCAAAGGGGACTTCCTTATGCTGGCTAAAATTGTTCTCTTTGGTGATGTGGCTGTTACTCCTCTTCTGACTTCTCAGAAGGTAACGTGAAGATCTTAGTTTTGGCTTGGTGGCGATGCACAACTGTATACAGTTCCATGGTTTTCAGTATAACTAGAAGTTGATGGGAAATAAGGTGGAATTGCTTTATGTATACATTTGAGGATATAGTGTTACCAGTTATAAGTGGTATGGAATCTAGAGGAAAATGAGGTAGGTCAGTGAGTACTGACTTGGTCAGAAAAACCTTCAAAATGAATATGTGACCTGACTGTACCTTAGGGAGAATATTCCAGGTAAGAGCAATAATGTAAGAAGAATCAGATAATTAAAATGAGGCATAGACAATATACATTCTTCTTGTCTTCACGTGGCACCTACTCTAAAACCAACCACATAATTGGATATAAAACAATCTTCAACAAATGTAAAAGAACTGAAAGCATACCAAACACACTCTCAGACCACAGCACAATAAAATAGAAGTCAACACAAAAGCATTCAAAATCATATGATTACAGGGAAACTAAACAACATGCTCCTGAATAACCTTTGGGTAAATAATGAATTTAAGACAGACATCAAAAAGTTTTTTGAAAATAATGAGAACAAAGATACAACGTACCAGAATCTCTGGGACACAAGTAAGGCAGTGTTCAGAGGGAAAATCATAGCACTAAACGCCCACATCAAAAAGTTAGAAAGTTCTCAGATTAACAACCTAACTTCACAACGGAAATAATTAGAGAAGCAAGAACAGATCAACCCCAAAGCTAGCAAAAGATGAGAAATAACAAAAATCAGAGCTGAACTGAAGGAAGCTGAGACACAAAAAAACATTCAAAATATCAGCAAATCCAGGAGTTAGTTTTTTGAAAAAATTGATGATAGGCCACCAGCTAGACTAATTAGGAAGAGAGAAGATCAAATAAACACAATTGGAAATGACAAAGGGAATGTTACTACTGACTCCAGAGTAGTAAACAACCATCAGAAACTACTACGAACACCTCTAAATTGCTGGAAACATACACCCTCTGAAGACTGAGCCAGGAAAACATTGATTCTCTGAACAGACCAATAACAAAACTCTAAAACTGAATAAATAATAAATAGTCTACCAACCAAAAAAGCCCAGGACCTGATGGATTCATAGCTGAGTTCTACCAGATGTACAATGAAGAGCTGGTGCCATTCCAACAGTAACTTCCAAAAAATTATGGAGGGGGAACTTCTCCTCAACTCATTCTGTGAGGCCAGCATCATCTTGATACCAAAACCTGGGAGAGACACAACAAAAAAAGAAAATATCAAGCTAGTAACCTTGATGAACATTGATGCAGAAATCCTCAACAAAATACTTGCAAACTGAATCCAGCAGCACATCAGAAATTTAATCCACCATGAAGTAGGCTTCATTGCTGGGATGCAAGGTTGCTTCAGCATACAAAAATCAATCACAGTGATTCATCACATAAATAGAACTAATGCAGAAAAGGCTTTTGATATAATTCAACATCTCATGTTAAAAACTCTCAATAAACTAGATATTGAAGGAACATACCTGTAAATAATAAGAGCCATCTATGACAAACCCACAGCCAACATTATACCAAATGGGCAAAAGCTGGAAGCATTCCCCTTGGAAACCAGCAGAAGACTATAGGATGCCCTCACCACTTCTCTTCAACATAGTATTGGAAGTCCTAGCCACAGCAGTCAGGCAAGATAAATAAAGGACATCTAAATAGGAAGAGAGGAAGTCAAACTATGTCTGTTTGCAGACAACATGATTCTATATCTAGAGAATGCCATAGCCTCAGCCCAAAAGCTCCTTCAGCTGATAAATAACTTGAGCAAAGTTGCAGGATACAAAATCAGTATACAAAAATCACTAACATTCCTATACACCAACAACAACCAAACTGAGAGCCAAAGCAGAAAGTCAGTCCCATTCACAGTTGACACACACACACACACACACACGCACACACGCCTAGGAATACAGCTAACCAGGGAGGTGAAAGAGCTCTACATGAGAATTATAAAACACTGCTCAAAGAAATCAGAGAAGATACAAACAAATGGAAAAATATCCCATGCTCATGGGTAGGAAGAATCAATATCATTAAAATGGCTATACTACCCAAAGCAAATTACAGATTCAATGTTGTTCATATCAAACTATCAACAACATTCCTCACAGAACTAGAAAAAATTATTTTAACATTTATATGGAACAGAGCCCAGATAGCCAAGATAGCCCAGATAGCCAAGAGCCCAGATAGCCAAGGCAATCCTAAGCAAAAAGAACAAAGCTGGAAGAATCATGTTACCCAACTATACTACAAGGCTCCACTCCCAAAACAGTGTGGTACTGGTACAAAAACAGGCACATAGACCAATGGAACAAAATAAAGAGTCCAGAAATAAGGCCGCACATCTATGACAATCTGATCCTCCCCAAAGCTGACAAAAACAAGCAATGAGGAAAAGACTCCCTATTTAATAAATGGTGCTGGGACAACTGGCTAGCCGTATGCAGACGATTGAAGCTGGACCTCTTCCTTACATCATGTACAAAAATCAACTCAAGATGGATTAAAGAGGCTTAAATGTAAAACCCAAAACTGTAAAAACCCTGGAAGACAACCTAGGCAATACCATCCTGGCAGAGATTTCATGACAGACATCAAAAGCAATTACAACAAAAGCAAAAATTGACAAATTGGATCTAATTAAACTTAAGAGCTTCTGCATAGCAAAAGAAACTGTCAGCAGAATAAACAGCCTACAGAATGGAAGAAAATATTTGCAAATTATGCATCTGATAAAGGTCTAATATCCAGGATCTATAAGGAACTTACTTAGAAGAGAAAAACAACCCCATTAAAAAGTGGGCAAATGGCTAGGCATGGTGGTTCATGCCTATAATCCCAGCACTTTGGGAGGCCGAGTTGGATGGATCACTTGAGGTCAGGAGTTCGAGACCAGCCTGGCCAACATGGTGAAACCCTTTCTCTACTAAAAATACAAACATTAGCCGGGCATGGTGGCACATGCCTGTAATCCCAGCTACTCAGGAGGCTGAGGCAGAAGAATCGCTTGAACCCGGGAGGTGCAGGTTGCAGTGAGCTGAAATCATGCCACTGCACTCTAGCCTAGGTAACAGAGCGAGATTTTGTCTCAAAAAAGAAAAAAAAAGGGGGGGTGCAAAGGACATGAACAGACACTTGTTAGAAGACATGCTTGAGGCCAACAAGCATATGAAAAAAAGCTCAATATCACTGATCATTAGAGAAATGCAAATCAAAACCACAATGAGATACCATCTCACACCAGTCAGTGGCGATAATTAAAAAATAAAAAAATAACAGTGCTGGCCAGGTTACAGAGAAAAGGGAAACCCTTATATGCTGTTGGAGGGAGTATAAATTAGCTCAACCATTGTGGAAAGCAGTATGGTGATTTCTGAAAGAGCTAAAAGCAGAACTACCATTTGACCTGGCAGTCCCATTACTGGGTATATACCCGGAGGAATATAAAGCATTTTATCATTGTGAAGCCCAAATATTGTGAACTCCAAAATTGACAAGTCTCAGTCAATTTAGGAAGTTGATTTTCCCAAAGTTGAGGATGCGTGCCTGTGACACAGCCTCAGGAGGCCCTGATGACATGTGCCCAAGGTGGTCCGAGTGCAGCTTGGTTTTATACATTTTAGGGAGACATGAGACATCAATCCATATACGTAAGATGAACATTGGTTCGATCCAGAAAGATGGGAGAACTCGAAGTGGGGAGGGGGCTTCCAGGTCATAGGTAGATAAGAGACTAGTGGTTGCATTCTTACTGAGTTTCTGATTAGCCTCACCAAAGGAGGCAATCAAATATGCATTTATCTCAGTGAGCAGAGGGATGACTTTGAATAGAATGAGAGGAAGTTTGCCCAAGCAGTTCCCGGCTTGACTTTTCCCTTTAGCTTAGTGATTTTGGGGCCCAAGATGCATTTTCCTTTCACACCATAAAGACACATGCACGTGAATGTTCATTGCCTCACTGTTCACAATAGCAAAGATACGGAGTCAACCTAAGTGCCCATCAGTGACAGACTGGATAAAGAAAATATGGTACACATACACCGTAGAATATTATGCAGCCATAAAAAGGAATGAGATCATGTCTTGGGGGAACGTGGATGGAACTGGAGGCTATCATCCTTAGCAAACTAATGCAGGAACAGAAAACTAAATACCGCATGTTCTCACTTGTAAGTGGGAGCTAAATGATAAGAACTTATGAACACAAAGAAAGAAACAACAGACACTGGTGTCTTCCTGAGGGGGGAGGATGGGAGGAGGGAGAAGAGCGGAAAAGATAACTGTTGGGTACTGAGCTTAATACCTGGGTTATGTAATATGTACAACAAACTCCCATGACACGTGTTTATGTAACAGACCTTCACATGTATCCCCAAACCTAAAATATAAAATGAATGTAGGGGTTTTTATTAGACTCTGGGTGGAGAGATACATGAGAAGGTTCGTATTGGTGAATCATAGGAAATAAAGTTGGATAGCTTTAGGAATGAGATGGAGCAGGGTTGTTTTTGGTGGGTTTTTTTTGTTTGTTTTTTGTTTTTTTTTGAGACAAAGTCTCGCTCTTGTTCCCCAGGCTGGAGTACAATGGCGCAATCTTGGCTCACTGCAACCTCCACCTCCCAGGTTAAAGCAATTCTCCTGCCTCAGCCTCCCAAATAGCTGGGATTACAGGCGCCTGCCACCACGCCCGGCTAATTTTTGTATTTTTAGTAGAGACGGGATTTCACCATCTTGACCAGGCTGGTCTCAAACTCCTGACCTCAGGTGATCCGTCCGCCTTGGCCTCCCAAAGTGCTGGGATTACAGGCATGAGCCACCGCGCCCAGCCTGGAGCAGGGTTTTTAAAAAACTATTTTATTGGAACATATCTCACATACCATAAAATATGAAAGTGTAGTCATGTGCCGCATAGCAACATTGCAGTCAGTGACACATCACATATACCATGGTGATCCCATAAGATTATAATACTGTATTTTTACTGTACCAATTCCATATTTAGATATGTTTACATACACACACGCTTACCATTGTGTTACAATTGCCAAAGTATTCAGTAGTATCAGTAACATGTTATACAGGTTTGTAGCCTGGGGGTAGTAGGCTATACCCCGTCTGTGTAAATAGACTCCGTGATGTTCGCACAACAGTGAAATTACCTAGTGATGCATTTCTCAGAACGTGTCTGCCTCAGGCTATGCACAACTGTATAAAGTTGCATGGTTTTCAGTATGTTCTCAGGGTTGTACAGCCAATCACCACGGTCTAATTTGAGGACATTTTTATCACCCCAAAAATAAACTGTACCCAGTAGCAGCCCCTTGCCATTCCCACCCTTAGCTCTAGGTAACCACAAATCTGCTTTCTGTGGATTTGCCTCTTCTGAAACTTTTCATATAAATGGAATCGTACAATGTATGGTCTTTTGTGTTTGGCTTCTTTCACTTATAAAGTATTGTAGTATGTATCAGTACTTCATTCCTTTTTATATCAAGCTGGTCCCTTTTGTGGATGTATCATGTTTTGTTTATTGATTTATCACTTGATGGACATTCGTATTGTTTCTACATAACCTTTAACCTGTTTCACTATGAAAAATGCTGCTATGAACATTTTTGAAAAGTTTTTGTGTGGATGAATTTATGATTTAATTTCTCTTGGGTAGAATTTCTGGGTCATGTTGTAAACCTTAAGTTCAACATTTTTAAAAACTGCCAAGCTATTTTTCGGAGTGGCCGCAGCATTTTGAGGCTTCTCCTTTCCCTGCATCCTAGCCTACATTTGTTATTTTCAGTTTCTTTGATTATAATCATACTAATGGGTGTAAAGTGGCATATTATTGTGGCTTTGATTTGCATTTTCCTAATGACTATCAAAAGACAAAATTACAACAAATTTTTTAAAATTTAAATTTCTTCATTTAACAATTCTAGAATGGGCTAACGCTTCATTCTGTAAAATAGAATGTATTCTGATGAGCTGACCTGAGGTTTTATAGACAGAAAATGACTGAAGGAAATATAAACAAAGAACAAGAAGTGTATTGGTCACTTTAAAGTTACTTTCCTTGTAAGGCGCAAGGTGGGAACAGTGAAACAGAACAATAGAAAGTAACTGATTGGTTAACATTAGGTCACTTCAGGTTACATTTTGTTGGAAGGATTAAAGGTCGAGGGAACTTTGTTATCATGCTGATTAAAAGTGGCCTGCTTGAGAAATTCAGCCATCTCCCTCTCCTGATTTCTAGGAATGCCAGATAACTCAGTTTCAGTTTGATGGTATGGAACTTTAGTGTGAGTGACTCCATTACTGCACTATGCCTAGTGCAGTAGCTTAGCCCAAAACAATGCCTTATTTAACATGACTAAGGATGTTGGACGTCTTTTATGTACATATTGACCATTTATTTCTCTTCTTTGGAAAAATGTCTATTTAAGTCTTTTGCCTTAAAAGACTTTAATTGGGTTGTCTTTTTGTTGTTGGGCCTGTAGGAGGTATTTTATATATTCTAGATACAAGTCTTGCCCCTCTCCTCCCTCCCACCCCCTACCAGTGTGAAGCCTCTGATGCTGCCACTCAGGGGGAATAGCCTTGAGTATGCCCACAATAAGGATGGCACTGGTTTTGGTAGAGCTTTCTTTGGCTGTCTTTTCCCCTGACCACACCCACCTCTTAAGCTCCATTACTTGCAGACTGATTGTGCTATTGTTTTCAAAGTCTGGGGCATAAATTGTTTCACAAACTGATCCAATCAAATTTATACTCCTTTGTGGACATAGTTTTCAAGGGCAGCGTTTGAGTTTGTTCTGACCCCAAAAAGGCTCTTCCCAGCTGTTTCTGTTTCTTTCCAGCATACTAGGAAATCTACAGTTTAGCCTTTATCACCAGTGACTCTTTCAATCTGCCTTTCATCACAACCACCACTATTCTGGAGAGCACCGTTCAGTTTGGACTTTTACATACTTTGTTGCAATGAAGTCAGTTCCTTTGGGTAAAGATTTGGAGCTCTGTTTTATGGCCTGCTTCTTTGCCCAGTCAGTGTTGGAGTCAGGCTCCAGTGCTGGCGGAAGGGACAATGGATCATTCTCACTACAAGACCTCCTGATTTAGGAGCTGAGTGTTCAGTGGAGCAAGAGGCAGCAGCCCAGGTTTCTTGGCTTGTCTCTCCTGGCATGGAACCCCCACCCCAGGATCTGGGGCAAAAGCTGTCAGGACCCTAGTGTTCTCAGCAGCACCATGCCCAAGGTGGAGCCTCCATCCCCCAAGTGGGACTGGGGCTGAGGAAGGGAGGCTCCACCTCTCAGCCACACTTGCCCAGAACTTAGCCTCAGCTACAGGTGGCTGTGAGAAAGGGGAGAAATGCCTGCATGCTGCCCCTCTTGCTAGAGCCCTGTGATCTTGGCTCTAATTGGGGGGTAGAGTTTCTGTCTTGCCAAGCTGTGAGGGGAAAGGAGGAAGAGGGCTCTGTTTCAGACATTACAGACTCTCCTTGTCCTCACCGAGCTTTAGTAGATTTTTTTGAATAGATGTTTCTTCATTTGCTGTATACCCTTAAGACGATTTCTAGAGACTTTAAATGGTTGGATTAAAAAAAAATTTTTTTTTAAATAACATTTACGCATTTCACTGAGGAATGGGTCTGAGGAGCTCCCCACACTGTCATGTCAGAAGGGAGGAGGAAAAACAGGTTAGCCACCTCTTGGCTACTTTTTACCACCACGATCCTCAATTTCCTCTCTTGTAAAATGTGAAGAACACTATTCTTATCGGTTGTAAGGATTAGTGAAATGACATATATGAAAACTTCATATTGCTAATCCAAAATAGGTAAAACAGTGTGCAGAAGCAGGCTGATGTAAGCACTAGCATTTCTCTTCTCTAAACTGTTGTGCATTCTAGAAATGGTAACACAAAGTTACTAGACCTCAGAAATTCTGGTGCTTATACATTTTTATGACTAAGTTGTTTATGGCACACATCATTTTGGTTGTGCTAGATGGTTTCACTTTTTGATTACTCTTACCTATTTTCTTTTAAACGTTTTTAGATGGTATGTGGGCTAACCCAGGTCAAACCTCTTCTCAAAACAACTTTTTTCTAGCTAATATTAATACCTCCCTTGTTCCAACTCCTGTTAAACTTGTATTCAGTTGCTATAGCTGGTTTTATTTTTTGTTTTTGAGTCACAGTTTTGCTGTCACCCAGGCTGGAGTGCATGCACTTGCACTGTCATCGCTCAGTGCAACGTCCAACTCCTGGGCTCAAGCAGTCCTCCCACCTCAGCCTCCTGTGTAGCTGGGACTGCAGGCACACACCACCACACCTGGCTAATTTAATTTTTAGTAGAGACAAGGTCATTATGTTGCCTAGGCTGGTCTCAAACTCTTGGACTCAAGCGATCCTCCAATCTCAGCCTGCCAAAATGCTGGAATTACAGGCGTGAACCACCGTGCCTGGCCTACTATAGCCTGTTTTAACATTCAGTTGTTCATCAATGATTTCTTACTTACCAGTTTTGGTTCCCTGTGTAGATGGTAAGTTCCTTTTAGGGAAGACCTGTGTCCTCCACACTACCTGGAACACTTAAATACTTATTATTATTTTCTAACGGCAATTTTAGTTTTGTAGAACTTTCAGCCTTAAGACTAGTCTAGTCATACGTTCATAAATAACATAATGATGTTCATGATTATTAGCTACCACACCCAGCTAATTTTTGTGTTTTTAGTAGAGTCAGAGTTTTGCCATTTTGGCTGATCTCAAACTCCTGACCTCAGGTGATCCGCCTGCCGTGGCCTCCCAAAATGCTGGGATTACAGGCGTGAGCCACCATGCCTGGCTTATACCTGCTTTGTTCATTTTGTTCACGTATCAGTACCTCTTACTGCTTCTGCCTCATTCTTTTAAAAGTATGTGCTGTTTCAGTGTATCAATATATGTATTTCAATGTATTTAACCTATTCTTTTACTGATGGAGAATTCATTGGCTATTTTTTTTTCCTGTTACATGATAGTATGCACAAGTTAGTATTGGGTCCTGTGTTGAGAATTTTGAATTAAAATTTGTTCTTTAAATTAAAATGAGCTGGTTCTCAAGAAATGAACAGTTTCTGAGTTCTTTTTTTTTCTTCTTTTACCTCAAGTGATCCTCCCACTTTAGCCTCCCAGGTAGCTGGTAGCTAGTACTATGGGTGTGCACCACCACACCTGGCTAATTTTTAAATTTTTTATGGATACAGGGTCTTGCTATGTTGTCCAGGCTGTTCTCTAATTCCTGGGCTCAAGCAGTCCTCCCCCCATGGCCTCCCAAAGTGCTGAGATGACAGTCATGAGCCACCATACCCAGCCACGAAATGTATAGTGTTTATCCAGAAGATAAAGCTGACACGTGAAATCGTAGCAGAATAATTAAATGTTTAATTGGCTTTTACCTTTTTTAAGGGTAATTATACAGAATATACAGAATTGTTGCATCAAGTAGTGCTTCACTTTTTATAAGTGCTCTAGGAGAGATTTCTGACAAGGAAAAACTAGGTACAGGAGTGATCAGAGATGTCCACAGGACAAAGCAATGTGTATGATCCTTGTTTATAGTTCCGTCTTTGATTTTTGTTCCAACTTTGTCATTTTCTACTTCCAAAATTATCCAGATTCATACCAGGTACCTTTCAGAAAGGCAAATTGGTAAGATTGGGGCAGAGTGACCTATAGTGAGAAGCAAGGGGATATAGTGAATTATTGATGTATATCACTTACCTAATGCAATAATTTATTCCTTTTATCAATTAATATTAATTGACTACATGACATGTGCTGGAGGAAAAGTGGTGAACAAAGAATCTCTTTCCTTGTTGAATGTATATCCTTGTAGAAGAGGAGACAATAAATCTAAAAGTAAAATAGAGAATATGTTAAGTATTGTGGTAACTGTCCAAAGATAGCTGCCTAGTGCACTATGCTTCCCAGTCCCACATCTTTCTGTTGTCCTCACCCACAGTTAAAGAGTGGGCTGGTTCTGTGTAATCAGTAGGACATGGTGGAAATGAAATATCCTTGCCTTTGTTTTTTTGGAATGGCTCCGGGGGAAGCCAGCATCTGTGTAAGAGGTACTGTGCTACTGTGAGACCTCAAACTATTTGTGTGGGAAGGCTGCATGGTAAGACAGAGATACCTGGCTACACTTCAGCTGTTTCAGCCATCCCAGCTAAGGCACCAGACTTGTGATTAAGGAGGTCATCTTGGATATCTAGCTGAATCTAGCCTTCACATGACTCCAGTGCCGGCAGCCATTTGACTGAAACCATGTGAGAGACTCCATACAAGAACCACTCAGTTGAAGCCAGGCAACCCATAGACTTGTGAAAGATAGCAGTAGATTATCATTTTAAGCCGCTAAATTTTAGAATGATTTGTTGCTCACCAATAGGTAATCAGAACAGATGGTGATTTGTATTGCGAAGAAAAATAAATTGGGAAAAAGGTTAGGGAGAGAGAGATTCTAGTTTAAATTGGATGGTCAAGGAAAGCTTTACTGAAAAGATGTTCAAAAAGCATGAGTGGACCAGGTGCGGTGGTTCACACCTGTAATCCCAGCACGTTGGTAGGCCAAGGCAGGCGTATATATCACTTGAGGCCAGGAGTTCGAGACCAGCCTGGCCAATACGACAGAACCCCATCTCCCATCTCTACTAAAAATACAAAAATTAGCTGGCCACAGTGGCATGCACAACTGCAATCCCAGCTATTTGGGAGGCTGAGGCACAAGAATTGCTTAAATCCAGGAGGTGGAGGTTGCAGTGAGCCGAGATCACACCACTGCACTACAGTCTGGGTGACAGAGCAAGACTCTGTCTCAAAAAAAAAAAAAAAAAAGGAAAAAGCATGACGGACATATGGGAGTAAGTAATGTTGATACCTGGGAAAGAACATTTCAGTCAGAAGGAACAGCAAGTACAAAGATTCTGTGGCTGGAGCAGCCTCAGGTTTTCAAGAAACAATCATGAAGGCAGGTATGGATCGAGCATAGGAAAGAGAGGAAGATTAGTGGGAACTGAGGTTAGGCATAGAGGTTGGGAGTAGGTGCAAATTATATATGTGAGTGATGTTCATCTTTATGAGGTGTAACACTTTTGTAAAAAAGAATTTTCATAACTCCTTTTCTTTCCCAAATATAGATAATATGTATAATGAAATGTAGATGATATAAACTTTTTATACACTTAATTGGAAAAATATAGTGCTTCCAACTTAATATAAAAAAGAAAGAAAAGTAATATAATCAGTGTATTTTATTATGTAAATACTGTGGTCTAGAAGAATGTAAGTAGCCTTTATATAGAGATATAAAGAACTGCTGACTTTGACCACTATAAATTAGGACTTAAACAGGTGTGTTATATTGGTGACTCACATATCATGAACAGTTTGCTATTTGTGATGAGAATACTGGAGTGCAGTGGCGCGATCTCACCTCACTGCAACCTCTGCCTCCCGTGTTCAAGCAATTCTTCTGCCTCAGCCTCCTGAGTAGCTGGGATTACAGGTGCCCACCACCACGCGCAGCTAATTTTCTGTATCCTTTTTTTTTTTTTTTTTTTTTTTGTGAGACGGAGTCTCGCTCTATCGCCCAGGCTGGAGTGCAGTGGCACGATCTTGGCTTACTGCAAACTCCGTCTCCCAGGTTCACGCCGTTCTCCTGCCTCAGCCTCCCGAGTAGCTGGGACTACAGGCACCCACCACCGCGCCTGGCTAATTTTTTGTATTTTTAGTAGAGACGGGGTTTCACCGTGTTAGCCAGGATGGTCTCGATCTCCTGACCTCAAGTGATCTGCCTGCCTCAGTCTCCCAAGTGCTGGGATTACAGGCATGAGCTACTGCGCTCAGCCGGTAACTCATTCTTGATAAGAGTTCCGCATGAAAGTATTAGCTTTCCCTTGATTTACATGGAAGATGCATTCTGGAAAATTCAGAGCATATTAAAATAATACAATTTACCTAATTCACTAACATGAATGTTCCATTGCATATTTGAAACTTGGGGTAGTACCCACTAAATTTCAGTAGCTCTCCCCAGTTATGACAACCAGAAACATTCCCTCTAAAAAGGACTTTTTAGGCCATTATAAGAATATTGGCTGTGAGTCTTTGGAGAGTTATAAGCAAAGGAGTAATAAATCACTTATATTTTAATGAGATCATTCTGGCTGCTATATGGAGATTAAATCAGGGAGAGGTACAGAAGAAGAGAAACCAGTTAAAAGTCTAATGCTGTATTTTAGGTGGACAGATAGTGATTTACACAGGAGTTGAAATTGTACATCCTCAAATGTGGTTGGATTCTGGAGAGTGAGAGAGAGTTTTTTTTTTTTTTTTTTTTTTGAGACAGAGTCTTACTCTGTTGCCAGGCTAGAGTGCAGTGGCACAATCTTGGCTCCACCTCCCGGGTTCAAGCGATTCTCCTGCCTCAGCCTCCCGAGTAGCTGGGACTACAGGTGCGCGCCACCACGCCCAGCTAATTTTTGTAGTTTTAGTAGAGACGGGTTTTCACCATGTCGGCCAGGATGGTCTCAATCTCTTGACCTCGTGGTCTGCCCGCCTTGGCCTCCCAAAGTGCTAGGATTACAGCCATGAGCCTCTCTGCCTGGCCGGATTCTGGATATATTTAGAAAGTAGCTTATGCATCTTGGATCTTGGTACCAGGGTACATGTTTTTTGTTTTTGTTGTATCTATTCCTGCTGTGTATTTTCCCAGAAGTGATTATGTTGAATAGTTCACCTCTGCTAGACTTTTGAACTTTTAATATAGAGAGAATTATTTTTTTTCCTACAAATGGTTATTTCCATTGCTAATTAAAAGTAGAAAAGTAGCGTTTCTTCTTTTTAAAAAACATGAACTTTCATGTTGCTAGTCTGGACATTAGAATTCAAGTAATCATAAATGAAAAGAAAATGTCAGCTTCATAAACACTGGAAAGTTTTTTGAGTTTATACTCTTTAGGGCCAATACCATCTAATTATTAGGGGAAATTGGTTTTTGTTGGAAATTAGACATTTATTTTATGCATGCCATCTTTGAAGGAAGCATTCCATGGCATTGTTGACTTCAAGAGACACTTTGATCTCAAAAAATGATGTGAATCCCTTTTGGATAATCTTTGGATAGCATCAAAATCGTGACTTTTATATGAGTATGCTTTATAATGGCTTATTCTTTTTTTTTGACACGTAGTTTTGCTCTGTTGCCCAGGCTAGAGTGCAGTGGCACCATCTCAGCCCACTGCAACCTCTGCCTCCTGGGTTCAAGCAGTTCTTGTGCCTCAGCCTCCCTAGTGGCTGGGATTACAGGCACCCACCACCGTACTTGGCTAACTTACTCTTGATTACCACAGCCAGAGGTAAAGGGCAACCAAGCCCTTCTGTTCCAGTTATCAATAACTTAACTTCCTCCTTGCAGCAACTGCAAGAAAGTATATTTTGTGGGGGGGTTTGTTTTGACCCAAGGTCTCGCTCTGTCGCCCTGTTGGGAGTGCAGTGATGAGCCAGCGATCATGGCTGTCTGCAGCCTTGACCTCCTGAGCTCAAGTGATCCACCCACTCCAGCCTCTAGAGTTACTAAAACTACAGGTGCGCACCACCACACCCAGCTAATTTTTAAAGTAGAGTCAGGGTCTCACTATGTTGCTCAGGCTGGTCTTGAACTCCTGGTCTCAAGCAATCCTCCTGCCTCCACCCCACCGAAGTGCTGGGATTTATAAGTATTTATTGAGTACCTGCTGTGTTTAGTGGTAGTCAAGTCCTTTGTGTGGATACGTGGTTTGGAGACTTAACTCTGGAGCATAGGTATCCCTTCTCACAGAAGTCCTAGTTAACGGACTAGGACCATATCTTATCATATTCATCCTTAAAGCCCCAATCTGACAATGAATAAGCCAAAATTAATATTTTTCAAGCAATAGTGAAAAAAAGTTTGGTTCATTTTTCACCGACCCCTTTACATTTAGGAATAAGTTTGCTGTTTTGCAATTTTACATTTGTGTTTATCTCCTGTAAAAGAAAAATAAGGCAGCATTGTATATTCACTTTCTGTTTTGCCTCAACCTTACCCTCTAATATTAGACTCCACGCGTCTTTTCTTGATTCATTCTTTCTCAGACTGCTCAGCAGGAAAACACTGTTTACAAACAGTCTGACTTAATAACTTCCTTTCCTGCTGATCAAATAGTTGTTTAAATGAAACCTTTCTCAGGGCTGAGTGGGTGTTCTAGTTAGTGGGTGTTCTGGAATGTAAATGAACCCTTATTTTAAGAAAGATTATTTTTATACTAGCAGTTCTGTGTACACCAAGATACACATTTGTAGCAAGTGGAAAGTATGGAAACATAAACTGGACTTATTGGAAATTTTTAGATTAGTGAAAGACCTACATATATGGCTTGTTAATAGGCAAATCCCAAAACTAACATAACCGGCAAAATAGAATGCAGTTTATTGAGCCTGTTTCCCTTGGCTTTGGTTTTTACGTATGAGATGCAGTCTAATGGCATGCAGAACAATTTCTGCAGCAATGATAGCAACTGCATTTGAGATACAGCTTGATAGGGATCATGAAACTACCAACCCACAAATCTTTGGAGACTGTATGACAGATTTAGTTCCTATGATTGATTGCTTGGTTGGTTGATTGATTTTAGAGGCAGAGTCTTACTCTCTCACCTAGGCTGGAGTGCAGTGGTATGATCATAACTCATTGACCTCAAACTCCTGGACTCAAGTGATCCTCCTGCCTCAGCCTCCCGAGTAGCTGGAATTACAGGCACCCTCCACTACACCTGGCTTGTTTTATGTTATATGATCAGCATTTCATACTTAGGAGAGACTAATATTAAAAGCATTTTAATCCAAAGCTTTATTTCAACACTACAGGATAAAAAATGCGAGAGCTGGGCACAGTGGTATATGCCTGTAGTCCCATCGGAAGGCAGAGGTGAGAGGATCACTTGAGCCCAGGAGTTCAAGACCAGCCTGGGCGACATAGCAAGACCTTATCTCAAAAAAAAAAAAAAAGTGACATGACTTATTGGAAAGGTGATTGTACTAGAAGCTGAGAAACCTGGATTCTACAACTGATCTTACCAAAAAGTAGTTGTATATAACATTTATTCTAACATTTGACATTTAACATTTTTAAGCTTTAGCATCTTTTACAAGAGGGAAGTTGAATTAAAATTTTTTTTTTTGAGATGGAGTTTCACTGTTGTCACTCAGGCTGGAGTACAATAGTACTAGTTTCAGCTCACAACAACCTCTGCCTCCCAGAGTCAAGCAATTCTCATGACTGAGCCTCCCAAGTAGCTGGGAATACAGGCGTGCGCCACCACGCCTGGCTAATTTTTGTATTTTTAGTAGAGATGGGGTTTCACCATGTTGACCAGGCTGGTCTCGAACTCCTGACCTCAGGTGATGCGCCTACCTTGGCCTCCCAAAGTGCTGGGATTACAGGCGTGAAAAAATTAAAGTTTTATCTAACTTAGATTTTTTTATTCTTTACTATCTGTATCGTGAAAGGCATAGCCTCCCTCTAATCTCTTAATTGGGATCAAGAAAGAAAATAGGATATTCAGTGGTTATATGGAGCTTACAGATGGTGAGTACTCTCCCTTTTCTTCATGATCTTCAAAGGAAATTGCAGATTGAGGTAAACAGGACAATAGCATGCCATTATGATTTTAAACCTTTTAAATTTCTGAACCATGCTTCATCTTTATGTATTCTCTTCCCAACTTTTTGTCTCTGGGATTATGAGTAAATAGAACTGGGTAAAAGGTGGGGGTAGGGTACAAAGTAGAAAATGGAAAAAGTAAAAGGAGATAAAAATAGATTGGGTGTTTCAGTGATTGTAGAGGTCAAATAAGTTTTCCATTGTTGATTATATTCCTTTCCACTGTTCAGCTTACTGCTATTTACTCTCGCTCCTTGCTATATATTTTACATGGAGACAGAGTCGGACTTGTGTGGGTTTTTCTATTTAATTCTCCTGAGATTGTGAAACTGCTCAGCTAAATTTGTTCTGCTGTGAGAACAAATAACTGGAGGGCAATTCAAAATACTTGTTTAATATTTTCTTGGAAATCCTCAAAGAAACAGGGAGGATTTTAGATCCGTGTGGTAAGAAATTCACTGGGATACACACATTAAAAAAATTTTTTTGGTAGCTCTTGGTTTCCCCTTTCTTGGCTGTGCTATTTACTGTCTTCCAGTGGCAGAATAACCTAGCAAAAATTTTTGTTTTGCATAATAGAGAAAGGCTAGGTTAAGTTTTATTGCACTAACGTAAGTTTTATATGATCAGGGAAAGGTTAGTCTATCATGGACTGTTTAGGATGGGAGGTAATCATCCTTTATATTGATTTTCAAACATTTTTGTTCAAAAGTGTTTTCCAAACAAAATCTTATACCAAGACCCTCTATAGAAGATAGATAAAAGGAATGACTTTGTTTATCAGATAGCTCAAATCCACGTGGTTTTGTTGATAGACTATATGAATGCCTTAACAGAGCATTGGGAACTTGGGAGATTGCAGGAAAAGGCTTAGTTACGCAGGACTTTGTATATATTGCAGGACATGTTGGACTCCTGCCCACTAAATGCTCTACAGACTCCTGAAGTATTTTCTAGGGAACACTATCATCATCAATGAGAAGCACTAATCTGTAATCTCTCCCCTGGCGATTTTATTCACTTCCAAGGCTTTATGTACCATACCATCTACATACTGACTGCCAAACTGTTTATCTGCAGTCCCAAACTGTTTATCTCCAGGTTCTGTTTCTGAGCTCCAGATTTGTAGAAGCATCTGCCTACTTGACATTTCTCCTTTGATGTCTAATATGCATTCAAACATAGTATGTATTAAATAAACCTCTTGATTTTTTCCTCCAAAGCCTTTTCCTCTTCTTTTTTTATCTCAGTGAAAGTTACCATCTACTCATTTGCTTAAGTAAAAAATCTAGATGTCAGACTTAATTCATACCTCCCCTGCCTGTCTCCCCAAACCTCACATCTAATTTATCCGTCCTTTGTTGGCTCATCTTTAACATAAATCCTCAACCTCTCCATTTCTCTGTTTCCAATGTTACCAGTTTAATTCAAGCTACTCTTCTTGTCTTCTGATTGGTGCCCCTACTTCTACTCTTATCCCTTTATTATCTGTTCTCCGCTAAGACACTAGAAGAATTTTTTAACTCATCATGCCACAACCCCATGCTTACATTTCAGTGGCTGCTCTGTGATCTTAGAATAAAATTCAAACTCCTTATCATGATCTATAAAGGACCCATAATCTGATTTCTGCCTACCTGTCTAACCTCATCTTTTTTTTTTTTTTTTTTTTTTTTTTTTTTTTGAGACGGATTCTCGCTCTGTCGCCCAGGCTGGAGTGCAGTGGCGCGATCTCGGCTCACTGCAAGCTCCGCCTCCCAGGTTCACGCCATTCTCCTGCCTCAGCCTCCCGAGTAGCTGGGACTACAGGCGCCCGCCACCACGCCCGGCTAATTTTTTGTATTTTTAGTAGAGACGGGGTTTCACCGTGTTAGCCAGGATGGTCTCGATCTCCTGACCTCGTGATCCGCCCGCCTCGGCCTCCCAAAGTGCTGGGATTACAGGCGTGAGCCACCGCGCCCGGCCTAACCTCATCTTTTAACAGTCTTACTCTTGAGTCCCTCAAGCTACAGTCACCTGCCTTCCACTCTCGTAAGGTATGACACCCCCTTCCCACGTACTGATCTCTCTACTGGCTGTTCCTTGTGCCTGGAGTATTTTTCCCAGTTTATAGTATAGCAGATACATTCTTATCTTTCAGGTCTCTGCTTGCTTGTTACTGCTTAAGAGCCCTTCCCATACCCCAGTACCCAACTCATTTATCCCAGCTTGTAATTATCTTGATTCTTTATTAGTTTACATGTTATTTTCTTTTTTCCCCATTAGAATGTAAGCTCTTTGAGAGCTTATGTTCTCTTATTTATTGCTCTCTCTCATGTAGCACAGTGCTTAGATGAATGAATGAGGTGTATATACAGATTATCACGGAAATGCAGAGAAGGGTCATTTTTACTAGTCTAGGCATGGAGTTGGGGGCTATTAGCAGTAAGAAGGCCTCATGGATAAGTGATTTTTGAGGTGAATGTATTGTGCTGTGGTCCTAAACTGCTGTGAGGTGAACAACGTAGGCAGTGTGACATCAGTGGACCAGGTAGCCAAGACTGCTGCTAAGTGACTATAAGATTGGTAGCATATAGAGCATGGATACCCCAGACAAAGGAATGATTCATGTCCAGGGCAGGATGGAGTGGGACAGCCTGAGATTTCATCATGCTACTCAACACAGTGCAGTTTAAAACTTAAGAATTCTTTATTTCTGGAATTTTCCATTTAATATTTCCAGACTGCAGTTGACTATAGGCGACTGTAACCATGAAAAGTAAAACTGTGGATAAGGGGAGACTACTATGCCTACTTAAGGAATGTTTTGAATAATGTGATAATTAAGTCAGACAAACATGTATGTATGTTTGCATGTATGTATGTATGTACGTACGTATTAGGGACAAGATCTTGCTCTGTTGCCAAGGCTGCAGTGCAGTGGTGCAATCACGGCTTGCTGCCGCCTTGAACTTCTGTGCTCAAGCAATCCTTCCTCAGCCTCCTCAGTAGCTGGAACTACAGGCACGTGCCTCCATGCACAGCTAATTTTTAAATTGCATTTTTAGACATGGACCTCTCACTATGTTGCCCAGGGCTGGTCTCAAACTGCTGGACTCGAGCAGTTCTCCCACCTTGGCCTCCCAAAGTGCTGGGATTATAGTTGTGAGCCACTATACCTGGCCCCTCAAATTACTGGTTTTATCATCTAATTCTGAAACTTCTAGACACATTTTCAAACTGTTAAAATCCTGTTTCTGAGTCTCATCTTAGCAATAAAGAAGCTAGAGTAAAGATCAAGTTGTACCCTACATGAATACAAGCCACCTCTTCAGCTTCCTGGTACTATCTGTACTCTGTCTGAGGACTTTATCTCCCTCTTGGTCACATTTGCCGAGATTGATAGAAATGAATCCAGGCACTCATTCATTCATTTGTATCCACATGCACATTTTTTTGTATCGTGACTTAACACACACACACACTCTCTCTGCATCTCTCCATCCATATATGGTCATGTGTCGCTTAACGATGGAGATACTTTCTGAGAAATGCACCCTTAGGTGATTTCATCATTGTGCAACCATCATAGAGTGTACTTACGCAAACCGAGATGGTATAGCCTACCACACACCTAGGCTGTATGGTCTAGTCTCTTGTTCTTTAGGTACAAACCTATTCAGTATGTTGCTGTACTGAATACCCTAGGCAACTGTAATAAAATGGCAAGTATTTGTATATCTAAACATACATAACATAGAAATTGTACGATAAAAATACAGTATAAAAGGTTTTTTTCTTTTAATGGTACACCTGTATAGGGCACTTACCATGAATGGACATTGCAAGACTGGAAGCTGCTCTGGATGAGTCAGTAAGTGAATTATAAGTGAGTAGGAAGGCCTAGGACATTACTGCAAACTTTGCAAACCTATGTACTTAAGCTACACTAAATTTATTTTTTAAAATGTCTTCAGTAATAGATTAATTATTAATACTAGATTATCTTAGCGTACTCTAACTTTTTTACTTTATAAACTTAATTTTTTAAAATATTTTTACTCTTTCATAATACTTAAAACACGTTGTATGAGTACAAAAATATTTTCTTTCATTATTCTATAAGCTTTTTTCTATTAGAGATTTCTTTTTTACTGTTTATACATTTTTGTTAAAAACTAAGACACAAAAATACATTAGCCTAGGCCTATACGGGGGCAGCATCATTAATACAGAGGTGGAATCGCTGTCTTCCACCTCTGTATCTTGTCCTACTGAAAGGTCTTCAGGGGCAGTAACACACATGGAGCTGTCATCTCCTATGATGGCAATGCCTTCTTCTAGAATACCTCCTGAAAGACTTGCCTGAGCTTGTTTTACAGTTAACTTCTTTTTTTAATAAGTAGGAGTACACTCTAAAGTAATGATAAAAAGTATAGTATAATAAATATGTAAATCAGTAACATAGTTGTTTATTATCATTATATGACTGGAAGTGCAGTAGGTTTGTTTACAACAGCATCACCACAAATACGTGAGTAATGCCATGCTCTGTGACATCACTAGGAAATAGGAATTTTTCAGCTCTATTATAATCTTATGGATGCGTCATATCTACAGTCCATTGTTGAACAAAATGTCAGTATGTAGTACATGACTATATTTTATCTGTATTATTCATCATATAGAGTACTGTGGCTGCTCTGTGAATATAGTTATTGTATGTATTTCTTTAAGGGAAAATGAGTTCTGAGATGCAAAATAACCAAGTTAAAAATGAACTTGCTGGGCTCGGTGGCTCACACCTGTAATCCCAGCACTTTGAGAGGCTGAGGTGGGTGGATCACCTGAGGTCAGGAGTTTGAGACCAGCCTGACCAACATGGAGAAACCCCGTCTCTACTAAAAATACAAAATTAGCAAGGCGTGGTGGTGCATGCCTGTAATCCCAGCTACTTGGGAGGCTCACTTGAACCTGGCGGGGCAGAGGTTGTGGTGAGCTGAGATCGTGCCATTGCACTCCAGCCTCGGCAATAAGAGTGAAACTCTGTCTCACAAAAAAAAAAAAGAGCTTTCTGGATCTCTGAATGTTATATTTCTGCTGTATCTTAAAAGCAAACAAAATAATTAAAAATAAAGGAAAAATTAAAATCTTTGTTGCAATATCAAAACACAATAATGACAAAAATAAATAAGAAGTGTGAGACAATGAGATAAAGTATTTTTGCTGGTTTATGTTCAGAAATATTTTTTATAATGAATAAGAATTCTGATTTTGAGATTTTATCTCAATGTGCAGTACTTTAAAAAATGTTTTTTATATTCTTTTATATTGTACCATTTCTCTCAAGGATTTGAAAGAAATATATTGAAGATGGGATCAAAGTAGATGAATTTATGTACCATTGTTTCAAGAATCGGAAGTGACGACTTAGGTGCTGGAAACAACAGAAATTACCACAGCATTACTATGCAGAGATTCCTTGGCGGGGGAAAACACCCATATATTCACATCACACTATCTGCCACAATGTACAAAAAAATTCTGCAGTTTATTTCTGGTTGATACAGTTATATGGCTACCCAGTTAACTGGTTCTACTTATTAAAAAGTTCAGCTTTGCCTCACTGATTTGATATAATACTTTTATATGTGAAAGTCTGTGTTTAGGCTTTCAGTTATATCCCACAGGTTTACTTGTGTACCACTAATATACTGTATTAATTTAGAGGCTTTATACTATGTTTTAACGTTTGGTTATTCAAACATTTCTTTTATTGCTGTATTCCTTGGATTACATTATTCCTTAATTCCCAAGGATTAACACAAATGGAGGTTTTTTTCCATGCTCTTTCCATTGAGAAATTTGTGTCCTCGCTCAGATTTAGGTATCTCCCATATTTCCAGGTCCTACTTCAATTCGTTTTTCAATTGAAGAAATATTTACTGAGTAACTGCTATTCCCAGGTAATAGGCTAGATGCAGGATCCAGTAATAAGAGAGACCGTGTCCCTTAGGAGCCCCAATATTTCTTAATTTGATGAGATAACACTGTGAAACAAAAGGTATTTAGTATGAATCTTTGATCTTAAGAGGTTTGAGAATTTGTGAATGTATCTGGAGGAGGTTACACTGACAAAGTTCTGATTTATTCACTCATTATCAGTCAGTCAGCAGCCTAAAGGAACTTACAGAACATTCCCCATGTTTCTTACTTTTTAGGTGTACCAACATTCCAAGAAATTCTGGCTCATAGATTCCTAAAAAAAATAACTGCTACTCAGTGTAATGGCTGAAGGTAGTAGTGTATGAACCATGTGATCCGTAGAAAATGATGCACAAAGCACACTAAAAAGCCAGTCAGTACCACTATGTACCTATTGAGCGGCCAACATCCATAACACTGACAACACCAAATGCTGACAAGGATGTGGAGCAGCAGATTTAACAGCCACTTTGCAGTATAGTTTGGCAGTTTCTTGCAAAACTAGATATACTCCAACCATAAGAACCAGCAGTTCTGCTCCTTGGTATTTACCCAAAGGAGTGGAAAACTTATATCCACACAAAAACGTGCACATGGATGTTTACAAAGCAGCTTTATTCATAATTGCCAAAACTTGGAAGCAACCAAGATGCCTTTTATTAGGTAAATGGAGAAATAAACTGTATCTGTTACATCCAGACAGTAAAATATTATTCAGCACTGAAAAAAAATGAGCTATCAAGCTATGAAAATACCTGGAGAAACTTTAAATGCAAATTACTAAGTCAAAGAGACCAATCTGAAAAGGCTACATATTGTATGATTTAAACTGTGTGACATTCTGGAAAAGACAAAACTATGGAGAAAGTAAAAAGATCATGGTTTCCAGGGGTTAGGGGAAAGGGAGGGATAACTAGGTGGAGCACATATTTTTAGGGCAGTGAAACTATTCTGTATGATACTGTAGTGGTGGATACATGTCAGTATGTATTTGTCCAAATCCTGTGGGACTGTTACATGTTATGAGTGATATGCTCTGACACTCCTGGGAGACTCCTTGGTTGCCTAAGGTGCCTTTCAGCCAGGAGGTACAGTTCCCCTTGTCTTTGGGACTTTTCTTGTGCTCATAAAGTCTTTTATAAACTTTGGTCACTCAAAAGGAAATTTTAAATGTGCCAAATTGAATGGAGCTTTAGATCTGGCCAGTTTAAGAAAATTTGCCTAAGCTGTAGACATTCACTTCCTCTTTTCAAAGAGAAACTGCTTTCTCCATGATAAAATTTCAAATGAGAGAAAAGGTTACAAACTGTAGTGAATAAGACAAGCAAGACTTTTTAATCTCAGAGAAAAGTGAAAAAATCACAAATATACACAAATAATGGAATAAGAGAATAACAAACTAAACGCCTACCTTAAAGTAGTGCTTCAATTCCAGTCTCATCAGTTGTTGAATCAGGTTCCATAAAGTCTGAATCTCAGTCAAGCCAGGGAGATTCAACCTTGAGAGTAGTCTGACCAAGGGCTTCTGCAGTCTTCAGCGAGGTCAGTTGGATGCAACGGTCCATGCTGGTGCTGGGGCTCCAGCTGTTGGCAAAACAGCAGGAGTCAATGAAGGCCTAATTTGGGTCCCATCTGGTTCACCAAAATGTCACCCTGAAATAATCAAGAGGCCCAGAATCCAATTTTAAAAGAGTTTGTTCAAGTGCAAAATTTGAGACTGGCCACCCAGAAAAAACAAGACTCCAGAGTAGTTGGGTCATTGCTGAGAAGTGGAGAAGCTGAGGCTTCACTTATATAAGTAGAAGCAAAGAAGTTTACAAGTATTACCACATTTTTAATACAATGCTGATTTATGAGTTACAGCAGTTTGATTGGTTACAGCTTATTCTTTTTCAGGAAAGATATATTTAAAATTGCATCCCTATCAATTTGGTAGTCATGGGGCCTTTCGCCATCTGGTCTGAGCTGGGTACATGAAAAAGGAAGGATGTTAATCTATAACAAAGAATTAGTAACTAAGAGGTAAGGGGCACCATTTAATCTTTCACAACGTTTTACAGGGCAAGAAAAATAAGAAAGAAGGTTAATCTGTAATAGGAAGAAACAAAAGTTGTAGTGACTTGCCCGTATGAGCTAGGTCTTACAATCAATCACATTTTATTCAAGGCTCAGAGTAATTTAAAGTTTCAGCAGCTTTCATTTAAATTATTTTCACATTAGCCATTTGAGTCTTCATTTCTGTATATCTTCTTTCTCATTTGGGGAGCAGATTATTTTCTCTTTTTTTGTTTTCTTGGCAGGAGTTCCTTATATATTCTGTCCATTAATCACTTGGCGGTTTTAGATGTTGCAAATATTTCATTCATAATCTGTCATTTGTCTGTTAACTTTGCCTATATCTTCCTTTATTAAATAGAAATTCTTAATTTTAACATATATAAATTCATCAGTTTTTCCTTTTATCGTTGGCAATTTGGAGCTTTTGTTAAAGAAATCCTTCCCCACTGATAAAGTCACAAAGTTGGGTGTTTAATTCATATATTGTATTGTTTCTTTATCACTACCATAAGTACGTAAGATTACAAATTTAAGATTACAATCCTAAATCTTAAATTTGCAATCCTAGGTTGGTAGTTTTTGAAGCTACTAAGATTCAATAATTACTTTCAAGAATTGAGGTGAAATTTATGTCATAAAATTAAGCATTTTAAAAGGTACATTTCAGTGGCATTTAGTACATTCATAGTATTTTACAACTGCCACCTCTGTTAAGTTCCAAACATTTTTACCACCCCAGAAGAAAACCCTGTGCCCATTTAGTAGTTACATCCCATTTTCCCCTCTACACAAACCATGACTCTCATCCATCTGTCTCTATGGATTTACCTATTCTGTATGTTTCATATAAATGTAATCATACATAGCCTTTTAAGTCTGTCTTCTTTCACTTAGCATGTTTTCATTGTTCATCTATGTTTTAACATACATAAGTACATGCTAAAACATTTAATTTTAATATATAGGTATATACATTCCTTATGGCTGAATGATATTCCATTCTATGTATATATCATATTTTGTTTATTCATTTTTCCATTGATGGATATTTAGGTGGTTTTACCTTTTGGCTGTTGTGAATGGTGCTATTTTGAACAGTTGTGTGCAAGTGTTTGTTTATGTACCTCATTTTAATTCTTTTTGGTATGTACCTAGGAATGGAATTACTGTGCCATTTAGTAACTCAATTTTAACTTTTTAAGGAACCACCAAACTTTTTTCCCTAGTAACCGCAACCCCTTATTGTACATTTCTAGTTTCGTTCCATAGTTATCAAAGAAGATACCTTGTGTGATTTTAGTTTTTTAAGATTTATTGAGACTGTTTTATGGCCTATTATATGGTCTACTCTGGAGAATGGTCCCTGTGCACTTGAAAAAAACGTATATTCTGCTGCTGTTGGGTGGAGTCTACCATTTTTAATTTGCCTTTTTTTTGGCTCAGCATTTGCTTGATTGCTATAAACCTTTAACTCTCTTCGAGAGTTCCCACAATTGATTCTGACAGTTTTGTTCATTTTTTTTCTTTTATTTTTCTGTGGCAGGACAGTCCTTTGGAGCTACCTATCCTGCCATATTTGCTGATATCACTTTTTGTAATTACTTTTTACAACCAATATTTTATATACCCTCTTTAATATTCTGAGATAAAATATATAGGTGATAATACAAAGGGAAGTTTAAAAAATCAGTATAATACTTTAATTGTAATATAAAAGAAAAGTAATTTATAGTAAGGTAGTATCAGTTTGTTACGTAAACGCTAACATGACATTGGAAAGCATAATGAAGTAGTGGTATGTTTTAAATAAGTTGAATTAAAGAAATGTAAGAAAAATCAGAAATCATTCTGTACAAGTGCTGATAAATGAAAATCTAAAATCTAGTCATAGGCCGGGCACGGTGGCTCATGCCTGTAATCTCAGCACTTTGGGAGGCTGAGGCCGGCAGATCACTTGAGGTCAGGAGACCATCCTGGCCAACATGGTGAAACCCCATCTCTACTAAAAATACAAAAATTAGCTGGGCATGTTGGCCAATGCCTGTAATCCCAGCTACTGGCAGGCTGAGGCAGGAGAATCACTTGAACCTGGGAGGTGGAGGTTGCAGTGAGTCAAGATCGCGCCACTGCACTTCAGCCTGGGCGACAGTGTGAGACTCTGTCTCAAAAATAAATAAATAAATCTTATTATTAAGACCAGACTTTTTTTTTATATAAATACAAGAAATGAGAGAAACCATCTGAAGTGAAGTTAAATTAGTACAAATTATAGACTAAAGTGGTGAAGGAAAGGAGAAAGTATGGTAGTCTTATAAATTTGTTGGACCTCATTTCGGAAAGCAATTCTTTAGTAAATAATGAAGAAATATCAGAGAACAGATCTTTTATTTTAAAATCTTAACATATATCAGATCAAGTATTTAGTCTTGAGTACTAAATATCTTTGGAAGCAATACCCTTTCATTGATAATGAGATTTAAAGATGGACTTTTTCATAAAAAAGGCATTCATCGATCTCTGACTAGTATCAAAGTAAGTTTGAAAAAAAAAGGCAGTTATTATAAAAATAAAAGATTCAACTGATAATTTTTACAGTACATTTTTTATTTATCCACAGATACCGATACATGATATGCAGTATTTTTAGAACAACCAATGAAATTAAATAACTTTATTTCCTGTGTTGCCATAATTTAATATTTGGTACTAAGCCTGTTAAAAGAGTCTTACATTCTCCATTACATATTTTAAATTGGCTATATTGCTTTTACAGTGACTACACCTTTACACTAAAACATTTTCAAATAAGTGCACAGTTTAAAATACAAGAAGCTGGGCTCAGGGACTCATGCCTATAAATCCCAGCACTTTGGGAGGCTGAAGTGGGAGGATTTCTTGATCCCAGAAGATCAAGACCAGCCTGGGCAACATAATGAGACCCTGTGTTTAAATCAACAAAAACAAGTGTAACTTTCTTCCCCAGAAAAGGATATGATACTCATAACTTGATTCAGAAGCTTTCTTTATTATACTGTTTGTGTTTAGCCTCCAGGTAGTTTGTTTTAGCTTAACTCTTAACAAATGTTGAATGGCTTGTTTCCTACTCATTTCAGATGGAATAATCACCCTTTCTATATTGTAAGTTCATAAAGGTTTTGTTGCTCAGTGTATCTTTTAAAGATAGAGTCATGCTTTTCCTGCTACCTAGTTATGGTGACAATTAAATGAAATACTGTTTTTGAAAGTTCATAATGTGTTTATAAAAATCTGTGTTAAAAGCATTACTATTAATATTTTAATAATAAATATGACCTCGCATGTTCCAGAGGCTATTCTCTTGAGATAATTAAGTCTCAATCATAAGTCAACCTTTTGAGGTTATGTAATTCTTCACATTAAAAATTAATTCATAATTTCTTGCCTTAGATTGCCTCTTAATCAGAATCACTTTTTAGGGGGAAGTATATTTTGTGACAAAGGTACTTTGGTCCTTTGGTTATTGTATGTTTTGAAAATATGGAACAAACTTCCTTGCCTTTATTAGCACTTTCCAAGCTGGCGTTTTGTCTTAGATGTGTAACTACCTTTATTTTCCTGAGAACAACCTGCCTTCACATAGATTTAATTGCATTGTGATTTTTAGTTGTGACATGTATATGAATGTGAAATGCAAAGCAAAACATTTAATAGTTTTTTGTGGCTTATGTTTTTGATTTGCAGCCTTCAGGCAAACTTAAGGTACCTGAGGAGAATTTCTTCAATGTTCCTGCTTTCTTAACTGTCTCAGGACAACTTCATCTAGAAGTGATGTCAGGGTATGAAATTTTCCTTTCTCTTTTGCTTTGATATATTATGGTTTGGTTGAGAGTGCTTCCCTTCCCATGCTCAAACCTAAAAGTTGAAATTAGTCTTTATCATTAGTTCACTTGAATTTTCCAAAATATTTAAGCTTCTTACTTGTAGTACAGACTTTTGTTTTTAGTGAAAAATGTAACACTGAAAATACAAAGTTGTCATTTTTTTCTTTTTACTAATTTTTCTTGCTTGAATCCCAAACATGTAATCAGAATTTATTTAAATTAATCATATTTATGGAAGTAAAGGCAATTTATAGTTTATACCTGAACCGGGTATTAGTCTATTTCATTTTAAAGAGAGTAGTATTTGAAACAGACGGAATAATTTTTTTTTCAGTAATTGGTTTAAATAAAATTAACTCATACCTACATTTTGAGAGGTGTACAGCAAATTACATCTTTTAAGTCAGATCAAATGAATTTTAGCAACTGTCAGACCTCTGGAAAGTCACTGTATTCCTTGGGGCCTACCTTTTCTTTAAAACGGGATTGAGAAAGAAGACCTTTAAAATCCTGTCTAAATCTTATATTCTGTAATTCTGTGGGTAATTCCCATTTATTTTTATTTTTTTTAGAGGTGGGATCTCGCTTATTGCCCAGGCTGGAGTGTAGTTGCACAGTCATAGCTCACAAACTCCTGGGCTCAAGTGATTCTCCTGCCTCAGCCTTCTGAGTAGCTGGGACTACAGGTATATACCACCAAACCTGGCTAATTGTTTGTAGAGATGGGGTCTTGCTATGTACCAAGGCTGATCTCAAACTCTAGGCTCAAGTGATCTTCCTGCCTTAGGCCTCCCAAGTAACTGGAACTCAAGGCATGTGCCAGCACACTTAGCTAATTTTTAAAATTTTTTGTAGAGGTGGGTTCTCACCATGTGTCCTAGGCTGGTCTCAAACTCTTGACTCAAGTGGTTCTTCCGCCTCAGCCTCCCAAAGCACTGGGATTACAAGCAGGAGCCACTGAGCCTGGCCTCTGGGGGTAATTTGTTAATGCAGACTCATCAAGTACTGAGTTTTCTTTATGTATCTTTTTCTTTAAATATTTTCTCATTATAGAGATTAGGACTTAAAAAAATCTTTTCTGGAAATAGCTCACTTGAAAGGAAGGGAATCTTTTGGTGTTTTCCATTGTTTTAAAAATGCACAGATGAGAAAACTCAAGGAAAATGTAATAGAATAGTTTGCATATTTACTTTTGTACTTTGCTAGAAGAATGGAAAGTCAGTGGTGGAATAAAGATGGTCTTGAAAGTAACATGTTCTTTTCTGATTTATCTTTGAAACAAAAATATGTTATTTGATAGTTCCAATAACCAAATGACTGGCAATATTAGCAGAATACTATGCAGAAAAAGTGTCATAATAACATGGTGAGATTATAGGATTTGCAGATCTGGATGTAGGAAAGGCCGTGTCAAGCCTGTCATGGAATGTTCTTATGCCTACGGAATTATAATTTAAAAAAATTAAAAACATGACTCATTCAAATACAAAATGAATTTGTATCAAAGTTTTCATTCAGTTGATTATATTACAGAGGAAACAAGTAAAATAGAAAACTGTTTCAAAGAGCATCTGAAGACCTCTGTATTTATAGACATTTTAATAGTTGGAATAAGAGTGCTAGGTCAGTTATAAACTGGTTAATGTCCTACAGGACCAACACACCCTAAACTTTGGGATTATCTCTTCTACCTGGTAGAGTTATTTGCAACTCTGCTGGGAAAGATCTGTAAATTAGCGTGTAACTTCACTTAATACGGGTTATTTAATTCAATATTAAATAGACTAATGGAACAAGTACATTTCCCTTTCCCTAAGTAATTAAGTAATCGTCGAATGGGCCTTTGTCCCCTCATTGTGTAATACCTTGAAAGGACATCACCTTTTTAAGGCTACAGCTTTTGGCCTTATATTCAAGGTTTGGATAACCTTTCTTAACAGCCTTTTAGTATTCATTTCTATTATTTATAAAGTTAGAAGCAAGGTGTCTCATCCCTCAGAAGTGTCATATGTGAAATATATAAACTTAGCAAATGTTTGTTTCTCTATTATAATACCACTAGTGTATTAAATATGCCTCTTTCCCAGTAAAGCGCAGTGAACCACAGAACACAGTGTTCTGTGAAACTTGACGGAAGATTAAATTGGTAGAATACTAGGTTTTGTATTTTTTAGTGTGCCATGAAGTATTTGTACTACTGTCATTCAAATGTTCCTAGTTTAATATGCACAGTTCTAGGACTATTAATATGCAGAACATAATGTTTTTGATTAAAGTATGATTTATTCTCCAATAAGAAATTGTTAGTCCTTTTTCCCTCAGCTTTGTTTTTTCTTGAATTCAATTTAACAGACTTTGTAAAAGGCAAAAGATTTATGCAATCTGAAGAGAAACCAGAGTATTAACAGACTTTTAAAATGGAGAAAATGGTAGTTAAATTTAGACAGTTAACATTTTCCAAAAGGATATCTCTGTTGCTTTAGTGGGTTTATGGTTCCATTTTAAAGCTTTTTTTAAAGTAAATATTCTATGTTGGAATAATTTTTAATATATAGAAAGTTGAAAAGATAATGCATAGTTTTGTGTATTCTCTATCCAGTTTCCCCCATTGTAAACATCTTCCATGACCATGATACATTTGTCAAAACCAAGAATTAAATGTTATCACATTACTATTAATGAAGCTCTAGACTTTATTTGGATTTCACCAGCTTTTCCATCAATACCCTTATTCTTTTTCCAGGATCCAATTCAGGGTACCACATAAAACTTAGTTGTCATGTTTCCCCAGTCTCTTCCATTCTATTACAGTTTCTCAATTTTTCTTTTTTACGACCTGTGGAATGTACTCTAATCTGGGTGTGTCTGACATTTTTCTCATGATTAGACTAGGGTTATTTGGGTATTTTGAAAGAATACCACAGAGGCGAAGGCTTGTCCCGTCACATTGTATCAGTGGATACGTGATATCCATATGATGATGTTAACCTTCATTACTTGGATAAGGTAGTGTTTGCCAAGTTTCTTTACTGAAAATACACTATTTTTTCCCTTTTCTTACTCTAATTTTTGGAAGTGAGTCACTAAGTCTAGTCTCCCCTCACTGGGGATGGGGGTTTGGGAAGAGGGAGATGGAGTTAAGAACTACCCGCAGGAGGGAGAATGTTTGGAATTCTATATGAAAATTTGTTGTCTCTTTATCCTTCTTTATTTTTTATTTGTGTAATCATTTATATCTTAATAGACTTGTATATTTCATAGTTTGGGTTATAATTCAGTGCTGTGTTATTTACTTTGATGCTTAAAACTGTTTTAGTTTTTGTTGTTGGGAACTCATTCAGATTGATTCTTACGCCCCTTTGATACGCCCCTGTACTTTGACTAATTCCTTATTCTCTGCTACTGCAAGATGCCTCAGCTTTGTTTGTTGTTTGACATTCATTCACCACCTTTATTTGTTTTTATTTTTTTTATAGTCAGTAAAGTTACACTGACATATTATTATTCCTCCAAAGTCCATAGCTTTTACGAGCATTCACTCCTAGTTGTCTGCATTCTATGCTTTTGGACAGATGACATACGTTCACCATTATAGTAACATACAGAATAGTTTTTGCTGCCCTAGAACTTTTCTATGCTCTGCCTAGCCATTCTTCCTTCCTAACCACTGGTAACCATTGATCGTTTTACCATCTCCATAGTTTTGCCTTTTCCAGAATGTCACGTAGTTGGAATCATACACCATAGAGCCCTTTTAGATTGGCTTCTTTTGCTTAGTAATATGAATTTAAAGTTCCTCCAGGACTTTTCATGGCTGGATAGCTCATTTGTTGTAGTGCTAAATAATATTCTGTTGCCTGGAGGTAACACAATTTATCAGTTCACCTGTTGAAAGACATCTTTTGGTTGTTTCCAAGTTTTGGCAGATTTCCCAGGCTTATTTTTTATTTTCCCTTCCCTAGTCCTAAAAATTAGTTATTTCTCCAAAGAGCCCTAGTTCCTTTTATTAGAAGATGGTATTTAGAAGCCAAAATTGGGTCACTGGATATGTTTGCTGTTACTGAGAGATTATTGCTTTTAAACCTTTCAGTAGACAGAGTTTTTTTTTTTAAACTAGAGAAAGCTAAGTGAGTTTTCATTGCATTTTGCTTATGAATATAATTTATAAGTGGTAAGTTCATTCCAAGAGAGATTTAAATTGTAAAACCTGCAATTAAGAAATGTCACATAATGAAGTATTCCATTTCTCATCAGTTAAAGTCAGAATTGGAGAAAGGCTCAGCCTAAAAAGAAAGAATGTTTATTATTATTAGAGGGATTTGTTTCCTTCTTGGGCATTTTAATGCTTAGCCATGAAGTCAAGCATATTTTAGGTTAAAACTGATGCTTTTCTCTTGACTGTTGTTGTTGGAATAAATTAGTACAGTTTTTCTAGAGGAATACCTTTTTACCCAGAATTTCATTTCTAGAAATTTTTCTTAAGGAAATGATCTGACAACTCTGCAGAGAAGCCTAAACAAAAATGTTGAAAGCAACTTTTATTTATAATAGTGAAAAATTACTAATAATCTAAATGTCCATTCAAGATTTGTTAAACCTAAGTATACCAAGAAAAATAGTCATCATCATTTATCATCTGGGGCTAATGGGCCTTATTTTTAAAAAATATTTTAAAGCCATCTTGTAGTTAATACACAGAAGTATAAATAAAGGGACAGTGAAGATCAACTTTATTAGAAATTTTCAGGAGAATTTAAACATAGCAAGTCAAAAAAATTAAATTGTTATATTGAGAGAGAACGTATATGCCCTAAAATTCACCAATTTGAAGTGTGCAATTCAGTGGGTTTTAGCATATTTTGAAGATATTCAAGTATCACTGACATAATTTTAGAATACTTTCCAATATTTATAATTTTAAGGTTTTATCACTCCCAAAAGACAAATTTTTTCCATTAGCATTCACTCCCTATCCTCTTCTTTGCCCCCACCCCTGGGCAACCACTAATTAAGTTCTCTCTCTATGAGTTTACCTATTCTGGAATATTTATCGTATATAGATAGAATCACACAGTAAATTGTATTTTGTGACTGGTTTATTTCATTTAGCAAATGTTTTCAAAGTTCATCCAACTTGCAGCATGTATCAGTACTTCATTCCTTTTTATTCCCAAATAGCATTCCATTACATGGGCATATAATATTTTGCTTCATTTATCAGATAATGAGCATTTGGGTTGTTTCTACTTTTGGCTCTTGTAAGTAATGTTGCTGTGAACATTTGGGTGGAAGTTTTTGTGTGGACATGTTGTCATTTCTCTTTGGTAGATACCTAGGAGCGAAATTAATGGGTCATGCAGTAACTATGTTTAACTGTGTGAGGAATTGCTAGTCTGTTTTCCACAGAGGCTGGACCATTTTACAGTCCCACCAGCAATAGCAAAAGCATTCCAGTTTCTCCACATCCTTGCAAATGCTTATTATTGTCTTTTTATTGTAGCTGTTCTGACAAATGTAAAGTAGTATCTCATTATGGTTTTGACTTGCATTCCCCTGACTACTAATGATGGGTTTTCATCATTAAAGTCAATGAGCACATGAAAAGGTGTGGAGCGTCTTTCCATGTGCCTGTTGGCCATTTGTATGTATTTTATTTGGAGAAATGTCTATGTAAGTCCTTGAGTTATTTTTAAAATTGGATTGTCTTTTTATTGAGTTTTGAGAGTTCTTTATATATTCTGCATACAAGTCCTTTATTAAATATATGATTTGCAAATATTTTTTCCCTGTTTGGTGGATTTTCTTTTCACATCCTTGATGTTGGCAAACTCAGATTTTCATTTTCACTTTTCTGGGTTTTGAAAGTACTCCAGATGGGCATAGCCTATTGAATTCAGCAAACTGCTGAATACTGCCATGCATGAACCTGGAACATATGCTGTCCTTTGAATACTGATTCCAGATTTTTAATACATCTTTAATAGGCTCTAACTTATTATTACTTCTGAAACTTATACTTACATTATAAAAAAAATGCTTTTGAGTATTTTGTCCCCTTATAATTTTGTTGAAGGAAGAGTGGCCATCTTTTTTGCCCCATAATTGCAAAACATTTTTATTTTTAGATTGTACACCAATTAGAATGATCAAATTAATGAATTCTTCTGTTTCTACATCATCTTTTTTTTTCCTAAACACCTTTATAAAATACTTGCTTCAGCATTTGTTCACTTATTAACCTTAGTAAGTAAATTTTGGTGTACAAATATCATAAATGATGAAGGAATATTGCCACATATCCTTTTAGAAAATGGGATGGTCCAAATTCTTATAAATTATTACATAATGAAATCCTTCTTGTGGAATGACTCATTGGATGGAAGTACTGAATTTGTTTTTTGACTTGAAATGTATTTTTCACTTAACAGTTCTTATGTTTGAGAAAATTCACTTAGATAGGTATCATTATCTGAAAGCTCTTTGTCTGAGATTTCACTTACACAACCAATTTTACCATCATCATTAGAGAGTAGATTGTCAACCAGGCACAGTGGCTCATGCCTATAATCCCAGTGCTTTGGGAGGCTGAGGTGGAAGGATCACTTGAGACCAGAAGTTTGAGACCAGCTTGGGCAACACACGAAACCTTATCTCTACCAAAAAAAAAAAAAAAAAAATTAGCTGGATGTAGTGGCACATACCAGTATTCCAAACTACTTGCGATGCTAAGGCAGGAGGGCGCTTAAGCCCAGGAGATTGAGGCTGCAGTAAGCTATGATTATGCCACTGCACTCCAGCATGGGCAACAAAAAGGGGAGGAGATTGTTGCTGCCTCTTTGCATTCATGTTCTGATTTGTCTAATAACTATGAAATACCTTTATCATTTTAATTCTCTTTGTTAGTGTGAGTGAAAAATAAAGATCTGAATTCTGAACTGTGATCTGCAAAAACTACAAAAAGGCTACAACCATGTATCCGGGCTTTTCTTTTTTTTTTTTTTTTTTTTGAGACGGAGTCTCGCTCTGTCGCCCAGGCTGGAGTGCAGTGGCGGGATCTCGGCTCACTGCAAGCTCCGCCTCCCGGGTTCACGCCATTCTCCTGCCTCAGCCTCCCAAGTAGCTGGGACTACAGGCACCCGCCACTACGCCCGGCTAATTTTTTGTATGTTTAGTAGAGGCGAGGTTTCACCATTTTAGCCGGGATGGTCTCGATCTCCTGACCTCGTGATCCGCTCGCCTCGGCCTCCCAAAGTGCTGGGATTACAGGCGTGAGCCACCGCGCCCGGCCCCGGGCTTTTCTTATACCTTCTTTAAAGATGACACAGGCCTGGCGCAGTGGCTTAAGCCTGCAATCTCAACACTTTGAGAGGCTGAGGCAGGAGGATCACTTGAAGCCACTAGTTCAAGACCATCCTAGGCAACATAGTGGGACCTAGTCTCTACAAACAAACAAACAAAAAAACCAAAAACCAAGCATGGTGGCATGTGCCTGTAGTCCTAGCTACTTGGGAGAGTAAGGCAAGAAGATTGCTGGAGCCCAGGAGTTGTAGACTGCAGTGAGCTGTGATCACAACACTACACTCCAGCCTGGGCAACAGAATGAAACCCCACCTCTTAAAAAAAAAAAAAAGAAAGAGAGAGAATAAGAAAACAAATTGATATAATGTTGACAATTTATCTTACTTTTGCATTTTCCTCTTCGCACCCATCATTCTTCTACTTTTTTTTTTTTTTTTTGGAGACAGAGTCTTGCTCTGTCGCCCAGGCTGGAGTGCAGTGGCACTGACCTCAGCTCACTGCAACCCCTGCGTCTCGGGTTCAAGCGATTTTCCTGCCTCAGCCTCTCGAGTAGCTGGGATTACAGGTGTCCACCACCACACCTGGCTAATGTTTTTGTGTTTTTAGCAGAGACGGGGTTTCATCATGTTGGCCAGGCTGTTCTCGAACTCCTGACCTCAGGTGATCCACCCGCCTCGGCCTCCCAAAGTGTTGGGATTACAGGCATGAACCACTGTGCCAGGCCTATTTTCTTACTATTTTACTCTTACTTAACATAATTAGGAACAATTAGTAATGATGAATAATTACTAAGATGATGAAATGGCAAAATGTTTTAAGACACAGGAAAAATAACACCAAAACCCCATATATAGCTTAGATTTATGGAAGGATTCAGTGGGCTTTATTCTGTTGTTAAAATTTAATATAAATTTCTGTTTTTATGGATAAACCTCCACAGTTGCTTGAACCGTGTCCTGAAAAAAGACAAGTCCTAACCTGTGATTGCAACCTTTTTTAGAAACAGGGTCTTTGCAGATGTAATCAAGCTAAGATGATGTCATACTGGATTAGGGTGTGCCCTAAATCCAGTGACTGGTATTTTTATAAGAGAAAGGAGAGAGAGATTTGGATATAGAGATGTAGGAGACACACACACAGGGAAGAATGCTAAGACAGAGCATTCTGTGAAGCCAAAAGCAGAGATTTGAGTGATGCCTAGGATTGCTGAGAGCCACCAGAAACTAGGAAGAGGCAAGGAAGGATTCTTCCCTAGAATCTTCAGAGGAAGCACAACCTTGCTGGCACTTTGATTTCAGATTTGTAGCCTCACAGCTGAGAGAATACATTTCTGTTGTTTTAAGCCAACAGAATATAGCAATTTCTCATGGCAGCCTTAGGAAACTAATACAACCTTTAAGAGTATATGAGTCGTGAATTATTATTTTTTTATAAATATTTAAAATATTTTAAAAATATTAGCTGTTTTTATAAATATAACTGTTTGACCAAGAAACTCAAAAACTAGCTGGACGTGGTGGCTCACACCTGTAATCCCAGCACTTTGGGAGGCCAAGACAGGCGGATCACAAGGTCAGGAGATCGAGACCATCCTGGCTAACATGGTGAAACCCCGTCTCTACTAAAAAAATTAGCCAGGCGTGGTGGCATGCGCCTGTAGTCCCAGCTACTCGGGAAGCTGAGGCAGGAGAATCGCGTGAACCCAGGAGGCGGAGGTTGCAGTGAGCTGAGATCGTGCCACTGCACTCCAGCATGGGCGACAAGAGTGAAACTCCGTCTCAAAAAAAAAAAAAACTCAACAACTAAAATTGGGTATAATGAGTCCTGGCAGTGTATTAAAGGTTAAATTATTTATGATTTGTTCATATAATGGATTACTGTACAGCTATTAAGATTGATCATAAGTCTTTACATCATGCTGTTTTTTAAGAAGTGGTTATGAAACAGGTAGAGTATGATTCTGGTTTTTTAACTGTATACATATATTTATAGAAAAAGATTGGAAGAATATATAACAATATTCAACTTGTAAAAATGGCTATTTCTGCTAATTTTTATTTTCTTCCTCAAGTTTATTTTTTCAGATTTGAAAAATCAGTGTTCATTACTTTTATAATCAGGAAAAAACTTAGTTATTTTCAGTTTGGGGCAATCAACTTGGGCTTTGGGCTGATTTCATTCCTGTTTGGTTAATTGATTAGTTTGTGATTGGTACATGCAGTTCTAAATTGACTCCCTTCGATTATTTAATCAATTCAGATAATGAGCTCAAAAGCCATGAAAAATTCGTACTCAGGATGCTCTTACCCTGTTTTGTGGCTGTGGTGGGAATGTCATCATGTGAATCTGAGTTAAAGCTTTACAATTGGGTGTGAAACTGACTTCCCATCTGCTTATAAGACTTTCTCATTCTTCATTCCCTTGATACTGAATTTTGTTCATTTATAGTCATTTGATTTTTGAGATCTTTTTGATTATGATTCGTGTCTTGCATGTTTGCGTTTCTGATGCTGTTCTCTATAGCATTAGATTGCGTTTTCCATATGTGGTCATTCCTAAAGGCTCAACTGAAATAACGACTTTCTACTTGACTCTCTTCCTGCTTTTCTCATAGAAATTATTTTTATCTTTTTCTGCTCTCTTATAGTACTCATTCATTTCACGTCATAAAGAAAAATTCTGGCCGGGTGCAGTGGCTCATGCCTGTAATCCTAGCACTTTGGGAGGCCGAGGTGGGCAGATCACAAAGTTAGGAGATGGAGACTATCCTGGCTAACACCGTGAAATCCCATCTCTACTCAAAATACAAAAAATTGGCCGGGCGTGGTGGCGGGCGCCTGTAGTCCCAGCTACTCCAGAGGCTGAGGCAGGAGAATGGCGTGAACCCAGGAGGCGGAGCTTGCAGTGGGCTGAGATTGCGCCACTGCACTCTGGCCTGGGTGAAAGTGCGAGACTCCGTGTCAAAAAAAAAAAAGAAATTGTTTGTTTTTAACATTTAGCCATTTTGTAGTTCTTTTTCATATGTAATTCTCAAAGGTTTTAAATCCCTTGAAGACAAGTCTGTCTCAGCTCCATGTCCTCATAATCACTAGCAAGTAGTAGTTAAACTGAATTTGTAAAGCATAAATTCTCATTCTTTTATAATTTTCCTCTACTGGTTTATACAGTTCGTCTCCATATATCTGAGGGGGACTGGTTCCAGGATCCCTCTCCAGATACCAAAACTTGCAGATGCCCACGTATTTGCATATAACCTATGCACATCCTCCCATATATTTTAAATTAATCTCGATTTCTTATAATACCTAAAACCATTAAATGCTATGTGAATAGTTGTTATACTGTATTTTTAAAATTTGTATTATTTTTTATTGTTGCATTATTTTTTGTTTTTTCCAAATATTTTCAATCCAAAGTCGGTTGAATCTGTAAATGCAGAGGGCCGACTGTACTATAGTGTTGAGCCCACAATGGGAGTTAAGTCTATGTTAATAATTCCTTTTACTTCATGGAAATTATATAACCGTGAAACCTAGGATCTTTATTGTTATTGTTAACTGAATGTGTGTGAATGATGATAAATACACTTCTTTAAAGGGTGTATTAATTAAGTTCAAAGTTAACCCTGTGTGGATAGAAATATGAATTAACAGACTATCGGTATAAATGAGGAACTTCGTCATAAACTCCTTGCCAATTGCATTTTCTGTATAGTATTGACAGAAGGCAAGTGTTTATGGCAGATCGATCAGCAAGTGCAATGGCTTTTAAGTAGGAATATTTAGCTTCCCTGGGTTAAAATAGAATGTAGATATTTTAGTTAACCAGGGGTTGGGTATCACTAGGTGAATTTGATGGAAGTAAATAGACTTAGAAGGTTATAATGATGGACCAAGGAATCTGCTGGGTAAGAAGTGAGGAAATGGAGGTAGAGGGTTATAATGGAAAAAATGGTTGAACATAAAGAATTGGAGGTCTTAATGAAAAATTGTTGGAGTGGAAATACTAAAGTAAAAACCTGGATGAATACGAGGTGGTAGTCAAAGTATTGCTCTTGTGAAATTCCTATTTCTAACATGGATTCTTTGCTCAGCTCCCCACCTATGAACTGAATGCCAGTTGTGTTCTTTGGTTGAGGAACAAGCACCTTAAACTCAACATGTTCAAAATGAAATTCATCATCTTTTTCCCTAAATCTGTTTTTTCCTGAATTCCCTGTCTCAGGAAATGGTACTACCAACCTTCCTGTTTGTCAGATGAGATTTATGGAAATCATTCTAAATTCTTGTTCCATACCCTTTGAATCCTTTCACTCATTTGCTTCCATGTCCCTTTGCTTCAGCTCTCCTAAACTGCTTATAATATTCTAAGCACATCATCCCATTTCACACATCATCCCATTTGTATTCCTTTGCATATGCTGTTTTTTTGCCTGGAATTTGCTTTCGCCATGCCTTTGTCTGGCTAACTCCTGCCTATTAGGCTAAACTCAGCTTAAAAATGATGTCACCCAGAACCTTAACCACCACCATCACCTCCTCCTTGTTTAAATGTCCTTCTGTGTGCCCATGTTGCTTTGTGCCTATTTTGTAACATGGAATCGTTGGTTTATTTCTTTATAGCTTTGACTGTGAGCTTTTCAATTTAGGGATTGTCTTATTTAATTTTGTAACTATTAATACAAAATAAAGACAGTTATCTATTGGAAAGGGGTTTCTATCAATTCTATTTATCAGAAAATATTGAAATTATTATCTTATCTTCCCATTAGCCTATAAAGTCCTTAATCTGTATCTTGTTCCTCTTTGTTGTCTTAGCTTCTGTTACTATCATGTTGCCTGATCCAGGGCTCAAAAATCAGTCTCAGTTCAATTTATTGAGAAACTGTGTGTATCAAAAAGTAGACATGAACAAGACAGATATAATTTCAACCTTCGTGACCCTATAGAGTCTGATGAGCAAGATGAGCATTAAACGAGAAATTAGGAGTGTGATTACTGTCCTGAGGGCAAGAAGAGCATATGTCAAGAAAATTTTGCCTTGTCTACGTCAAATTGAATTTAGAAGTAACCTTATCAGTAGAGTGATTACACGGAAGTGCATTTTTAAATGTCATTCATGTTTAATGACCATTGGCTGTTATATTTGATGTAGATTCTATTCCTTTTGTATTCTTGGACAAACAGAAATCCAGTTAATGTAGCTCTTTCTCCCCATTATTGTAGAGCATTTTATGGTGTACAATTTTTTAGTTATCCTAATACATGTTGTTTGTGTTTGGCTCTGGGATGTCTCTGTACTTTTATGTCATGTTTGATATATTATACTTGAATAAATTCTATTTAGCCACATTATCCAAAGATAGAAAACTGTAGCTTTTCTGCCCTGTGTCTTTATCAACTTCCAAATACTTAGAATCTTTTATAAACCTTTACATGAAGAAGTTGTTCCTTTATAGCCCAACTTTTCATGGCCCAGAGAAATGGTTGAAGATACTGGATATGTTTAGTACAGGGAAGACAAAGAGGAGACATGATTCTGTAGTTGTTGAAGTCTATCTGGTGGGTTTCTGTAAGAGATATATACAGAAGAGTAAATGATTTTTTTAAAGAACAACTTTATTGAGATATAATTCACATACCATAAAATTCATCCATTAAAAGTACACAGTTCAGGCCAGGTGCAGTGGCTCAGGGCTGTAATCTCAGGGCTTTGGGAGGCCGAGGCAAGAGGACGGCTTGAGCCTAGAGTTTGAGACTAGACTGGACAATAGCAAGACTCCCTCTTAAATTGTTTTGTTTTTTTTTTTTTAATCAGCCAGGCATGGTGGTGCACCCCTGTAGTCCCAGCTACTTTAGAGGCTGAGGCAGGAGGATTGCTTGAGCCCAGGATTCAAGGCTGCAGTGAGCTATAAACACACCACTGCACTCCAGCCAGAGTAACAGAACCAGACCCTGTCTCTTAAAAGAAATAAAAGTAAACAATTCAGTCGTTTTTACTATGATCACAAAGTTGTATAACCGTCAACATTACCTAATTTTGTAACATTTTTATCACTCCAAAAAGAAACTCCAAACCCGTTAGCAGTCACTTCCCATTTTCTCCTACCCCCAACCCCTAGCAAACACTACTGAATCAGAACCCCTGGGAGTGGGACCTCCCAACCTGTGTCACAGGCCACCAGGTGATGCTGATGCTGAGAACCAATGCTTTAGAGAAAGATCCTTTGTTCCCTGAGTGGTGAGGACATCTGGCTTCTAGCTATGCTGATGGGTGGGTGGGGGAGCATTTACTGTTCATATGTAAACTCTTAATGCATCCCCATTTCTCCTACCCCCAGTCTCACCAAGGTTCTGTGTGTCAGTCACTAATTTTCTGCTGCAGCATACTTCATATTCCAGATAACAGCTTCCATGCTTTGCCATATTGGTCATCACTCAGCCATCTGTTTTCTGTCCTTCAGTAATTTGTCGCGACCTCTTGTCCACTGAAGGCCCCCTTCATGATTCTTCCTTTTAGTTTTTTTATTATTATTTTAAAGTTGTCTCAGGAAGAAGTGAATAGAAATATCTGCTTAATTCACCATTTTAACTTCATTTTTACTAGCTTGAATGGTATTAATTTGCTTTTCTTTAATTGCTAGTTAGGTTATACATTATTTGCATAATGATTTAGTGTCTCTGTCTAATGTGCTAACTCTGCAGTGTCTGCTTGCCGCCTTTGGAAATCTAAATACTGGATTCTCTACCCGTTTCTAGTATTGAATTCCTTTGTGAAGGGAATACTAACCTGCCTTTTCTCCATTTCAAGTGTATGGGACTCCACTCTTCTGTTACCTAATTCACTGAGGTCTGTCTGGCTAAGCAGAAAAAGTATATGAAGGATTGAGTGCCTTTGTAATAAGCAAGTTTCATGTGAGTTGTTTTAAAAAATTCCCAGTGAGCCTTTTGAGCAATTATATAAATAGAACACATTGTGCCTGAAATGCTGTGCCTGTTGATATTCTCTAAAAGCAAGTGCAGGTTACTGTAGTGAGATGTGTTAGGCAATTTTTGCACTGCTATAAAGAAATACCTGACCAGGCACATTGGGTCATGCCTGATATCCCACACTTTGGGAGGCTGAGGTGGTCAGATCACTTTCAGCCCAGAAGTTTGAGACCAACCTGGGCAACATGGCAAAACCCCATCTCTGCAAAAAATACAAAACTTAGCCAGACAGGTGGCATACGCCTGTAGTCCCAGCTACTCGGGAGGCTGAGGGTCGAGGATTTATTGAGTCCAGGAGGTCGAGGCTGCAGTGAACAGAGATCGTGCCACTGAACTCCAGCCTGGGTGACAGAGTGAGACCCTGTCTCAAAAAAGAGAGAAATACCTGAGACTGGGTAATTGGTAGGAAAATAGGTTGAATTGGCTAACGGTTTTGTAGGCTGTACAGGAAGCATAGTAGTGTCTGCTTCTCGTGAGGCTTCAGGAAGCTTCTAATCATGGAAGAAGGCAAAGGAGTATGCGTCTCACATGGTGAGAATGGGAGCAAGTGTGTGTGTAGGGGGGTGTGTCACATACTTTTAAATGATCACATCACATGAGAACCCACCGTCAAAAACACAGCATCAAACCATGAGGGATCCACCCCTATGATCCAGAAACCACCCACAAGGCCCCACCTCCAGCATTGGGTATTACAACTCAACATGAGATTGGGGCAGAGACAGGTAGCCCAACTATATCATGAGGCATCAGATTAATCCTTAGTAGACCAATATGTACAGTAATTGGAGTTATAACTGCCTCCCAGGTTCAAGCAATTCTCCTGCCTCAGCCTCCCAAGTAGCTGGGATTACAGGCGCCCACCACTACGCCCGGCTAATTTTTGTATATTTAGTAGAGACGTGGTTTTACCATGTTGACCAGGCAGGTCTCAAACTCCTAACCTCAGGTGATCCGCCCGCCTCGGCTTCCCTAAGTGCTGGGATTACAGGCATGAGCCACCGCACCCGGCCCACGTGTTCTTACTTATTTGTGGGATCTGAAAATCAAAACAATTGAACTCATGGAGATAGAGAATAAGATGGTTACCAGAGGCTGGCAAGGGTAGTGGGCAGGTGTGCAAGTGAAGTGGGGGTGGTTAATAGGTACAAAAAAAAAAAAAGAAAGAGTGAATAAGACCTTAGTATTTTATACTTAATATTTGATTGCACAATAAGGGGACTCTAGTCAATAACTTAATTGTACATTTTATTTTATTTTTGAGACAGTCTCACTCCGTCACCCAGGCTAGAGTGCAGTGGTGCAGTCTCGGCTCACTGCAACTTCTGCCTCCCAGGTTCCAGCGATTCTCCTGCCTTAGACTCCCGAGTAGCTGGGATTACAGGCACCCGCCACCATGCCTGGCTAATTTTTATATTTTTGGCAGAGGCAGTGTTTCACCATGTTGGCCAGGGTGGCCTCAAACTCCTGACCTCAGGTGATCCACCTGCCTCAGCCTCCCAAACTACTGAGATTTCAGATGTGAGCCACTGTGCTCGGCCTAATTGTACATTTTAATATAACTAAAAATGTAATTGGATTGTTTGTAACACAAAGAATAAATGCTTGAGGAAATGGATACCCAATATTCCGTGATGTGATTTTTACTGATTGAGTGCCTGTACACAATATCTTATGTATCCCATATTTGTGAATAAATATGTATTCACAAAAATTAAAAATATTTAAAAAATTTTAAAATTTTTTAAAAGAATATGAGATAGTCTCATATAGAGGGTGACCAGTGCTGTTAGAGAATGAAGTAGCTACTAAGATAATGTTATGCTTGCCAAAAAGTACTGATCTTGTTCAAATGAATGATTGTGTTAGTTGAGGTAAATGCAGTACAGAGATAAATTGGAATTCTGGCTACTTTATATACTAGTTTTATAAGCTTAATGACCGAGCCTCCACTTCCTAATCTATAAAAATACATTATAGTGGCCACATTACAGAGCTGCTGTAAGCATTGGATACCATGTAAAGCCCAGTGTTTACTCCTGTGCAGGCACTGAAATATTAGGTGCTATGTTGATGGTAATGAGAGCCTCTGGGTCCTGGAGAACCTTGGGTGAATTATAAAGGACTAGTTGCAGAGAAAAGCCAAGGTAGTGTGGCCAGGAAGAAATAGCTGGCAGGTAATAATCAAATTATTTTATATTACTGACAGAACTGGAGTTCATACAAAGCAGAGGATTGGAACAAGCTGCTGGGTTTCAGGACTCTCACAAGACAGATCAGAAGTTTAAACTAAATCAGCACCTGGAATGGAGGAAAGAATTAAGACAGAGAAATCAATTAACTGTCAGAGTTTGAAGACTAAGTCAGAACTGAACTAAGAAGTGAGAGCAAGTTAGGGTATAATCTGCCCTAAGAGCTGTAGTCATTTATGTTGGCAATGAGGTGTCACTATGTTCCAGATTCTTTTGTTCTTGGAAGGACGTTGTTGTTGTGCCCCTTCTGGGGTTCCTGGAGCCTGATACTTCTGCTTTTATACAATAGTTGGAACAAGATTATAGTTTAAATAATTAAGTAGCAGAATAAACCAGTTTATTGGTAAGTTATTCCTGTTATCATTGTTTGTTTCTTTTTCTTTTTTTAAATACCTTCAACCAGCCCATACCAGTTAATGTTGTTTCTTAATCAACTTTATTGAGGTATACTTTATAATAAAAATGAACCCATTTAAAATACATCGTTTTAAATATATTTTAAATACATGTTTTGACAAATTCTTTTTTTTTTTTTCTTTGGAGACGGAGTCTCGCTCTGTCACCCAGGCTGGAGTGCAGTGGGGCGATCTCAGCTCACTGCAAGCTCCGCCTCCGGGATTCACGCCATTCTCCTCCCTCAGCCTCTCGAGTAGCTGGGACTACAGGCGCCTGCCACCACGCCCGGCTAATTTTTTGTATTTTTAGTAGAGATGGGATTTCACTGTGTTAGCCAGGATGGTCTCAATCTCCTAACTTTGTGATCCGCCTGTCTTGGCCTCCCAAAGTGCTGGGATTACAGGCATAAGCCACTGCGCCTGGCCTGTTTTGACAAATTCTTACACCTCAGTAACTACTTCCATGATCAAGATATAGAATTAGGCTGGGTGACATGGCTTATACCTGTAATCCCAGCACTTGGGGAGGACAAGGCGAGGGGATTTCTTGAGTCTAGGAGTTCAGGACTAGCCTGGGCAACATAGTGAGACTCCATCTCTACAAAATATTTTAAAAATTAGCTGAGCGTGGTGGCACATGCCTGTAGTTTCAGCTACCCAGAAAGCTGAGGAAGGAGGATCACTTGAGCCTAGGAGGTCAAGGCTGCAGTGAACCATGATTGTATCACTTCACTGAAGCCTGAGCAATAGAATAAGACCCTGTCTGAAAAAAACAAAAAACAACCACAGTAACAACAAAAAGAATTATTTCTGTCACTCAAAAAATTCCTTGTTTTCCTTTGGCTCGAGTCTCTTTCCCCACCCCTGCTCTTAGGCAACCACCGATCTATTGTCCCCATAGGTTAGATTTTCGTTTTTTTAGAATCTTATATAAATGAAATCGTATGGTATTTATTCTTTGTAGCTGTCTTCTTTCACTCAGCATAATGCTTTTGAGATTTATCCAGTAGTTTGTTCCTTTCTTTGCTGAATATTATCCCACTGAATGGATATACCATCAAATTTGTTAATTCGTTCTCTTTTTTTGCATTTGTTGTACCATTTTAAGTATGTAGTTCAGTGACATTAAGTACATTCACAATTTTTATAACCACTAGCACACATTTTTAATGAATATATATTCAGTTTTAGTTTGAATAAATAACACATGCACATATGAAAATTTTGATCATTTGAAGAGTGTTCTGTATATGTTTGTTAGATCTGGTTTTATTGTATTAAGTCCTCTCTCTCTCTTTTTAGTTATCTTCTGTCTGGTTCTTTACATTATTGAGAGGTTTCCAATAGTATTGTAAAACTGTTTTTTCCCTTCAATTCTGTCATTTTTTGCTTTATATTTGATGGTCCATCATTAGGTATGTAAGTATTTATAACTGTTGTGTCTGATTGTATTGAACCTATTAATGCATAATGTCTTTCATTGTTTCTTGTAACCCTTTTGTATTTAGTCTGTTTTGTTTGATAATAGTATAGCCACCCGTGCTCTCTTTTGTCTCCTATTTGCATGGAAAATTTTTTTTCCATCCTTTCACTTTCAGTTTATTTGTTCTTTGTATCTAAAGTGAATCTTTTATAGACAGCATATAATTGGGTCATTTTAAAAAATCCATTCTGCCAATCTCTGTCTTTTGACTGGAGAGTTTAATCCATTTACATTTAAAGTAATTACTGGTAAGGAGGAACTTCTCTCATTTTGCTATTTGTTTTCTATATACTTTATAGCTTTTTTGTCCCTTGTTTTCTGCATTACTGTGTTTTTCTTTAGTTGGTTCTTTGTAGGGAAACATTTAAATTTCTTTCTTATTTTCTTTTGCATATATTCTATAGCTATTTTCTTTGTCGTTACCATGGAGAGTACATTGAAGATCCTAAAATTATAACAATCTAACTTGAATTTATACCAGCTCAACTTCAGTAACATACAAAAACTCTCACTTTCTTTTCTTTTCTTTTCTTTTCTTTTTTTTTTTTTTTTGAGACAGAGTCTCACTCCATCACCCAGGCTGGAGTGCAGTGGCACGATCCCAGCTTACTGCATCCTCCACCTCCTGAGTTCAAGGGATTCTTGACTGCACTTTTAACAGCCCCTTCTTCACCCCTTTCAGTTGTTGATATCACAAAATTACATCTTTATACAGGTGTGCCCCAAAACATACATGAATAAATCTTTGAAATGCATTAACCTCTTAAATTAAAGCTGTAGAAAACAGAATGTGGATTTACAACCAAAATTTGCAATAATACTAGTTTTAGGTTTTTTTTTAAAGTGTATTAGTTTCTTAAGTCAGTTAGAAAACAAACAGAGCAGTTATATACACCTGAGGCATCAGGTTTATATAATTTGATTATGAGGCATCAAATTAATCTTTACAATTATAATCATGTGTTTACTTTGATTAAGATCTTTATTTCTTTATATAGCTTCAAGCTAATGCCTAGTGTACTTTCATTTCACCCGGCAGGACCACCTTGAGCATTTCTTGCAGGGCATGTCCAGTAACAAACTCTTTTAGGTTTTGTTTAAGTAGGAATGTCTTACTTTCTCCCTTACTTTTGAAGGACAGTTTTGCCAAATATAAGATTTTTTATTGACATTTCTTTTAGCACTTTGAATGTATCTGCCCACTGTCTTCTAGCTTCCAAAGTTTCTGATGAGGAATCTGTTGATAATCTTTTTTTTTTTTTTTTTCCTTTTTAAAGACAGAGTCTCACTCTGTTGCCCAGGCTGGAGTGCTGTTGGCTCACTGCAACCTCCACCTCCTGGGTTAAAGTGATTCTCCTGCTTCAGTCTCTTGAGTAGCTGGGACTACATGCGTGCACCACTATACCCAGCTGATTTTTGTATTTTTAATAGAAACAGGATGTCGTCCTGTTGGCCAGGCTGGTCTCAAACTCCGTGCCTCAAGTGATCCTCCCACCTCAGCCTCCCAAAGTGCTGGGATTGCACTGTGCCTGGCCTGTTGATAATCTTATTGAAGATTCCTTACATGAGATGAGTTGCTTCTCTCTTCCTACTTTCATGATTCTTTGTGTTTGGCTTGCAAAAGTTTGATTATAATGTTTCTTGGCATGAACCTCTTTGAGGTTATCTTACCATCTTGGAGTTCATTGAACTTCTTGGGTGTTTATACATTCATATCTTTCATCAGATTTGGAAAGTTTTCAGCCATTATTTCTTCAATGGTTTTTTTTTTGTTTTTTGTTTTTTTTTTTTGAGATGGAGTCACCCTCTGTCACTTGGCTGGAGTGCAGTGTCATGATCTCAGCTCACTGCAACCTCTGCCTCTTGGGTTCAAGTGATTCTCCTGCCTTAGCCTCTTGAGTAGCTGGGATTGCAGGCATGTGTCACCATGCCCAGCTAATTTTTGTATCTTTGGTAGAGACGGGGTTTCACCATGTTGGCCAGGCTGTTCTCGAACCCCTCACCTCAGGTGGTCTGCCCGCCTCGGCTTCCCAAAGTACTGAGATTACATATTTCTTCAGATACTCTCTTTGCCTTTTTCTCTCTTCTCCTTTCGAGACTCCCACATGCATATGTTGGGTCGTGTTGTGGTATCCCACAGGTCACTTAATCTCTATTCATTTTTTTTCAGTCTTTTCTTTCTGTTCCCAGACTCCATAATTTCCATTGTCTTATCTTCAGGTTTGCTGATTCTTTCTTTTGCCTGCTGAAATCTGCCTTTGAGGTTTTCTAGTGAAATTTTCATTTCAATTATACTTTTCAGCTGCAGAATTTCCTTTTGTTTTCCTAGGTGTTCTTTTTTTATTAAGATTGCCATTTTGTTCATACATCATTTTCTTGACTTTTTCCACATCTTCTAGTTCTTTAAGTGTCTTTAAGACAGTTGTTTAAAAATCTTTTTTGAGTAGATCTGGCTTGAGATCTTTCTCAGGGACAATTTCTGTGGATTTATTTTTCCCCTCTGGGTCATATTTTTATCTTTCTTTATATGCCTTGTGATTTTTTTAAAAATGAAAACTGGGCTGGGTGCCAGTGGCTAACGCCTGTAATCCCAGCACTTTGGGAGGCCGAGGTGGGTGGATCCTGAGGTCAGGAGATCGAGACCATCCTGGTTAACATGGTGAAACCCTGTCTCTATTAAAAATACAAAAAATTAGCCAGGCATGGTGTCAGGCGCCTGTAGTCCCAGCTACTCGGGAGGCTGAGGCAGGAGAATGGCGTGAACCCGGGAGGCGGAGTTTGCAGTGAGCAGAGATTGCGCCCCTGCACTCCAGCCTGGGCAACAGAGCAAGACTGTGTCTCAAAAAAAAAAAAAAAGAATAAAAGAAATGAAAACTGGGCATCTGTATCTAATCATGTGAGAACTGTGGAAATCAAATTCTCTCTCTTCCCCAGGGCTTGCTGTTTTTATTTATTCTTTTGGACTTCTTTTTTAAATTGTTGAAGGCTGTCTCTATGCCAGGCTTCAGCCCAAAGTATAAACTTAATGTCTTCTCAGGTCTTTCTGAGCCTGCCTGATTCTTTCCCTAGGCAGGTGCCATCACTTTCTCATTTTCCCCATATATGCAGTTGTTTTTGACCATCCTAGTCTTTAATGTCTGACTCCCAAAGGAAAATAAAAGAAAAATGAAGTGGAGAAGTCCGCTGGCTCTTTAAATAATACCGGGGCAGGGTGGGGGGTGGGGAGGGGCGTGTAACAATCAGAGGAGGTGACTGCCTCTCTGTATCTCTGTGATTAGAAACCACAATCAGCAATCTAGGCCTAGATTCCCAGTATTTGGAGGATCCTTTTTTCTCCAACTCAGCTCCCTCAAGCTGTGTGCACGGGGTTCCAGGAAGACGTGCACAGCTGCCTCCCTCAGGGCTGGGAGAGGGGTATGGGCAACTGCTACTGTGCTAAGAGCTGAAATTGACCAAAACTAACTACAATTTACTGTATAAGCCTTTCTCTGGAAGTTGCGGGTATTCCATAGACTGCAAGTTTCAAAAACAGTTACATCAGGCCAAGTGCAGTGGCGGATGCCTGTAATCCCAACACTGTCGGAGGCTGAGGCAGGTGGATCGCCTGAGGCTGTCAGGAGTTCGAGACCAGCCTTGCCAACATGGTGAAACCTTGTCTGTACTAAATATACAAAAATTAGCTGGGCATGGTGGCACATTGCCTGTAGTCCCAGCTACTCAGGAGGCTGAGACAGGAGAATTGCTTGAGCCCAGGAGGTGAATGTAGCAGTGAGCTGAGATTGCACCACTGCACTCCAGCCTGGGCAACAGAGCGAGACTCCATCTCAAAACAAAACAGTTAAATCAGACAAATACTACTAGTGCACTTGTCTAGGTGGGTAGACAGATTCCTGGTGGTTTCTTCTCTGCCATCTTCCCAAAATACTGTCAATCCATCTGTCGTTTGATACTTAGTTGTTTCCTGCGTGTGGAGCTATTGTGATGATGAAGCTCTCTGAAAATTCATGCAGGAGTCTGTGTGTGGACATATGTTTTTATTTCCCTTGGGTAAATAACTAGGAATTAAGTTAATGCTTAACTTTGTAAGAATCTACCAAGTAATTTGCTGAAGTAATTGTATTATTTACATGCCCGCTAGCAGTGGATGAGGATGCCGGTTGGTCCACGTCTTTGACAAAAGATGATGTCGTATTTTTAATTATAGTCATTCTAGTGAGTATAGGATATGTCATTGTGGTTTTAAATTGTATTTCTGTAGTGACCAGTACTGTTGAACATTTTTTTCATGTGCTTACTGGCTGTTCATATATCTTGTTTTTGAACTATCTTTTCAATTTTTTTCATCCAATTTTTACTAGGTTGTTTGTTTTATTATTGGGTTGTAAGAGTTCTTTATATATTCTGGATACAAGCCCTTTATCAGATATAGGTGGTGTACTTTTTTTCCCCAGTCTGCCTTTTCTTTCCATTTTAAAATAGTTTTTTTGAAGACCAGAAGCTTCTTATTCTGTTAGTGTATTATAGTCTTTTTCTTATGTGGTTCATGAATTTCTTTATCCTGTCCAAAAGATTGCCAACATTTTTCTTCCATGTTTTTTCCTAGGGATTTTATATCTTAGCTTGTATTTTTAGGTCAGGGAAGACCCTGCTAGTCTATAAACTTTTTGAAGGTACAGGCCATACCTGATTTACCTCTGTATTTTCCACAGTGATTAGTAGTCTAATAAATATTTGTTGAATGAATAAATCAATATGACTTCAGGTAGATAATGATGATAAGATACAGACAGATAGCTAGGCCCTAAGCTTCTGTATCCATTCCTTCTTTGCTGCTATAACCTGTGAGCTTGAATTACTTCCATGCTTTTGATTTAGTTCACCAGTATATTCTAGTTGGGGGGAAAAATCAGTTAAAAAAAAAAAACTCCATCAGAAAATGCATTTAAAAACTTGAAATACTATGCTATTGGATCTGTTAGGATATCTTAAAGTACCCTTATTATGTGAAACTGAAATTTCTTTTTCTCTTTTAACATAAGATATATACATACGTATGTGTGTGTGTGTGTGTGTGTGTGTGTGTGTGTGTGTGTGTGTGTGTGTGTGTGTATTTTGTTTTCTTTAAGAGACAAGGTTTCATTATGTTGCCCAGGCTGGTCTCAAACTCCTAGGGTGAAGTGATCCTCCCTCCTCAGTCTCCCAAACTGTTGGAACTACAGACATGAGCTACCACTCCTGGCTTCATTTTACATTTTCATGCAGTGGGTGTGAATTTCTCTTGCTATGAATTCAGAAAATTTAGTGGTTTTTTTTTTTTTAAGTCAAAATTGTAAAAATTTACCTGTGAACTGTGTGCATGAATTATAGAAACCACGGAAACATTTCCGTGTATTTTACTTCACTGAAACCCACTAACAACCTTAAGTGCAGTTCTGGGGGCAGAGCTGGGGCATCTAAACAAGGACACTTTAAAGAGTGAAAGGGAGGGCTGATAACAGTTATTCTGGAGCAGTCAGCATAAAATGGTTTTTTCCTGGGCAAACCAAGACCTGTGATCACCCTAAAGTTGATAGATACGAACAGATTAAATTTCTCTCTTCACCGGTGTTATATTTGCTTGTTTTTAGGGAACCACTTAATAGAAATGCCTCATAGGCTGTAGAAGATGTGCTGTAACAAAGACTGTAGGAAAAAATAATATGTGTATGTGTGTTTGTATGTGTTTTACAGAAAATAAAAGGAAATTTTATCTTTGCTCCTTTAGAAAAAATTGCCAATAAATTCAGTCATGGTTTTCCTTCCCTCTCACAAGTAAAAGCTGATAACAAATAAGCTTAGTCACATGTATTCGTTGCTAGCCACATTAGTTTTATTTATTTTGATGTCAATTCCTATTTTATTTCCCACATATACCCTACACAGAAAAAAAAAAAAAAAAAAAAAACTGGTGTTTTGCCACATGAAACAGGTGTAAGGGACGGATAAACAGACATGTGTCACATAGATCTTTACAGTTGGAGAATATGCAAAACCCAAGCCAGCCTTATTTCACATTTAAGAGGTGGATTTAGCATGTGAATTAGGATAAAGATCAGGAGGTAGAGACTTGTTTTTTGTTTCTGGAACATTCTTTAGGGACTTTTATTTAGTTTCTTCAACTGGGTAATTATTCTGGGCTTTCCTCCTGATTCTCCTTTAGGACAATATGGTGTGAAGTTCAGTGGAAAAATTTGAATTTTAGGCAGATAGTATTTTAGGGACTACTGTAGAAAGAGTTATCTCAGAAGTTTTCTTAGCCAAAATATATGTATGATTTGATGATACTGGTATTTCCTATATAGCTGTGGAGGGTTGGCTGTAACTTGGGAATTTGGAGATAACGGTTCAAATAGTTCAACCCAGAGTTTCTCTGCCTTTTGTATAGGTCATCCCATGATCCTATCATTAAGAGTGTTCATTTTTAGTATTCATGCAGCCTACAAGGCCTGGCATGGCAGAGCATGCCATTCTTCCTCTTCTTCCTTCTCCTCCTCCTCCTCCTTCTTACTCCTCCAATTCAGGGAAAATGAAGAGGGATTTTTCATATATTCTTTCTATAGGCTAACTCCTTCTGTAAAAGCAGTTTGCCTATTTCTACTTTTTGATGGTTCCTTTGTGCTTTTATGTTCATAAACCAAGCTCTGTTTGATTTGGAGTCTGTCAAGAGTATTAGAAAATTTTTATTTCATTCATAGTATATAGGCCTCTGCAAGTGTACCCTTTTTATGAAATACTACCTTTCGTATCAATTATCTGTGCCTTTTACTTTCAATCATAAGTGGTAATTAGAAGAGCTAGATCAGGCTGGGCATGGTGGCTTATGCCTGTAATCCCAGCCCTTTGGGAGGCTGAGGCGGGTGGATCACCTGAGGTCAGGAGTTCAATACCAGCCTGGCCAACATGGAGAAGCCCCGCCTCTACTAAAAATACAAAAATTAGCTGGGCGTGGTGGCACGCGCCTGTAGTCCCTGCTATTCGGGAGGCTGAGACAGGAGAATCGCTTGAACCTGGGAGGCGGGGGTTGCAGTGAGCCAAGATTGCATCACTGCACTCCAGTCTGGGTGAAGGAGCTCAGTGTACCATTCAGCATCTGTGCTGAACTTTTTACTTTTTAAGAGTGCACACTTGCAGCAGTACAGTAAGTGGGCCCTGGATTTGGACTGCTTATGTTAAAGCAGCTTTGATTGTGGTGCTCTGGACTATTTACTCACTTGTCTAAGCCTCAGTTTCTGAAGTTATAAAATGGAATGAAATCACCTCTCTTATAGGGTAGCAAGGATGAAATGAAATGTGTGTAAAGTGCTTGATAGACAATCTCGTCATTCAACCTTTTTTTTTTTTTTTTTTTGAGACAGTCTCACTCTGTTACCCAGGCTGGAGTGCAGCGGTGTGATCTTGGCTCACTGCAACCTCCGCCTCCTGGGTTCAAGCAATTCTTGTGCCTCAGCCTCCCAAGTAGCTGGGATTACAGTGGCATGCCACCACGCCTGGCTAATTTTTGTATTTTTAGTAGAGACAGGGTTTCACCATGTTGGCCAGGCTGGTCTCAGACTCCTGACAGCCTCAGCTGATTCACGTGCCTTGGCCTCCCAAAGTGCTGGGATTACAGGCGTGAGGCGCCGCGCCTGGCCTCAGTCAACTTTTAAAAAATGTGTTGTGGCAAAATACACATAAGATAAAATTTACCATTAGTGACATTGTACAACCAACATCACTGTCTAGTTCCAGAACATTTCCGTCACCCCAAAAGGAAGGCCCATACCCGTAAAGCAGTTGTTCTCTGTTATGTACTGAATTGCCTCTCCCCTAGGATTCATATGTTGTATTGTCCTAACCCCTATGTGATTGTATTTGAAGATAGTACTGTTAAAAAGTAAAGTTATATGAGGACATAAGGGTAGAACCATAATCCAGTATGACTGGTGTCCATATAAGAAGAGATACCAGGGGTGCTTGTGCACAAAGGAAAATCCACATGAGGACATAGCAAGAAGGCAGCCTTCAGCAAACCAGAAAGAGAGGCTTCACCAGAAACCAACCCTGCTGTCACTTTGGTCTTGGATTTCCGGCCTCTAGAACTGCAGGAAAATTAATTTCTGTTGTTTAAGGCACCCAGTCTGTGATATTTTGTTATAACAACTCATGTAAAATAGTGTACTCTCCATTTCCTCCCCACCCAATCCCTGGCAACCACTTTCTGCTTTCTGTTTTTATAGATTTGCCTTTTCTGGATATTTCATATACAGGAAATCATATAGTATGTGGCCTTTGGTGTCTAGCTTCTTTCACTTAGCCTAGTGTTTCCATCCATGTTATAGCATATATCAGTATTTCTTTTTTATGGCTGAAAATTATTCCATTGTATGAATATACCACATTTAGTTTATTCATTCATTGATGAATATTTGGGTTATTTCTGTTTTTTGGCTATATAATGCCACTATGAACATTTATGTACAAAGTTTTGTTTGAATACCTGTCTTTATTATTTCTTTGAGGTATACATTCAGGAGGAAATAGTTGGGTCATTCTATGTTTAATTTATTGAGCAGCCACCAAATTGTTTTCCATAACAGTTATACAATTTCACGTTTACACCAACAGTATACAAGGAGTATCTCTATATCCTTGCCAACATTGTTATTTTTTATTTTCAAAATTTAGCCATCAAAAAACCTTTTAAAAAGTATATTAATTAGAGGTCTAAACCTTTTTTAGGGCAGTATTTCTTTATCAGGATTCACATCATAATTACTAGTAGAGCTTTTAAATATATCCGTGACCAGGACCCTTCTTAGACTTTCTGAAGAGAGGTCTTCAGAGGTAGAGCCCTGAACTAATACTCTTCATTAAGAACCATTGCCAAAGATAGTGGTTCTCAGCATATGGTCTGGATATCTCTGGGGCTTCACATCCTCTCAGGGGAATCCTTGAAGTTGAAACTATTTTCTAATACTAAGACAGTAACTGCCTTTTTCATTCTCATTGTCTCAAGATTTTATATACAGTATTTTCCAGTCTTCATGGCATGTGATAGTGCAACAGATTGAATGCAAATGTAGGTATGAGAATCTAGCCACCTTTTGTTAAGCCAGACATTAAAGAAACTTATAAAAGTGTAAAGCAGTGTCACTCCTCTTACTAATTTTTTTGTTTTGGGAAAAAATTATGTTTCATAAAAAATATGTTATTTGTAACACATAATGGACTTGTCATTGTTTTTGTTTTGTGTGTGTGTATGTGTGTTTGAGACAGGGTCTCACTCTGTCACCTAGGCTGGAGCACAGTCACATTATCACAGCTCACTGCAGCCTCAACCTCCCAGGCTCAATCAATCCTCCTGCTTCAGCCTCCCAGCTAGCTGGGACTAAAGGCGCATGCCACCACGCTTGGCTAATTTTTGTATTTTTTGTAGAGACGGGGTTTCACCATGTTGCCCAGGCTAGTCTCAAATCCTGCCCTCAAAAGATCCACCCGCCTCGGCCTTCCAAAGTGTTTGGATTACAGGCATGAGCCACCGTGTGCGGCCTTGTCATTATTTTTAAGTAACACAAACATAATTTTAATTTATCAATTTTAGTAGTAAACGTTGGTAGATACAACCTAGATAAACCAAATTTCTTTGAGATCTACAATAATTTGAAGTGTAAAGGGATCTTTACAACATGGTGAAACCCCCATCTATAAAAAAATTTTTAATTAGCTGGGCTTGGTGGCACATGCTTGTGGTCCTCGCTACTCAAGAGGCTGGGGCAGGAGGATTGCTTGAGCCCAGGAGGTTGAGGCTACAGTGAGCTGTGTTTGTGCCACTGCACCCCAGCCTGGGTGATAGAGCAAGACCCTGCCTCAAAAAAAAATAAATAAATAAAATCAAGCAAATGCAAACTGTAGCCCGATGGAAAGGAAGGAGACAAAAAGTAACTTTGATCCATTTGTTCTCTTACCATATAGTTGGTGTTAGGTTAACCTTTTGATGTATTTATTTCATTTCATCTTTATAATAACCTCCATGACATTTATATACTCACCCTCATCTTTGCATGGGGAAATTTAGTCTTACAGAAATTAAGAACTTAGTTTGTTCATAAGTGGAGGAGCCATGATTTCAGCTTGGGTCTTTAGACTACATGTTCTTAATCAGTACCATAACCTTAAAAAAGTGAGTCATCTGGACAGGACTTGAGTCCAGGAAATTGTTGATAGTTCAATGCTATAATGACTCCTCTACCTCTGTAGTATCAGGCCTGAGAAAAGGGAACCTTTGAAATATTTGTAGACTTAAATAACACTTAAACACTATGTAGTACATGTAACTAAAGTAAAGTACTTACATGTTGTTCTCTTTAGTGGTCCTCAGAGCAAGGACCACTAAATATGAGAGGTGTAAGAGGGATAATTTCGACACGAGTAAGTGCCGTTGACAAAATTATATAGGTAATTTTAGTGTCTTATTGAGACATAAGGATAAATATTCAGTTAGAAAGAACAGTCAAATTTGTGACCTTTTCAAATAATGTTATTTTCTAAGCCCCCATATCCAGTCAGTCCTGAAGAGTCCATTGTTGCAGGAATGAAGTGGCATTTCACTCAGGAGCCAAAGAATCATATACTGCTGTGTTTACATAGAATAGACTAGGATAATTATTTTCTTGTAGTAATGTTATAGTTAATTTAAAATTTGTTCTAATTAGAGCAGTTCACCCGCTCTAGTCCTTTTCAAAGATTTTCTTGTTGACAGAGCAAAAATATGTGACAGTTTTTAAAAACTGATGCTGTTACTCTCTAGTGCCTTCTGTGAACTATTATTTCGCAGAACAGAATTATTTTTTGTTTAGTAATTGATATTCTATTTACCTTCCTTTTCTACCCTTAATCCCATCCCACTGCTGTTTCAAATATTCATTTGGGAAGCTGGGTGCCATAGTGGGCATGTGTAATTCCTCCTTCTTGGAAGCCTGAGGCAGGAGGGTCACTTGACCCCAGGAGTCCAGTCTGGGCCACATAGGAGACCCCATCTCTTAAAAAAAGTGCAATTTGGGGATCAGCATATTTTATAGAAGAAGAATTACTTATTTGACAAATATTGACTAGTATGTGTTAGGCACTAGATTAAGACTGAGGATGGGCCGGGCGCGGTGGCTCACGCCTGTAATCCCAGCACTTTGGGAGGCCGAGGCAGGCGGATCACGAGGTCAGGAGATCAAGACCATCCTGGCTAACACCGTGAAACCCCGTCTCTACTGAAAATACAAAAAATTAGCCGGGCGTGGTGGCGGGCGCCTGTAGTCCCAGCTACTCGGGAGGCTGAGGCAGGAGAATGGCATGAACCTGGGTAGTGGAGCTTGCAGTGAGCCGAGATCGTGCCACTGCAGTGAGCCGAGATCGTGTCATCCAGTCTGGGTGACAGAGCGAGACTCCATCTCAAAAAAAAAAAAAAAAAAAAAAAAAAGACTGAGGATGAGGATGCCATAATGAACCAAATAAAATATATATATATGTATATAGTCGCTCATGAAATTTTCAATATAATGGAGATGGATGTTAAATAATCACATCGATTGATGTAAATTTTTTATTTTGAAAGGTGCTGTGAACAGTAAGTAGTACTTGGTGTTATTAAAGAGCATATTGGTTTTTTCACCAAACCAACAGGAAAAAAAAAAAAAAAGAGCGTATTGGGAAGATTGGCCTAGGAAGGTTGGGAGACGACTGAAATCAAAGTGGAAGCTGGGGGGAGACATGAGTTCAGTTTGTGACAAGTGGAAGGACCAAATAAGCAGATGGATATATACTTTTGGAACTTAGAGAAGAGGGCTGGTTAGAAGGTATAAATTTGTGTGTGCCAGTAAGTAGTTAACTGAAATCATTGGCCAAGGGAAATCATATAAGGAAAAGTATCGGGAGAAAAGTTAAAGGTTCTAGGGGTAACTTTGGAGGAGTGCTACTGCTTAATGAACAGCTAAAGCGGCATGTAAAAGGAGGCAGAAATAGAGGTCAGAGCAGTATTTAGAAGGAAAACGAGGACAGTACTAGGAAAATAGTGTTAAATGTTTCAAGAGGCGAGGGTATTTCAAGGTGTATCAAATAAAATCTGGTCACTGCTTACTGTGTTTACAAGGAAGGCCCTGCATGTTCTGGTCCTTTCCACCATCTCTTATCATTGATCCTGCTACTGGCCTACACCTGTTCTTTAAATTCTTTAAACATGTCAGGCTCCTTCCTACCTTGGGACCTATGTGTTGGTGTTTGCTTTGCTAGAATGTTCTTTTCACATGTCATCTCCTCAGATGGTTAGCTAACCTTCCTCCCCCTTTAGCAGGATTGTTGTCAGACTCTGTCAAACTTGGAATTTCATCATATAATTTAGATTAAATTTTGCTTGGGTCTCAAATTCAGTTCCAAAAAAAATATTAAGAACATGTTAAAGGAAATTATTTGGCACAAGTTTTTGGCAATAAAGATAAGAATTTTTAGAATTTAGAATTCACCCTCCCTAAGGCATCTTGACATGACATGATTGTTGAAATGGTGAAGGCTGCATCTCTTTTATAATCCCTTTCCACCAAGTGTATTGCATGGTGGACAGATAGGGGAAAGCTGAAAAGGGGGTATCTGGAGTCTACTCTTTTAGGCATGTAGAAATAATGAATGCAAAATATATCACAGTATTGACAATCCAGTGAACACAAAACAGTAGTAAAATAGATGTTCATTTTCCTGAATGATGAGAAAAGCACTTGGCAAAAACTTTTAAAATCCAGTTTAATAGTTTTCTGGGAGTTCACTTAAGGTCAATGAACTTTTACTAAACTAACAGTAAAGAAGTGATATGGAGGTTGGGGGTGGTTTGGGAAGGGTGTAGTGAAAGTTGCTGATCAGTCTTATGCTGAATAAGTTCTTCCCAAACTAAAGAATAGCAGTTCCTCTGTTCTTTCAAAATGTTAAGATTCACTGTGAAATTTCAGGGCCAGAAAGAATAAATGGCCAGGCAATCAGTGACCACTTTATATTAATCTATTTGCCATCTTGAGGGCTTCATAAAACTCCATACACGGGAGAAAGTGAACTTTGTAGAACCTTTTTTTTTTTTTTTTTTTTCAATTTTGCTTTTTATTTTCCAAAGAGCCATTTTTGTAGCTATCTAGGTTGATGTGTATTGAATGTACTTTTGTTATACTAAACATTAACTCCAAGCTCATGGATTTTCCTTATATAGCTTTCCTCTCTTCATAGTTTGGCACAAGAATGATTCTTAGTGCCGAGTGTTTTCTTTTTCTCCTGGTCTCTTCTCAGAGCAATACTGGCCTTTCACCTGGTTTTGTATCTTATTTTAGAAATGGCCTTGTTCTCAGATTTTATTTAAATGTTGGTTGGTTCAGTCTTTGCTGCAAATGGCTTTCATGTCTGTGGAAGATAGGAAAAAAGAAAGAAAGAAACATAAATTAAAATAGAAGTGATTCCACATGCAGCTAGAGACAAAATTATTGCAAAAGACAGTAGAGATCAATGCCAAGCTGTCCCCAACCCCTACTCCTATAAGGATTTGAAGACCAGAAAAGCTAAATAACTTGCTAAAGATTACAAAGTATTGACGAGAATATATCATTCTCATTATTTTCATGAAGATAACATTCTAGAGAGCTGTATTTTAACACGTAAAACAAGCTATTCATAATATGCCAAACTGCTTCCCCTAGTTATCTTTGAGAAGGGGGAATATACTAAAAATTTTTCTTTCTAATTTTCTGAGTTTGCAGTGTTGTTTTGAGCATCATTGTTGTTAGTATCATGGTTAAGGCTATGAGCATTAGAGTCAGAAATGTGGATTTGAGTTTGGCTTCCACCATTTACTAAGCTATGACTTTGACTTTTGGGAAAGCTTCTTAACCCATCTGAACTGCAGTTTCTTATTCTGGAAGATAAGTGTATTAATACATACGTAGACTGAGTTAACTATGAAGGGATTAACTCTAAGGTTCTTGTCCATTTAGTGCTTGGCCCATAATGATCATTCCATAATGGTAACCACTAGTACTACTACTACTATTGCTACTATTACTTATAATAGAACACTTGATACTGAACAGTATCTTTGGATACTGACATAGGGTGATCATTATTGAATTATTTAAACATTCATCTGCTTAAAGATTAGATGCTTTCTTACGCAATTTTTCAACATACCTTCCAGTTCATTTTATCACTCTGTTACTTTAGAGGAAGCACTGTGGTCATTAGTTCTTACTCTATCAAAATGATATTTAACTCTCAGATACCTCAGTCAGAGCCTGATCCTTACTATAATTGAAATAAAAATTATTGAGCCTCTTCTGTATTTTATACTAGAGACCTTGCCCTGCATTGCCAGGGAAAATCATTAACCACTGCAAAATTTAAAAATCCCTATTGCTGCTCATCTTGGAGCATCCTGTGCTCCATAAGTATACACACAATTTCTTGTGATAAAGTACCAGAAATGTCATTTTACTTATTTAGATGTACTGTACTATTGCCAACCTACCTAGAGATGGCACAGTCACAGATTGGAAACTCAGGGCCTTGTAATTGTTGAATTTATTGTTTGGGCCAGACCTGGATTGTTTGACCCCTTTTAGGTACTGAGGGCGTCAGTGACATATATCTGAGTATTTTTCTATATTTGTAATGTTACCGTTTGTGAGGATGTGCTTTTTAGTTTACAACTGAGGAAGCCTGTCATCATCATTAGTACTCATTCATTCAGCATGAGCACCTGTTTTATCTTAGGCACTAGAGATGCGAATATGAATAAAACATGATTCCTGTTCTGGAAAACGCTGGGGGAGAAAAATAACTTAGATAGTTACATTTCAAAGTGATATGTTCTATATAATAAATATGAAAAAGTGTTATAGTAATATACGAGAGGGAGCAATAAACTTGGGGGAATGGTAAGGATTCAAAGGGGAAGTGACAGTTGAGCCAAGTATTGAAGGATGAATGGGAATTTTCTATTTGGAGGGTAGAGGAGCAGGGGAGGAGGCAATACAGGGTAGGGAAGAGCCTATGCAAAAACTAAAGGACATGCATGGGACACGCTAGGAAAGGAGAAGGTCTTCAGAGTGGCTGGATAAAAGGATGTGTGGGAAAGAACTGAGTTGAAATTAGGAGTTAGAATTTTATTCTTTGGTACTAAGGAATCATTGAAGATTTTAAAATTAGGGCTGACATAATCAGATTTGAGTTTGGAAACCTATAGTTTGGGACTGGAGGAAGACAGGTGCCAGACACCAGTTAAAAAGCTGTTATTTTCTAAGCAGTAGACAAAGGTTTACACTGACAATAGCTGTGGAGATAGAGAAAAGCTGCGAGATTTCAGAGTTTTCCAAGGTGTAAACAACTAAATTTTGTGATCAAAATGATAAGGGCCATGTAATAAGCTGGGGAATGTGGGATCTGTCTTGGTTGAGTTGGTGGATTAACTGAGATTAACAGAGCTGGAGGAAATGTAAAAAGAAAGGCAGGATTGTTCATTTTGTCTTTTGTTTGTTTTGGGGAACAGGGTCAAAATTTTCATTCTGCATAAGGTAGGTTTAGTCTTTTTCAAAACATTCTAGTAGGCAAGTCTGTAGCTGAATCTTGGAAGAAAGGCAACCATAGTAATATTTTTGAGTTCCTACTGTTTATTTTTTCAATAAAAACTAAGGTTCTCAGGTTAGCAGATCATGGTCTTAGGAAGGTAGCTGTAGAACCAAAATATAACTTCCTAAGCTTCTACCAATTGGGTCTTACTGAAATGGCAATTGAGAGAGAAGTAAATCTCTTGGTTTTCACCATAGTTACTTTATGTTTCCTTTCCCAGAGTATCTTTACTAAAAAAAAAAAAAAAAAGAAAAAGAAAAAACTTATATATATACAAAATCCATCTATTTTCTACACTAAGTTTTCTGATCTTAATATTATTTGGCTAAATGACAGATTAGGTGTGCTCAGGATCAAGGATCATAGCTAAGGAGCCTCAAACAGCTTGCTTTGTTCTAACAAAACCTTAACATTTAAAGATTAAGTCCTCAAGAAATATTTATTACTTCATATGTGCTTGATCTAATCTCAGCTGTTACTTGGTTTGAATGTGAGGGAAACAATAAGTATTAAAGAATGACGGATGTAGTGTCCACTTCACTATAGGAGTTTAAGAATAAGGGATTTTTCTCCCCATTTGGATGGTTGAGCTATAGTCCTCTGGAATCAAGGGAATAAAGTAGTTCCTCAAAATCTCTCACCTCCACATTTCAGGGGTCATTCACCATTGATTGAAAGACAGGTGGTCGTCAAGGACTTGAGTGGGCTTTGAACAAGGTGAACTGCAATATGTATCTGACGTTCTTTTTTCTTGTGTTTAAAAAATAAATGAACACACCTTATCTACATGAAATTCTAGTTTTCACTGTTATTATCTAGATTTTCTGTGGGGTTTCTTGGGCTGCGGTGTTTTTTTCTTTACTTTGTTCTTGATTGCTGTGAAATGTAGTTGCCTGCTGTTTTAAGGCAGCTGCAGTAGAGTGCACCCAGAAGTGGTTATGTTTCTATATTTAGTAAAACCATAGGATTTGTGAAGCAGTTGCAGATTCCTTCAGGATAAAATGGTTTCTATAAATGTAACTTTTTTTTTTCTTTTTTTTTTTTGTTTGTTTGTTCATTTATTGAGACAGGATCTCACTCTCGCCCAGGCCAGAATGCAGTGGCATGAACATGGCTCACTGTGGCCTCCACCTCCTGGACTCAAACGATCCTCCTGCCTCAGCCTCCCAAGTAGCTGGACCTATAGGCACAGGCCATCACACCTAGCTATTTTAAAGGATTTTTTGTAGAGATAAATTTTCACCATGTTTCCCAGGCTGGTCTTGAACTCCTAAGTTTAAGCAGTCCTCCCAGGAAGTGCTAGGATTACAGACCTGAGCCACTGTGCCCAGCCTCAATGTAACATTTTTAATGAAACTGTTATTATCACCTATTAGAGAAATATGTAGCAGCAAATATGTGTCAGTCTGTGGACAAGACAGAGGCACACAAAACTTTATTTTCCGTAAGAGCTCACTGAATATTTAAATACTTAAAATTAATCATGTGAATTCTATTTGCATTCTCTTAATCTTGAATTGCAGAGCTTTTACTCAAGTGTTTACCTTTGGTCCGACCTTCCGAGCTGAAAATTCTCAGAGCCGGAGGCACCTGGCAGAGTTTTATATGATAGAAGCAGAGATTTCTTTTGTTGACAGCCTTCAAGATCTTATGCAGGTAGGTACACAAGTTTTAAAATACCAGGTATCTGTGACATTAAAATGTTTCTGTATATATTTTTACCTCGGACGTTTATGTGTTACAGGTATTCATAAAGTGAAAAGAAGGGGTAACTACTTAATAAACACTTATTGAATGCCTTTACTGTAATAGTTTAAAATACAAGAGTCAGACAGATTTAAGTTTATATCCCAGCTCTGCCATTAGCTTTGCTATGAAGTTCCCTGACTTTCATGATCTTTAGGTTCCTCAACTCTAAAATGAGAATAATTGTGCTTACTCCTAAGGTTATGTGAGGGGTAAATGAAATTGTATATATAATATAATGCATATAGCATGGGGTCTGGAACACAAGCAGGTTCACTAAATAGTAGCTCTGATTTGCTAGGAAAATATACCAAACATCTTTATAATTATATAAATGTCTGTAATACTTACATAAACCCCTATGTAGCTATATTAGAAAGCATCCACAGGAGCTATCAGCTCAGTTGAGCAGGGGACAAGGCTGGAGAGATGGTCATGGTCAGGCAACAGATCATGAAAGACCTTGTATTTCAGTGCCATAGTAAGGAGTTTGAACTTTACCCAAAATTTAAGGAGCAAGAGTTCTAAATTGGAAAATGAAGGTCAGAGCTATATTTTAGGCACATCTTTTTAGCAGCAATATGAACAATGATTTAGAGGTAGATAAAAGTAGAGAGGCCTTGTTAGGAGGCTGTAGACATAATCCAGACAGTGCACACAAGTGGAATTGAATGGACCAAGATTTGATGCTTAACCACTCACATGCTATGTGACCAACTTAGACAAGGGACTTAATGTCTCTAGGCCTCAGTGTCTTCATCAAAATTCCAATACATAGGAATAAAAATTCCTACTTTATAGGCTACTTGAGAAGATCAGGTAGATAAAATCTATATATGTGTGTGTGTGTGTGTGTGTGTCTGTATATATATATATATATATATGAAGTACTTAGCATAATTTATGGCACTTAGTAAATACCCAGGAATTGTTAACTGTTAAATTATGAATTGTCTATTCAGAAGCATTGTGGTTACTATCTTAGTTTGGATTTGTAATTATGGGATGTTTATTTTAGTGATTTTCATCAACTCTCCTTTCTGTTCATTTCTATGTCTTTCTACTCTTACCCAGTAAATGACCTATTTCCACTTAAAACATAAATACCATATATATCACAAATAGAACAGACTAATTATTTTATTACCCTGTCTTGAGTTGGATTTCCTAGTAAACAAAACTCTCTAAGGCAGAGATGTGTGGGCAGGGGCGTTATTAGGGAGTGCTCTTGAGAACAGTATTCATAAGGAAAGGAAGAAAGTCACATTGAACAGTGGGAAGTGTGAACTGTGATCCATTTACAAACAGAGGCCTTAGCTTCTTCTGTGAAGAACTTTGGAACTGGAATGGTCCTAAACCAGATGGGAACAGTTGTCCCATCTAAAAGCAAGGCGTTAGCACTTTGTGCCTTCCCATATCAACCAATCATTGGATGTGATTAGCCACTGGAAGGGGCATAACCTTGAGTAAGGCAGTACCTTTGGGTCTCGACAGTTCCTGATGAAGCACTCAACTATAAACCATCAGCAGTTAGTAATATTCCTGGATTCCCATATAGGGCACTTGGCCCTGAAGGGGCATTCGGCCACACAATATAGCATTTCACTTCCATGCTCCCTTTACACTTCCCGCTGAGCATTTTGGATCAGTCCCCATGGGACATTTTTGGTTATCCCTATTAGGGAATGGGCAGGGAAGGGGGAGAGTGGTCACTACTAGCATGTAGTTGGTAAAGGCAGAAGTGCTGTTCAACAACCTAAAGTGCACAGCCACCTTCTCCCCGGTAATTAGCTGGCCCAAAGTATCAGTAGTGCTGCTGTTGAACAACCATATTCTGGACTGTAGGGATTCAGGATCTGAGCTTCAGAAGGAGTCAGTGGCATTCCTTAAGTAGCTTTCACTTGAGCCCATCCCCTAATTCTTTATTAATCTTTGTTCTACAATTATATTTTACCATATGACAGGGTTGCAAGATATCGTTTATTTTTCTCAGTTATATTAGTAAAAACATTGAGGAATAGATAGGTTAAGCTACATACCTTTTTAGTAAGTGTGAGCAGAATTCAGTTACAGATTTTCACCTTTGCATTCAGTCAACAGTGCCATGAAATTATTTTATTCTGCTCTAAACCGGAGCATTTCAATCTAAACTTAGGGTTTAAAATTAGTCATTTCTTTATTTCATTTTCTTTTCTTTATTCTTTTTTTTTTGAAACAGGGTCTCACTCTTGTCTGCCAGGGTGGAGTGTGGTGGTGCAGTCTCAGCTCACTGCAGCCTCCTGAGTAACTGGGTCTGTAGGCACACACCACATGCCCAGCTAATTTTTTGGTAGAAACGGGGTTGCCCAGGTTGGTCTTCAACTCCTGAGCTCAAGCCATCCGCCTGCCTCAGTGTCCCAAAGTGCTGGGATTACAGGCATGAGCCAGCATGCCCAGCCTCATTTTCTCTTTTTCTTCCATTTCTTGACTTTGTTTTTATCTGTAGATGCCCTGACTGATGGATTTTTAGGCTAGTTTCTTAAGCTTTGGTGATTAATGTCCAGGAATACTGTGAACCAGAAGAAAACACAGAGTCATTTTATTCAGAGCATTGCCTTGTACTACCTTTGCTGGTGTTATCTCAGATATATTCCAAAATAAGTTGGGAACTGATTAAAAAGGGTTGGACTACTCCAGAGAGATCAGTTATCCCAGGAGAACAGTTACTTGTCCAGTGGCTTTAGATGGGGTGGGCCTGGGCAAGGAGGTAGCTTCAGTGACGTTACTCCCTGAGAGTTGCATAATAGGTGTCTGAAGCAGTTTTGATTTATCCCTTCACCAGTTGAAGGACATTTAGTTTATTCTGCTTTTGAAAGTAATGAACAAAGTTGCCGTAAATATTTATGTGCAGGTTTTATATGAATGTAAAGTTTCATTTCTGGTTTTTTGTTTTTTGAGGCAGGGTCTCACTCTGTCACCTAGGCTGGAGTGCAGTGGTGCAGTCATAGCTCACTTCAGCCATGAACTCCTGGGGCTCAAGTGATCCTCCCACCTCAGCCTCCCAAGAAGCTAAGACTACAGGTGCTATTTTTTAAATTTTTTATAGAAACAGGATCTCACTGTGTTACCCACGCTGGTCTCAAACTTCTGGGCCCAAGTGATCCTCCTGCCTCTCAGCCTCCTAAAGTGTTGGGATTACACATGTGAGCCGCAGCCACCCAGACTCATTTCTCTTGGGTAAATTCCTAGGAGTGGGATTACTAGGTCAGTGTTTGATGTGATGTTTTATAGTCTTCATTATACAGATCTTGGTTAAATTTACGCCTAAGTGGAGTTATCTTTTGGTATCCAGAAGGGATTGGTTTCCAGACCCTCCCCACTCCCTGCCATTATGGATACCAAAGTCCATGGTTACTTATGTTCCTTATATAAATTACAAAATTTCTTTCATTTTATAGGGAAGAAATCTGTTTTCCAAAATGACTGTTCCATTTTGCATTCCTACCAGCAATGTATGGAAGTTTTACTTGTTCTAGTTCTTCATTAGTACCAAGTACTGTCAGGCATATGTGGTGGTTTTAAGCCATTCTAAGAGCTGTGTATTAGTATCTCTTTGTGGTTTTAATTTGCATTTCCCTAATGCTTATTGATGTTGAGCATCTTTTCATGTACTTACTGGCCATCTATATGTCATCTCCTGTGAGATGTATTTTTATTGCCCATTTTCCATATGGCTTGCTTGTTTTTTTCACTGTTGAATTTAGAGAATTCTTTATATATTCTAGCTACTAGTTCCTTGTTGGATGTGTGGTTTCTGTGTTCTCCTAATAAGTAGCTTGACTTTTCATCCCCTTAATTTTGATGACATCTAGTTTATCATTTTTTCTTTCATGGATTATGCTTTTTGTGTCAAGTCTAAGAACTCTTTACCTTGCCCTAGATCTCAAGGATTTTATGATGTTTTATAGCTTTAGCTTTACATTTTTCATGTAAGTCTATGATCCATTTTGAGTTAATTTTTGTGTAACGTTAGACAGAAGTTCTTGTCCCTTCCTTTCCTTTCCTCTCTTCTCTTTCCCCTTTCCTTTCTACCTCTGGATAACTTCTTGCTCCAGCACCATTTGTTGAAAAGGCTGTTAGCTAAACTTCATGTATTGAATTGCTTTTGGGTCTTTGTCAAAAATCAGTTGGTCATATATATATGGATCTATTTCAGAATCCTCTATTCTGTTCCGTATTCTACTTTTTTAACACTTCAAGTAAAACAACAGTCTTACTACTATGTATTTCCCTTTACCTTCACCCCTTTATCTTATAGTTGCCATATGCATTACAAGTTCTATGTATTAATTTCCTATTGCTGCTATAACACGTCACCACAAACCTGGTGGGTTAAAACAACTCGAATTTATTATTGTATACTTCTGGAGGTGAGAAGTCCAAAGTGGATTTTACTGGTCTGAAATCCAACACTGCTAAAAGGTGTCAGCAGAGTTGCATTCCTCTTGGAGGCTTCAGGGGAGAATTAGGTCCCTTGCCTCTTCCATTTTCTAGAGACTGCCTGCATTCTTTGGCTCACAGATCTTAAAAACCAGCAAGGTATCATCTTCAAATCTTTCTAACTCTCAACACCCTCATGCCTCCCTCTTTCACGTAAAGGATCCTTGTGATTACATTAGTCCCACCCACATAATCTAGAATAATCTCATCATTTAAAGATTCTTAATCACACATACACAGTTTTTTTTTTTTTTTTTTTACCAGGTAGGCTAACACACTCACTGGTTCTGGGATTGGAGCATGGACAGCTTTGGCAGAGGGATAAATATTATTCTGCCAATCACAATTCACATACCTTGAAAACCTCTGGTGATGTTTGAATTTTTGCTCTCAATCACCATACATATTTTAAATAATTTCAGAAGAGAAAAAAACATCTGTTGTATTTACCTACATTTGGTAGTAATAGTAAATTACTGTTTCTGTTGTTCTTGTTTCATTACTCAAGTTCCAGATTTCCTTCTGGGGTCACTTTGCTTCAGCCTAAAGAATTTCCTTTAACATTTAAAAGCATTTCTGCTGGCAATCAGTTCTTAGTTTTTCTTCACTTGAGAATTTTTTCATTTTACTGTCATTTCTGAAAGATGCTTCCACAGGATATAGAATTTTGGCTTGACAGTTCTTTTCTTTCAGCACTTTAAATATAGTCTGCTATCTTTTGACCTCTGTAGTGTTTGAGAATAAATCCAGTCTTGAATTGTTTTTTCCAATGTAAAGGGTCATTTTTCTCGGTTTCTTTCAAGATTTTTTTCTTTGTCTTTGGTTTTCAGCACATGGATTATGATATGTCTAGGTATAATTTTCTTCGAGTTTATCCTGTTTGTGATTTAGTGAGCTCCTTGAATATGTCTTTAGCCAACTTGGGGGAGTTTTCAGCCATTATTTCTTTACGTATTTTTTTCTGTGCCCTTTTTTGTCTTTTCTGCTTCTGGTACTCCAGTAACACAAATGTAAAACCTTTTGATATTGTCCCATGGTGCTGTGATGCTCTGCTTATTATTAACGAGTCTGTCTGTCTGTCTTTCTTTCTTTCTTTCTCTCTCTCTCTCTTTTTCTTTCTTTCTTTTTTTTTTTTTTTTAGACAGAGCCTCACTCTGTTGCCCAGGCTGGAGTGCAGTGGCATGATCTCAGCTCACTGTACCCTCCACCTCCTGGGTTTAAGCATTTCTCCTGCCTCAGCCTCCTGAGTAGCTGGGATTATAGGCACCTGCCACCATACCTGACTAATTTTTGTACTGTTATCAGAGACGGGGTTTCACCATGTTGGCCGGGCTGGTCTCAAACTCCTGACCTCAAGTGATCCGCCCACCTCAGACTCCCAAAGTGCTGGGATTACAGGCGTGAGCCACCATGCCTGGCTAGTATTTTTTCTTTCTGTAATTCAGAATTGGGGGCATTTCAACTGAACTGTCTTCAAACTTACTAATTCTTTCTTCTTTTGTCTTCATTATGATAATGAGCCCATCCTGTGAAATTTTTATTTCACATATTTTCCAATTCTAAAATTTTTATTTATTTATTTTTAGTTTCTTTTTCTCCACTGAGAAGTTCAGTCTTTCTCTTTAAGAATGTTTCCCTTTACCTGTGGAAGATGTTTATAATACCTGCATCAAATTGTCAGATAATTCCAGTATTTGAGTCTTCTATGTGTATGTGTCTGTTGGTTATTTTTTCTCATGAGAATTCATAAGATTTTCCTGGTTCTTTGTATGTCCGGTAATTTTTAAGTATATCCTGGCTGTTTTTAATGTTGTGTTCTGACACTCTGGGTTCTGTTAAAATCCTTTGGAAATGGAATTATTTTTGTTGTTGTTTTTACCAGTTATTAGACTGGTTAGATTGAGACTGTAAGTTTTATTTTACTTTCTATTGGCATTGGTCTCCATGTCAGTTAAGTTTTCAAAGCCTCTGCTGTGCTATTTGAGTCTTTCTGATGCGTGTGCTACTCATAGTCTGGAAATTGCACAGTGATTTGTAGTTCATTGTCAGAAGCATTCACTGTGCTTCTTTGGGTCTGTTTCACATATACATTTCTTGGAGGTGAGCCCTAGCCTTATGTTACTTCATACACAATTAGAGGGTCACCTTCTCCTGTTCTTCAGAATTTCCTTCACACTGTCTGGCCCCCCATTTTGGTTTCTCTGGCCAGAAAGACAGATTTCTCCCAGGTCTTAGTTGCCACCATGTTATTCATTTCCAGGTGACTGTGGCCACCATTGGGTCTAACTGACAAGAGAAAATATTTAAAAAAAAATAATAGGCTGGGTGCAGTGGCTCACTCCTGTAATCCCAGCACTTTGGGAGGCCGAGGCGGGCAGATCACCTGAGGTCAGGAGTTCAAGACCAATCTGGCCAACATGGTGAAACCCTGTCTCTACTAAAAATACAAAAATTAGCTGGGCATGGTGACATGTGCCTGTAATCCGAGCTACTTGGGAGGCTGAGGCATGAGAATCGCTTGAACCTGGGAGGCGGAGATTGCAGTGAGCCGAGATCGTGCCACTACACTCCAGCCTGGGCGACAAGAGCAAGACTCCGTCTCAAAAAATAGTAGTAATAATAATAGAGATTACCCACATCCACGCTCTTCAAAACAGCAGTCTGCCTTTCCCAGTTCCTCTGTTGGAGAAGTAGGTCTTCTCTTGGTGTTTTAGGTGCTTGTGCCACTGTCACCCTGACAGTGCCACTCCACAACTGGGGCTACATTTTGGCTAGGAACAGAAGAGAGAAAAGACTGGGGGACAAAACAACCAAGGATTTTCCTAAAAACACTATCCTACAGGGACTTTACCAGACTAGTAGTAGGAGCTTTCTTCTAGAAGTTTTGCTTCCTATGCCTACTAAACAGATCAACAACGTTTTATCCCCAAATCAAAACCAGGAGACAAAGGAGGTAAAAATGGAACTAAAATTCATCTCCATTTCAGGTTATTAATCAAGTTGACTAGTTCCCATTCCACCTATCATTGTTTATTTTTCTGAGTCCTTAGGTAGTTGCTCTTTGTATTCTGACCAGAGTTTTTTTTGTTTTTTTTTACTTTAAGTTCTGGGATACATGTGCAGAACGTCCAGGTTTGTTACATAGGTATACATGTGCCATGGTGGTTTGCCGCACCTATCAACCCATCATCTAGGTTTTAAGCCCCACATGCATTAGGTATTTGTCCTAATGCTCTCCCTCCCCTTGTCCCCCATCCCCCAATAGGCCCCAGTGTGTGATGTTCCCCTCCCTGTGTCCATGTGTTCTCATTGTTCAACTCCCACTTGTGAGTGAAAACACGCAGTGTTTGGTTTTCTGTTCCTTTGTTAGTTTGCCTAGAATGATGGCTTCCAGCTTCATCCATGTCCCTGCAAAGGACACGAACTCATTCTTTTTATGGCTGCATGGTATTCCATGGTGCATACAGTATCCAGTCTATCACAGTATCCAGTCTATCACTGATGGGCATTTGGATTGGTTCCAAGTCTTTGCTGTTGTAAATAGTACTGCAATAAACATGTGTGCATGTGTCTTTATAAAGTAGAATGATTTAAAATCCTTTGGGTACATACCCCGTAATGGGATTGCTGGGTCAAATGCTTTTCTGGTTCTAGATTCTTGAGAAATTGCCACACTGTCTTCGCAGTGGTTGAACTAATTGACACTCCCACCAACAGTGTAAAAGCATTCCTGTTTCTCCACAGCCTTGCTAGCATCTGTTGTTTCCTGACTTCTTAATAATTGCCATTCTAACTGATATAAGATGGTATCTCATTGTGGTTTTTATTTGCATTTTTCTAATGACCAGTGATGATGACCTTTTTTTCGTATGTTTGTTGGCTGCATAAATTTTTAAGAAGTGTCTGTTCATATCCTTCACCCACTTTTTGATGAGGTTGTTTGTTTTTTTCTTGTAAATTTGTTTAAGTTCCTTGTAGATTCTGGATACTAGCCCTTTGTCAGACGGGTAGATTGCAAAAATTTTCTCCCATTCTGTAGGTTGCCTCTTTACTCTGGTGGTAGTTTCTTTTGCTGTGAGAAGCTCTTTAGTTTAATTAGATTCCATTTGTCAATTTTGGCTTTTGTTGCAGTTGCTTTTGATGTTTTAGTCATGAAGTCTTTGCCTATGCCTGTGTCCTGAATGGTATTGCCTACGTTTTTTTCTAGGGTTTTTATGGTTTTGGGTTTTACATTTAAGTCTTTAATCCATCTTGAGTTAGTTTTTATATAAGGTGTAAGGAAGGGGTCCAGTTTCTGTTTTCTGCATATGACCAGCCAGTTTTCCCAGTACCATTTATTAGATAGAGAATCCTTTCCCCATTTCTTGTTTTTGTCAGGTTTGTCAAAAATCAAATGGTTGTAGATGTGTGGTGTTATTTCTGAGGTCTCTGTTTTGTTCCATGGGTCCACATATCTGTTTTGGTAACAGTACCATGTTGTTTTGATTACTGTAGCCTTGTAGTATAGTTTGAAATCAGGTAGTGTGATGTCTCCAGCTTTGTTCTTTTTGCTTAGGATTATCTTGGCTATACAGGCTCTCTTTTGGTTCCATATGAAATTTAATGTAGTTTTTTCTAATTCTGAAGAAAGTCAGTGGTAGCTTGATGGGAATAGCATTGAATCTATAAATTACTTTGGGCAGCATGGCCATTTTCACGATATTGATTCTTCCTGTCCATGAGCATGGAATTTTTTTTTCCATTTGTTTGTGTCCTCTCTTATTTCCTTGAGCAGTGGTTTGTAGTTCTCCTTGAAGAGGTCCTTCACATCCCTTGTAGGTTGTACTCCTAAGTATTTTATTCTCTTTGTAGCAGTTGTGAATGGGAGTTGACTCATGATTTGGCTCTCTGCTTGTCTATTACTGGTGTATAGGAAAGCTTGTGATTTTTGCACATTGATTTTGTATCCTGAGACTTTGCTGAAGTTGCTTATCAGCTTAAGGAGTTTTTGGGCTGAGACGATGTGGTTTTCTAAATATACAATCATGTCATCTGTAAACAGAGACAATTTGACTTCCTCTCTTCCTATTTGAATACCCTTTATTTATTTCTTTTGCCTGATTGCCCTGGCGAGAACTTCCAACACTATGTTGAATAGGAGTGGTGAGAGAGGGCATCCTTGTCTTGTGCCAGTTTTCAAATGGAATGCTTCCAGCTTTGCCCATTCAGTATGATACTGGCTGTGGGTTTGTCATAAATAGCTCTTATTATTTTGAGATATGTTTCATCAATACCTAGTTTATTGAGAGTTTTCAGCATGAAGGGCTGTTGAATTTTGTCAAAGGCCTTTTCTGCGTCTGTTGAGGTAATCATGTGGTTTTTGTCATTGGTTCTGTTTATGTGATGGATTAAGTTTATTGATTTGTGTATGTTGAACCCGCCTTGCATCCCAGGGATGAAGCTGACTTGATCGTGGTGGATAAGCTTTTTGATGTGCTGCTGGATTTGGTTTGCCAGTATTATATTAAGGATTTTCGTATTGATGTTCATCAGGGATATTGGCCTGAAATTTTCTTTTTTTGTTGTGTCTCTGCCAGGTTTTGGCATCAGGATGATGCTGGCTTCATAAAATGGGTTACAGGACTCCCTCTTTTTCTGTTGTTTGGAATAATTTTAGAAGGAATGGTTCTAGCTCCTCTTTGTACCTCTGGTAGAATTTGGCTGTGAATCTGTCTGGTCCTGGGCTTTTTTGGTTGGTAGGCTATTGATTACTGTCTCAACTTCAGAACTTGTTATTGGTCTATTCAGGGATTGGACTTCTTCCTGGTTTAGTCTTGGGAGGGCGTATATGTCCAGGAATTTATCCATTTCTTCTAGATTTTCTCGTTCATTTGCGTAGAGGTGTTTATGCTTTTCTCTGATGGTAGTTTGTATTTCTATGGGATCTGTGGTGATATCCCTTTATCATTTTTTATTGTGTCTATTTGATTCTTCTCTCTTTTCTTCTTTATTAGTCTAGCTAGCGGCCTATTTGTTAATCTTTTCAAAAAACCAGCTCCTGGATTCATTGATTTTTTTCAAGGGTTTTTTGTGTCTCTATTTCCTTCAGTTCTGCTCTGATCTTAGTTATTTCTTGTCTTCTGCTAGCTTTTGAATTTGTTTGCTCTTGCTTCTCTAGTTCTTTTAATTGTGATGTTAGGGTGTCAATTTGAGATCTTTCCTGCTTTCTGATGTGGGCATTTAGTGCTATAAACTTCCCTCTTAACACTGCTTTAGCTGTGTCTGACCATATTTTTAAGTTATAATTGTTTAGAGAGATAGGTTGTAGTCAATTTATTTCATCTTGGACAGCTAGAGAAATAAAGTGGTTTAATTATTAATATTTCTTTTGACTCTCAAAAGTGTCCCAGCTTGGATAGTTCATTACATAATTACACACAAAGGTTTCTGACTAATTTCATGAGTCTTAGTGTTGATCTTCATGAAACTAATAATAAATTGACACTTAAGAATATTCATGTTTTGGTGTCATGATTTGCTACTCCAGTTCTTATTTATTTGGTACTCCGCTGGTGGTAGTCAGGGTATATACCGTTCTTGAATGATTTAGTTAATTGTGATATACACTTTTTTCCTGAAGACTAGAAAAAAGTGTGCTGTCCCCAAAAGTAATCTGCGTCTCTTAATTTTCTTCCTTTTACAAATTACTTTCCTTGGAAATTAGCATCTTTATACAGAGTGGTCTCTTAAATCAGAATGTTCTAACAAAGAATATTTTCCCCTTATGAGCTATAAGCAATTAGGTATTGCTGTTATAGTACAACTAACTAACATTTTTAAGACATCTGAGTTACGCTAACCCTTCTGTTAGGTTTCTGGGTTTTTTTCAACTTATTTGTGGAGTATATTGTGAATGTCAAGATTAGGGCAGCCAGAGATTTTCTTATTCTGCTGGAAATGTACTTCTCAGGAAAGACAATGATTTAACAACCCCAGTGGTCAAAGTCTTCATCTTACAAATGGGTGTACTGTGTCCCTCAACAGTGCAGGCATATCATCTAATCCACCTGCTCTTTATTCCTCCCAATGTGTATTAGCTTTGTTTAAGTGATTGAGGCATATGAGCCTGCATAAATCATTATGTTACTTAGTAATTTATTTATCTCACTGCTGAATTGAAGGTGATACAGGCTCAAGGTGAAGGATCTTTAGCTTCCTGTTGTTCTCCTTTCATCAAGTTATTCCTTACCCCTATACCCCTCTCACCCTCCCCATTGGATTCATGTGGTTTTCTTTATTTTCCTTTCTTTTCCTCCAATAGTTTAGAATCTATACATTCTGTTTTTATTATTTTAGTGGTTTACCTTATATTTTTTACATGAAATAAAAAGTTAGGCCAGGTGTGGTGGCTCATGCCTGTAATCCTGGCACTTTGGGAGACTGAGGCAGGTGGATCACTTGAGGCCAGGAGTTAGAGACCAGCCTGGCCAACATGGTGAAATCCTGTCTCTACAAAAAAATTACAAACATTACCTGGGTGTGGTGCTACACCCCTGTAATCCCAGCTACTCAGGAGGCTGAGGTAGGAGAATTGCTTGAACCTGGGAGATGGCGGCTGCAGTGGGCTGAGATGGCACCACTGCACTCCATTCTGGGTGACAGAGCAAGACTCTGTCTTAGAAAAAAAAAAAAGAAAGTTAAACATTTCTCCCCTTTTTAGGATACAAGATCCTTAGAAAGTTTACTTTAATTCTGCTTATTCCCTTCAGATTTATCTTTACTATTATCTAGTCTTTTGATTCTTTTTTCCCACCCCCCCCAAATTAGTTGTCATTACTATTTTATGTGATCAGTGCCTTAAATAGCCACATGCTCACCAATTTTTTTTTTTTTTTACTTAATTAGATATACATGTTGGTTGGAAAAATAAATGACCATAGTAATAGAATGTAAGAAAATAGGCTGGGCGCAGTGGCTCACACCTATAATCCCCACACTTTAAGAGGCCAAGGTGGGCAGATCACCTGAGGTCAAGAGTTCAAGACCAGCCTGGCCAACATGGTGAAACCCCATCTCCACTGAAAATAGAAAAATTATCTAGGCGTGGTGACACACACCTGTAATCACAGCTGCTAAGGAGGCTGAGGCAGGACAATTGCTTGAACCCAGGAGGCAGAGGCTACAGTGAGCCATTGCACCACTGCCTGCGTGAGAGAGCAAGACTCCGTCTAAAAAAACAATAAATAAATAAAATGTAAGAAAATAAACCAGGAATGCAGTATAGCTTAGCAAGATGTCTAGAGCAAATGCCACTAGGCCAGGTGCAGTGGCTCATGCCTATAATCCTCGTACTATGGGAGGCTGAGAAGGGAGGATCGCTTGAGCTTAGGAGTTCGAGACCAGTCTGGGCAATATAGCGAGACCTAATCTCTACTAAATATCAAAAAAATTAGCTGGGTGTGGTGATGCATGCCTGTGGTCCCAGTTACTCAGTTGGCTGAGGCAGGAGGATCGCTTGATCCCAGGAGATCAAGGCAGCAGTGAGCTGTGATTATACCACTGCCCTCCAACCTGGGTGACAGAGCAAGACCTTGTCTCATAAATAAATAAATAACACTAACAATGACTGAAACATCATGAAATAGATCTGGTTGTCACTGGTATTTAAGTGTTTTCCTATATCTGGTTATATTAATGTACTTCAATAGACAGTTACGCCTTCACTATGCTTCCAGCCTCAAGAGGATCTACTGGTATGCAACAGAGGAAGAGAAGATACCTGCCTTTAAGGCAGCCTCTACTTTATACATATGTGCACCTTTATGAATACACCATTTAGAAGACGTAATATTGTCTTGTTGATTTAAAACCAAGAATGTTAGTTGTGAATAAAAACATTTTAGAAATATTTTTCATTCCAGTCACTTTTTTCCTTCTAAGAACAAGCTTCTATTATGAGTCTCCTATGGGCACCCATGGTAGAATACTTTTTTTTGTTGTTTTTTGAGACAGGATCTCACTCTGTCACCTAGGCTGGAGTTGCAGTGGCGTGATCATGGCTCACTGTAGCCTCAACCTCGCAGGCTCAAGTGATCCTCCCAACTCAGCCTCCTGAGGATCTGGGACTACAGGTGCACACACCACTATGCCCAGCTAATTTTTCTTTTTATTTTTGTAGAGACAGAGTTTTGCCATGTTGCCTAGGCTGGTCTTGAGAATAAGTTCTTATATACTGATTTTTGCTGTATGCTGTTTTATGTTATTTTTATTTTGGCCATTAGCAAAGCAAAAATGTATATATTTATATTTAGATATATCATCATTTCTGTAATTTTAAAGTTGACTTTCATTTACCAATGAGCGAATGAACCACTTTTCAAAATGTTCTTACAGTTCACAACAACTGATGTTTGTTGTGTGTTTCTCTGAGCCAGTACTAAGCTAAGTGTGACACATGGTTTATCTCATTTAATTCTCTCAAACATCCTGTAAGTTAGGTGCTATTATTACCCTGATTCTACCAGTGAGTTTATTGAAATTTAGAGAGGCATTGATGAGTTACAGCTGTTCATTTGACATCTCACTTCTTTACCAGCATTGAAACTGTCAACATAAGATTAAAACATTTCCTTTTTTCTTCCTCCCTGCCACCCACCAAGGAAATTGAGATGCCTGGAAAACTGAACCAATTTTCCATGGTACATTCAAGGATTAAAAGACTTGGTGGATTTATAGTTGCTAAAGCCTGGAATGCGGTCCTTATTGAGTCCTGAACAGGTTTTTCATGTAAAATTGCTTACGTGTCAGGTGATTCTATTTCATTTCTCTTAGGTTATAGAGGAACTGTTCAAGGCTACAACAATGATGGTTCTCTCAAAATGTCCTGAAGATGTTGAACTCTGTCACAAATTCATAGCACCTGGCCAAAAGGTAATTAGTTTTATGGATAAAGCCCAATACATCTACTGTTTAATGTGTTAATTATACATAATGAATAAAATTATATTTTTAAAATTTTCTTTTTTGTCTTTTTATTAAGGACAGATTAGAACATATGCTAAAAAACAACTTTTTAATGTAAGTAGATGTTATACTTTTTGAACTTTATTCATTATCACTGTATTTATCACACTATATTATAATTTTTTAAATTTATATCTGCTTATATAGATCCTATATATATAGGATATATATATAGACATATTATATGTCTATATATAGACACTCCCCAGATTCCAGGCAAGACCCATGTTCTAATTATTTTTATAGCTCTTGTGTTTGGTTCATAGTTGATAATCAGTGTTTCATCAATAAATTAATAAATCATAGCAAGATAAAATCTAGTAACTATTAACTATGTAACTATAATTCAAACTTATACTAACTTTAGTCATCAAAATTTGGCTTGATTTAAAAAACTGTAAAAACCATGCTCAGTGTAGGTTACAACAAGACAAGAATTCAGGAACAGAAAACTAAGAGATTACCACAGTGATCTGCGTGAGAGTTAATGATGATTTGGACTGTGTATTAGAGTTCTCCAGAGAAACACGACCAACCACGTTTGAGGGCGGGGTGTGTGTGTGGAGATAGAGAGAGAGATTGAGAGATTATTCTAAAGAATTGGCTCACGTAATTGTAGATGCTTGTTGCATTTAAAGTCTCGGGGTAGGTGGACAAGCTGGAGAGTCAAGGAAGAGTTGCCATTCAAGTCCAAAGGCAGTCTGCTGGCAGAATTCCTTCTTTCTCAGGAGGAGATTAGTCTCTGTCTTAGCAAAATCTTCAACTGATTGGATTTAGCCCACCCACATTATGAAGGGTAATATGATCTGCTTTTTTCAAAGTCCACTGATTTAGACATTAATTTCATCCAAAAAACACCTTCTTAGAAGCATTCAGAATACTATTTGACCAAATATCTGGAGACCATGGCGCAGCCAAGTTGACACAAAATTAACCATCACAGACCAGGATGGTGGCAAGAGTTCTCCTATTCCGAATATATTTTAGAGATAGAACAAACAGGATTTACTGAGGGTGAGAGAGAGGAGTTAAGGGTGACTTCAAGGTTTTTTTTCTCCTACAGCTGCAAAAATGAAGTTGCTATTAACTGAAATTGGGAAATGCTTAAGAGAGTATTGGGGCAGGAGCTTTGAGAGGAAGGGGTGGTATCGGGAACACAGACATGTTAAGATTGAGATGCTTTTCAGATATCCAGCCATAGATGTTGGATAGGCAACTGAAAGTGTGGGTCTGGAGTTTTATAAGACAGTCTTGGGCATGAGTATATTGATAAAAGTGGTCATTAAGTAGATGAAGAAAGAAGTAATTTGGCCTTCTCAAGGAATCTCTGCTGGTGACAAAACAACCAGGGAAGGATCTTAGTTTTCCAGCTCCTATCTAATGAAAAGATTCAAAATGCAGAAATAATATTCACCATTTGTTGAATATTTACCCAGACAGTGATAAAATTTACATACATCAGTAGCTCATTTTATCTTCACAACTCCAAGTAGTTATTATTCTCATTCTACAGATGGAGAATCCCTGCAAAGAGGTTGAGTAAAAGATGAAATGGTGATTCAAGCTCATGTTCATCTGATTTCAAAGCTCAGACTTTTAACCTGAGATTTTCATATATTTGGGAGGGTACTGGAATTAAGGGTAGAGTGGTTGTAGCTGCCCCACTATCATTACGACTCTTACATGTCACTTAACTCTTGTGCTTTGGAGTCCTTGTCCATAAAATGTTAAGGTTGGAAAATGTCCTCTTGGGCTGCGCCATTTCAATCATTGTCATTGTCATAATCCATTCTGCATACTACAAATCATAGTTGCAGTTTAAATTTGTGGGGAGAGGGACATCAGCAAGATGATGAATAGAGGGTCCCAGCCTTCACCACAGAAAGTCCATTTGGCAACTAGTCACATACAAGAACACCTTTTTGAAAATCCCAAAATTTGGGAATGAAATTGAGACACGCAGATGGACCACAGAGCAAAAAGTGCATTAGAAGGGTAGGAGCAATGGTCTCAGTTTGACTGAATCCTCCCTTCCCTAAGTAGGCACAATACCACACACAGAAGATTCCCCTTGGCACACAGTTAATGCAGTGGAAAAAGAGACAGCTATCCAGTTTCCCCAGCATTCTGTGATGCTTCCTAGGAGGCCCATTCCTGTCTCACAGGGAACCCTGGGGGTAAGGCCTAGACTACCAGGGGTCAAGTAGGAACAAAGGAGTGGGGCAGTGCTCACAGCAACCAGTACACGGATCTTAGTCATAGCTGTGTTCCTGCCAGCAGTAGCACCTGATCAGAGATACCAGCCAGTGGCATAGCCCATTTACAAAGCCTAGCTGGTTGCTGCAGAAGCTCAGTAGGAAAGTCTATCTGGTTTGAGCCCCTACAGGGCAGCCACCCCACCTAGCCTCAGCATCCACCCCCATGCTTTGCTCAGGCAGGCAGACATCACAAATGTTTTACATTTGTGTAAGATACAGATGGCCAATAGGTTTATCAAAAAGTGTCCAACATCACTAATCAATAAAATGCAAATTAAAACCGCACTGAGATAACCACTCACACCTGTTAGAATGGCTGTTATCAAAAAGTAGAATGAGACACGTTGGCTCATGCCTGTAGTCTCAGCACTTTGGGAGGCTGAGGTGGGAGGATCACTTGAACCCAGGAGTTCAGGACCACCCTGGCCAACTTAGTGAGACCCTGTCTCTACAAAAAATAAATAAATAAATTAGTCAGGTGTGGTGACATGTGCCTGTAGTGCCAGCTACTCAGGAGACTAAGGTGGGAGGATTGCCTAAGCCCAGGAGGTTGAGTTTTCAGTGAGCTATGATCACAGACGCTGCTGCACTCCAGCCTGGGAGACAGAGCAAGACCTTGTCTCAAAAAAAAAAAAAAAAAAAAAAAAAAAAAAGTCAAATGATAACAGGTGTTGGCAAAGATGTGGCGCTTGGGAACCCTTTTATAACTGTTAGTGGCAATGTAAATTAGTAGAGCTATTATGGAGGATAGTATGGGAGGTTTCTCAAAAAACCAAAAGTATATTTACCATATGATTCAGCCATCCTACCTCTGGGTACATATGCAGAACTGAAGTCAGTATGTCAAAGAGATATCTGCACTTACATGTTCTTTGCAGCACTATTCATAGTAGCCAAGATATGGAATCAACCTAAGTGTCCATCAGTAGGTGACTGGATAAAGTAAATGTGTATATATATACACAGTGGAATACTATTCAAAGGAAATCTTATTTGTGACAGCATGGATCAACCTGGAAGACTTAATGCTAAGTGAAAGAAGCTAGGCACAGAAAGACAAATACTGCATGATTCACTTTGATGTGAAATGTAATAAAGTTAACACTACAGAAGTAGTGAGTAGAATGGTAGTTACCAGTGGCCGGTGAGGGGTTCTTGAAGGGAATGGAAAGAAATTGTCCAAGGGGTACAAAGTTTCAGTTAGACCAGAGGAATAAGTGTTCAGGATTTATTGCATAACAAAGTGACCATAATTAATTGTAATGTATATCTCAAAATTGCTAAAGGAGTAGATTTTAAATCTTCTCACTGCAAAAAAAAAAGTGAAGCATGTGAGACGATAGATATGTTAATTACCTTGATATATTCATCCCACAGTGTATAATACCAAAAACACATTGTATCCTGTAAATACATAAAATATTTGTCAATTAAAAATTCAGACATTTTTAAATAAATGTATATGTGTGATTATTTGATTGGTATCTACTACCTCTGTGATGTCAGAGGCTATGTTTAAATTGCTTACTCTTATACCCCCAGGACTTAGCCCAGTGCCTTTAACAGGAACTCAGTAAATACTGAGTAATTGAGTGGACAAACAAGTGACTTGAGTAACTGTGGCTGTAAAGGTATTCTTTAGGCTGGATCCTCTCCTGAGGTTTCTTATTGGCTAATATCACTATTTATTTCAGTCACTGAGGGTAGTGAACCATGATTCAGAAAACCTGGATTCTAATCCTGGCCCTACCATTTACTAGCCATTAATGAGTAAATTATTATTTTTTAACAAATATTTATTGACTGCCTAATATGAGTTAGGCACTTTGCTAGTTCTTGAGAATAATGAAAACAAACATTGATTTATTTTTTTATGGAGTTGAAAATCTAGAGAAAAAGATGAACAGTTAAATATTTATATGAATAATGTAATTACGACTATGAACTTGATTAATAGTGAATCTTTAACTTTTCTGAACTTCAGTTTCCTCATCTATAAAAAAATACTCTGCCTTATATTGTTGAAAGGATTTAATGACAATACTGTTAAAAGCAATATGTCAGACTAGGTAATTTGAAAACACTCTTTCTGCAAAACATCTAAAAATAATACTTAAAATATTATAAGATTCTTTTAAATACGTTGTTGAATTCACTAGAAAGTAGGAGAAGTTCCAGGTGCTAGAAATGAAGAAGGAACCAAACACCAGAGTGATATGGACAGTTGGTGTGATGCTGAGGATTCTCAGGGTGTAGGGTAGGGAAGCTGGAGGGCGATTTTCCAGTTTTTGAAACCAGAGATTTTAACAGCAATGAGATGACATGAGAATAGACGTAGCAGAATGAATTAGAATCAAGATATCCCCTGAAATGCATGCACAGATATACACACAAAGCTAGAACTGGTCAAGGACTACACCCTTAATGAAAGGGCCAATTAGAAAATAAGCAAACAAACAGAAAATTGAGCTAGCCAGCATAGAGAATTTACAAAGAAGTGTAGAAGTATATCTGCTTTAGCCTGGGCTTAAGGATAGAGACAAAACAGAAATAGTCTTCATTGAGAATTTGCAGCCACAGTTGGCCCTTAAGTGAGCCTAGAGTTTGAATTTATGTTTCCTGTGTAGTTCAAGAATCTTCATGCCAGGGCATTAAAATAAAAAATTGTCTTCAGTTGGTGATAATGCTGGAGTAGCTATAGAAATCAATATAAAACCAAACTTGAAGTTTGTACCCTCAACCCAAGTGGCATGATATTCTCAAAACAAACTCTACTGAAGATAATCTCACACTCCAAATACACAGGGAAATACCTACCATGAGCAAGAACAGCAGACATAACAAACAGCATTAGATTCCCAAGAAGTTCAAAGAACAGTAATGACAATAGATTGATAAAATAGTATCTTCACATAGTTGAAAGAAAATACCTGTTACCTTAGAACTGAAATACTGGGCAGCAATAACTTGTAAAACTGGAGAGGCACGTTGATAGTTGAAATGTTAGTCCTTTTGTTGTTTGAAAGGAAGAGAGAGAAACTGGTGAACTTTAGACTTTTTGTTTTTAAGAGACAGGACCTTGCTGTGTTTTCCAGGCTGGAGGGCAGTGGTGTGATCATAGCTCACTGCAGCCTTGAACTCCTGGGCTCAAGCAATCCTCCTGCCTCAGCCTCCCGAGTAACTGAGACAACTGGTGCAGGCCACCACACCCGGCTGCTTTAGACTGTTAAGTCAGATATGCATGTTAAAATGTGCGGGGTAGCCACTGAAAGCATAATGAGATGGTGCTGGTCTGATGACAGTGATTATTAAGTCATCAACATCAGAGGTATCAAGTTGAGAAATAGATTGTGTGGTGGTGCCCTCTCTACCACTTTGGCATCACCTTTCTGCTGTTACATGCCTTTTAAGGCATTGGCACTGAAACTTCTGAAAATACTGGTGTAGCTGAATCTACTATTGAGTTAATCCTAAAAACAGTAAAGAGAAAAGAAAAAACAGGGAGATGGCGAAAGAGAAACTGTTGTCCTTTATGCAGACTGCACTGTTAGTTATTGAATCTGTATAGATACCATGTGACTTGTATTCTTTTGAGTAGATTTCAGTGTATTTTTCACTACCTGTTACAATTATTTTATATGAAAATGTGCTGTTTCAGCAACTCGTGTAGTAATGGAATTTAGCCTTTATGCAGAAATTGTATTCAGTTTATTTTACATTTCCTTTATATTATTATGGTTCTGAAAATGTAGAGTACTTACCTTTTTTATTTGCTCTTCATTTATCTTTGTGTGTGAATTTGAGGCGAAGGATGACAATAATTATCTTTGTAGTTGAGCAATTTTACTCTTAACAGCTTCAGAATAATGAATTTTCTTTATTCAGCAATGAAAAATGTGGAATATGAAGGTAGTTTGATGCTGTATCATTCTCTACCACAGTGTTTTTTCCTCCTTTCCTCAAAGTACTTTGGAAACAGTTTCTGGAAAGGAGAAGAGATATTATTTTCTATACATATCAAGAAAAATACTTAATAGAGTTGATGGAAGCCATTAAGGATATCAAATGTCAGAACTGTAATTTGAACTTGAAAGTTCTGCCTCTAATGAAGGTATTGGGGAGTGGAGTGGAAGACGTGGAATAACAGGAGATATTTAGACATGAGAGTCATTTCTTAATAATGAAACAGTAACATACCAATGGTACAAAATCTTACTGCTTATTATTTTGACTGCTCTCATATTTCTCAGTGTGATTGGTAGATGATACCAAGTAATTGATATAATAGAACAATAGAATGCCTAAGCAGAAAAGAACTTTATGTGGCACATATACACCATGGAATACTATGCAGCCATAAAAAATGATGAGTTCATGTCCTTTGTAGGGACGTGGATGAAATTGGAAATCATCATTCTCAGTAAACTATCGCAAGAACAAAAAACCAAACACCGCATATTCTCACTCATAGGTGGGAATTGAACAATGAGATCACATGGACACAGGAAGGGGAACATCACACTCTGGGGACTGTGGTGGGGTGGGGGGAGGGGGGAGGGATAGCATTGGGAGATGTACGTAATGCTAGATGACGAGTTAGTGGGTGCAGCGCACCAGCATGGCACATGTATACATATGTAACTAACCTGCACAATGTGCACATGTACCCTAAAACTTAAAGTATAATAATAAAAGAAAAAAAAGAAAAAAAAAGATAGTTCAATCTCCTTATTTTACAAGTGCAAATACTTAATTTTTAAATGTTTGTATAATACATTACAAAAATTAATAACATGCTTTCACTACGTTGAAGTGACTTACATAGCTAGTAGTAGAATCAGATGAAGTGGTAGAATCAGTTGAGCCCATTTTCTTTTGTTTTGATGGAACATATGAAACTCTAAGTGTTTCAGTCATTATCTTAGCCGTTAAAAGCTTATACTCTGGAGTCAGCAGATCAAGATTTACTATTTACTTACATGAGTAACCTTTGGAAAGTTATTGATCCTCTCTAACCTTCTGCTTCCCTTCTGTAAAATGCTAATTTTAAAATCGTTATTACTGCTACTACCAACACCACTGCCACCACCATTATTACCTTAGAAATTACCTATTGTTATTACTAGATTTTAATTTGAATAGATTCTTAGGAAAAAACCTGTCTTTCAAAACATAGCTTTAGGGGCTTTATTGTACTGTATGACACAATACAACTCTTTCTGGTTAGTTGTTATGGATATGAACTTCATTTTTGCTTCAGAGAACAAGTTTGTGCTGGATAAATTATTTTTTGAGCTCAAGGTCTTTCAGGAAGTTTGTAGATTTTTTTGTAAAAAAAAAAAAAAAAAAAATCCAAAATACTGATGCAGTATTTTACCTGTAATTTACAAGCAACCTGACACTTTCATGTTACTGGTGGGTATAAATTGATATAAAAGGGGGCAATATCTTTGGCAAAACCTTTCAGAAAATATAAAAATTGCAAATTTTCATCTAATAATTCCACTTTTGCATGTGAAAAATCAGTGTATAATAACTTTGTAATATTAAATAGGTATATATAGGCATGTTTTATAATAGCAAAAGATTAGAACGTGAAATATCAGGTCACTGGTTAACTAATTATGACACATCCACAAAATAGAATATTATGTAATACAAAAAGTGAAGAATGTCTTCATATACACACAGATCTGCAAGGTATATTAGTAAAATTAGGTGTGAAAGAGTGTGTATGTTATGTATGACATCTGTAAAAAAGGAAGATTGTGTATTATTTACATTATCTGTATAAATAAAATCCTCTAGAGGGATGTTCACAATACCAATAACAGTGATTGTGTGAAAGGAAAGGAACTAGGTTTCTCTGGAACCGCAATGGAAGGGAGATGTATACTCTTATACATCTTGATTTTTTTTAAAACTATGTAGACAAGTTACCTATTCACATAGTTAAATTAAAACAAATACTTGCTTTGACTTACTTTAGGCATGAGGGTGTCTCATGGAGAGAATCAGTATTTTCCTACATAGTCTTATAATGCTTAGAATATATTACCAGGCCCTTACTATGACCTGAAAGAGTCCATGTGATCTGACTTCTGACTGCCTTTCCTATGTAATTTCCTGTGCATTCTTCCTCTTGTTCAGTATGCTCTAGTCACGCTGACTGCCCTTTTTGTTCTGTGAACAAGCCAAACTGTTTCTCACTTCAGGTCCTTGTACTTGCTGTTCCTTTTGCCTGGAATACTCCTCCCAAGATACTTCTATGGTTCATTTCCTTACTCGGTGCACGCTTCTGTTCAAATGTCACAAACTTAGGCCTTTCTTGACCATCATATCTAAAATGGCACCCCAAACCCCCTCTGCCTTCTTATTCCACTTTATTTTTCTTCATAGCACGAATAGCTACTTGTTTATTTATCTGTCTACTCTCTCCTCACCTGCATCTCTCGCTCTCTCTCTCTCTGACACACACATGCGCGCACGCACATTGTCTCCATGAAGGCTGAGCTTTATTTTTATCTCCAGTGCCTAGAATTGTGTGTAGTGCCTAGTAGGTGCCAAGTATATGTCTGTTGGATAAATAAATGAATTAATGGTGAATTTTAGGAAAAAGTATTTTGCTGTTGTAGTCTTTTAATAGGGCATTGGCATATCATGGATTCAGAGAATAATCTTTACTTGCTTAAGTGACTAGCTTCACTGTGTATATTGCAAGTAGATGAGGAGTTGAGGTTATTGAATGGTTACTTGTCTTCAGGCAGATCATTCTTTCATAGGATTAGATCAGCCTTAATTCCTGATTATTCATGACCTCACAGTGTGATATAGGAGTACGCTTTTTCTGGTTTTAAAATGAACTAGTTAGCAGCTCCATTGTATTGACTTTTCTCTGCTTGTATCCTGTTTTCCTCCAGCATTTCTTATACTGAAGCAGTGGAGATCTTAAAGCAAGCATCCCAGAACTTCACCTTTACCCCAGAGGTAGTATTTTGTGTGTATGTATATATGTGTGTGTGAAAATGCTTCCTTCTTGTCTTTAGCTTACTGTGTTAAGAATCTTTCAAAATCATCTTAATTCTCTTATTAGCAAAATATGGCATTTGCTCATTTGTACACAGACTTAAGATTTTGATGTTTGCTGAATCTTGTTGAGATACTTAAAACGGAATTAATTAAGAATAAAAATAAATTTTATCATTTGGAATAGCAGTGACTAAAGGGTTATAAAGGAGTCTCCCACGTTTAGGAAGATGAAAATTCTAAAAAAGAAAGATAATCATAGACTATTACTGTAGAGACCAGGTGTTGGGGCTCACGCCTATAATTCCAGCACTTTGGGAGGCCAAGGCAGGCAGATTGCTTGAGCCCCAAAGTTCAAGACCAGCCTGGGCAATACAGTGAGACCCTGTCTCTACCCAAAAAAAAAAAAAAAAAAGTGAATTTTTAAAAAAAGAATATTACTGTAAAAGTCAACTAGTTCTGTGTTTTCCAAAATATATTCTGAATGACATTAAAAGATGACCAGGCTGGGTGCGGTGGCTCACACCTGTAATCCCAGTACTTTGGGAGGCTGAGGCGGGTGGATCACAAGGTCAGGAGATCGAGACCATCCTGGCTAACATGGTGAAACCCCGTCTCTACTAAAAATACAAAAAATTAGCTGGGTGAGGTGGCGGGCGCCTGTAGTCCCAGCTACTCAGGAGGCTGAGGCAGGAGAATGGCATGAACCCGGGGGGCAGAGTCTGCAGTGAGCAGAGATCACCACTGCATTCCAGCCTCGGCAACAGCGAGACTCCATCTCAAAAAAAAAAAAAAAGATGACCAACAAAAGAAGTTATATTATCAAATAAGTTTAGGCAACATAACTAAACAGGTGTGTTTTTCTTTTTCTTTTTTTTCTTTTTTTTTTTTTTTTTTCAGATTTAGTGCTTGCAGAAGCAGGTTTGTTTTTCAGTTGAACTTTACGGAGCCTTTTAGTTTATGAGCCACTCTGGAAAATACTGGGGTTTTTTTGTTTGTTTTGCTTTTAAAGAACTTTATATTTAAGAGATGGAGGTCTCGTTATGATGCCTGAGCTCATCTTGAACTCCTAGGCTCAAGGGATCCGCCACTTCAGCCTGCCAAGTAACTGGGACTAGAGGAGCATGCCTCAGTACCCAGCCAAGAATTCTTTTTTTTTTTTTTTTTTCAATACTTACTTGATAAACAAAGATTGTATAGGCCGGGTGTGGTAGTTCACACCTGTAATCCCAACACTTTAAGAGGCCAAGGTAGGATTGCTTGAGCCCAGGAGTTTAAAATTGCAGTGAGCCATGATCGACTACAGCCCTCCAGCCTAGGTGACAGAGAAAGACCTTGTCTCGAAGAACAACAACAAAAGAAGATTGTATATATTCAGGGTATACGACATGATGATTTGATACATGTATACATTGTGTAACAGATTATCATAATCAAATTAGTTAACACATCTGTCATTACCCACACTGTACATTAGATCCCCAGAACTTGTTCATCTTATAACTGAAAGTGTATACACTTTGACAAATATCACCTCATTTGCCCCATTCCCAGACCCCTGACAACCACTGTACAACTCTCTCTTTCTGTGAAGGAACTCCTTTGTTTATTTTTTATTGTATTTAATTAATTAATTAATTTATTTATTTATTTATTTATTTATTTTTTGAAAGACAAGATCTCTCTGTGTTGCCGAGGCTGGAGTGCAGTGGTGCAAACATGGCTCACTGCAGATTCCACCTCCCAGGCTCTCATCATTCCTCCCAACTCAGTCTCCCAACTATCTGGGACTACAGGTGCGTGCCACCAGGTCTGGCTGATTTTTTTATTTTTTGTAGAGACAGGGTTATGTTGCCTAGGCTAGTCTCGGGCTTCTGTGCTCAAGCACTCCTCGGCTTCCCAAGGTGCTGGGATTAAAGGCATGAGCCACCATGCCTGGCCAGAGCTTTTTTATTTTATTGGCAATGATATAGGTCCAGAGAGACCACATGGTCTGTCAATGGACATATGTATAATGTTGGAGGCAAAACTCTTTTCCTATTCCAGTTATTTTTTCCTGTAACTAAGATACTGCCAAACAAGTGGTAGTAATAAGATAATGTTAACCTTTGTGTTTAAACTATTCCTTGTACCGGTTCAATCCCAATTAAGTCAGATCTTTATGTATTACAAAAGTAACCTCTGTTTGTTATATTTATGATCAATTCTTTGTGTAAGTTTTCATTTCTTTTTCTCCTAACCCTGGAAGCTTCATGAAGTCAGGGATTATAACTTTTTCTTACCACTATATCCAGTATATCATATGGTACCTGGAATTTAATAGGCACATTAGTATTTGCTTAATAAATATATTGAACAGAGTTAATAAATATTCATCAAAGAGCATCTCATACATGAGTTGACTCTTTTTATTTAAAAAGAAGTCACCGGCCATCACTGTGGCTCACACCTGTAATCCCAGCACTTTGGGAGGCCAAGGTGGGCAGATCACGAAATCAGGAGTTCAAGACCAGCCTGGCCAACGTAGTGAAACCCCATCTCTACTGAAAATACAAAAAAAATAGCCGGGCATGGTGGCGGGCACCTGAAGTCCCAGTTACTTGGGAGGCTGAGGCAGGAGAATCACTTGAACCCGGGAGACAGAGGTTGCAGTGAGCCGAGATTGCACCACTGCACTCTAGCCTGGGCGACACAGCCAGACTCTGTCTCAAAAAAAACAAAAGTCACCAAGAGAAGTCATTTAGCCAAAGATAGGCTCAATATTAGGAATATTATCTTCTATCATTTAATTTCCTGAGACTTAGGAACAATAACGTGGAAGAAGCTGTAGGCACTATTAAAAATTGTGATTCTGAAGTCAGGTTTTTTTTTTTATCTCCTTGTAAAGTAGACTTTGTTTTCCTGCAGGTGCTGTATTGTCTGCTCCTGGGGGGTGGGGGTGGGGGAGCAATGGGGACACAGTAAGCATAGTGTCTATCTACTGGCCTCAGCTTTCATCTTTCCAGGCCTGTAGGTGTTCTTGTTAACAAATATCTCTCTCTTGTTTAGTCAGCTGTGTAACCTTAGCAGCTAGCTCCACACATGGAGCCTCAGGAAGATGAAGCCCTTAGAATTGATGCAGGTTATTTTCAGCTGCTTAATTGTATATTTCACCTCTGTCTCCTCTTTTGGTCATTTCTTTCTTCTCATTACAGTGGGGTGCTGACCTACGGACTGAACATGAAAAGTACCTGGTGAAGCACTGTGGCAACATACCTGTCTTCGTTATTAATTATCCATTAACACTCAAGCCTTTCTACATGAGGGATAATGAAGATGGCCCTCAGCACACGGTAAGAAGAGATACTAAATAAATTGGGGTTAGTCCTCTTAGGTTGGGTTTTTCATTTAGCCTTTGTGATCTTTTCTTAAATGTCATCTATCACTCTATCTCTTAAAATGATAATGTTTTTCAAAGACATCTCTTAAAAATTTTTCCCAAAGAAGATCCCAGTGTTCTATAAACGTACTTCCTCATTTCTGTCACAAGGTCTTCTTCTTAGTTTAGCAGGTGCAAATCTAGGTTTTCTTTGTTTCGTTTTGTTATGTTTCATTTTGTTTTGTTTTGTTTTGTAATGACTGAGAGGAAGTGGCCTAGAACACTGTATGGCTATACCAAGCTTGTTAGTCTGTGGTGAAGTACTGGTTAGGAGACTCCTAGGAGGGAAGGCATACTGGGCAAGAGATGAGAGCAGTGGCACTGAGAGGTGACAGCGTGCTGGTAGCCCTCACAGCCCTCTCTCGCTCTCGGCGCCTCCTCGGCCTTGGCGCCCACTTTGGCGGCACTTGAGGAGCCCTTCAGCCTGCCACTGCACTGTGGGAGCCCCTTTCTGGGCTGGCCAAGGCCGGAGCCGGCTCCCTCAGCTTGTGGGGTGGTGTGGAGGGAGAGGCATGGGCGGGAACCAGGGCTGCCTGCGGTGCTTGCGGGCCAGTGCGAGTTCCAGGTGGGTGTGGGCTCGGCGGGCCCCACCTGCTCCGGGCAGTGAGGGGCTTAGCACCTGGGCCAGCAGCAGCTGTGCTCAATTTCCTGCCAGGCCTTAGCTGCCTTCCCGTGGGGCAGGGCTCGGGACCTGCAGCCCCCCATGCCTGAGCCTCCCCACCCCTCCGTGGGCTCCTGTGTCGCTGAAGCCTCCCTGACGAGCGCCGCCCCCTGCTCCACGGCGCCCAGTCCCATTGACCACCCAAGGGCTGAGGAGTGCAGGCGCATGGCGCGGGACTGGCAGGCAGGTCCACCTGCAGCCCCAGTGTGGGATCCACTGGGTGAAGCCAGCTGGGCTCCTGAGTCTGGTGGGGACGTGGAGAACCTTTATGTCTAGCTAAGAGATTGTAAATACACCAATCGGCACTCTGTATCTAGCTCAAGGTTTGTAAACACACCAAACAGCACCCTCTGTCTAGCTCAGGGTTTGTGAATGCACCAGTGGACACTCTGTTTCTAGCTACTCTGATGGGGACTTGGAGAACCTTTATGTCTAGCTAAGGGATTGTAAATACACCAATCAGCACTCTATCTAGCTCAAGGTTTGAAAACACACCAATCAGCACCCTGTGTCTAGCTCAGGGTTGTGAATGCACCAGTGGACACTGTCTAGCTACTCTGGTGGGGACTTGGAGAACCTTTGTGTGGACACTCTGTATCTAGCTAATCTGGTGGGGACGTGGAGAACCTTTGTGTCTAGCTCAGGGACTGTAAATGTACCAATCAGCGCCCTGTCAAAACAGACCACTCTGCTCTACCAATCAGCAGGATGTGGGTGGGGCCAGATAAGAGAATAAAAGCAGGCTGCCCGAGCCAGCAGTAGCAACCCGCTCGGGTCCCCTTCCACACTGTGGAAGTTTTGTTCTTTCGCTCTTTGCAATAAATCTTGCTCCTGCTCACTCTTTGGGTCCACACTGCCTTTATGAGCTGTAACACTCACCGCGAAGATCTGCAGCTTCACTCCTGAAGCCAGCGAGCCCACGAGCCCACCGGGAGGAATGAAGAACTCCAGACACGCCGCCTAAAGAGCTGTTAACACTCACCGCGAAGGTCTGCAGCTTCACTCCTGAGCCAGCCAGACCACGAACCCACCAGAAGGAAGAAACTCCAAACACATCCGAACATCAGAAGGAACAAACTCCGGACGCGCCGCCTTTAAGAACTGTAACACTCACCGTGAGGGTCCGCGGCTTCATTGTTGAAGTCAGTGAGACCAAGAACCCACCAATTCCGGACACTGCACAATCAGGCAAAGGAAAAGCTGGCTTGGCAGAGCAGGAGGAGGCTTAGACTGCTTTGGTTTGGACTATCAAATAGAAATAGTGAGGGGAGGGCTATGAAGGGATACAGGCAGTCTAGGCAGATTTTCCCTGTCTCAGCTCTTGTCTGACCGTCTCTTCTCTGTCTGCCTGTTTTGTCTCTCTCATCCCTTTACCGTTTCTTGTCCTGTGGTTTTTTTTTTTTTTTTTTTTTTTTGACCTTAACTATAGTTGTCTTTTTTTTGAGATAGAATTTCACTCTTGTCACCCAGGCTGGGGTGCAATGGCGTGATCTCAGCTCACTGCAACCTCTGCCTCCCAGGTTCAAGTGATTTTCCTGCCTCAGCCTCCCAAGTAGCTGGGATTATAGGCGTGTGCCGCCACACCCATCAGATTTTTGTATTTTTAGTAGAGACAGGGTTTCACCATGTTGGCCAGGCTGGTCTTTAACTCCTGACCTCAGGTAGTCTGCCCTCCTCAGCCTCCCAAAGTGCTTGGATTACAGGCGTGAGCCACTGCACCTGGCCTGCCTTTTTTATTCTTTTGGTTTTTACAAAATTAGCTATAACATGGCCAGGTATAGTGGCTCACGTTTGTAATCCTAGCACTTTGGTAGTCCAAGGTGGGAAAATTGCTTGAGACCAGGAATTCAAGACCAGCCTGTTGAACATAGGAAGACCCTATCTCAACAAAAAATAAATTAGCCAGGTGTAGTGGTGTGCACCTGTAGTCTATCTACTCAAGAGGCTGAGGTGAGAGAATTACTGGAGCCTAGGAACTCGAGGCTTCAGTGAGCCATAATGGTGTCACTGTGCTCCAGCCTGGGCGACAGAGGGAGCCCCCTATGTGAAAAACAAATAATTAAATTTTAAAGTTGGCAATAATATAAAGTAAGAATATATTTTACTTTTCTAAATATTTATTGAATAGTTATATATGTAATATTATTAGTTGTAAAAGTCTATGAGACAGATTATATTGATTTCAAAATAGGCCCAAAAACTACACTTTACTGTCTGATGCTTTTCACTTATTTGTGGATAAATATACAAAAATGTAGATTAGGGCCCACTAGTAAACAGAATGTCCCTGTCAGGTATACAGGGTTATCTGTTTGACTGTATTTCCTGTTTTTTCATTTTGTATTAATACAGCTGTATTAGCCACCGTTTACTAGATGCTTAGGAATCAAGCACTACCATCTCATCTCTAAATCCAGAAACAACTTTGCTTAGAAGCTTGTTTCCCCATTTTATAAATGAAAAACTGGAGTGCAGAGATAGATTGCATTTCCAAAGCTACGTAGATAGTAAGTAGTTAGTATTCACTCCTGATTCTCTTTAGCTTTAAAGTGTATTTTTAAAATATATGTATTTTTTTCTAGACTGCAGACTGTTTTATAAAGTCTGTGTTTTTTTCCACTTCTTCCAACTGCCTAAAAATCACAAATAATATAAAATTACTTTTTAGCCATTTATTTTACTCATCCTCACCTTTCACACAAAATCATCCAAAACTAGTGAGCAACATAATTGATGTATGATTCTTATATTCTCTTTTTTCTACCAACCCTCTAGTGTAATTGGCCCCCAGGTTGCCAGCAAAAAGGAGACATTAGGACCTAGATTATCTAGTCCTACATAATTTAGTATTGAGCCTATATTACAAAACAGAAGACTGTATCTGTTGGCTTTTTTTCATCACTCCAGCCCATTCCAATTCCAGCTCCCCCTCCAACACACACACCATGTATTTTTCTCATTTAATTTCCCTAGATTAAGCATCTTTCAGTCACTCAATTTTGTACTTAAGTACTTTGCTTAAGAATTTTCTTCTCTATAAAGATTTTTCTGGGTTACCCAGCTACTTTGAGCCTTCCTTTTTTGGATTTTTGTTGCGAATTAGCGAAACTATAGCATTGTGTCTATATTCTGTAATCTCTTAATGAGTTTTGCTTTCTTTCTTTTCTTTTTTTTAAAAGACGGAATCTTGCTCTGTCTTCCAGGCTGGAGTGCAATGGCACGATCTTGGCTCATTGCACCCTCTGTCTCCCGGGTTCAAGCAATTCTCCTGCCTCAGCCTCCCGAGTAGCTGGGACTACAGACGCATGCCACCACACCCGGCTAATTTTTTTTTTTTTTTTTTTTGTAGTGGGTACGGGATTTCACAGTGTTGCCCAGGCTGGTCTCAAACTGAGCTCAGGCAGTCCATCCGCCTCAGCCTCCTAAAGTGTTTGGATTACAGGCATGAAAGTTTGCTTTCCTAAACAAAACTGAACAACTTTAGGATGGGTATTGAATTTTTTTTTTTTTTTTTTTTTTTTTTTTTACCAGCACAGCATCTCCCACTCATTCTATACTCCTACTTCTTTGTAGTTTCCACCCCTATCACACCGTTGAAGTAGCTCTTGTTAGGATCAGTAATGATCTTCATGTTATTAAATCCAGCAGACTTTTAAGTCTTTATTTTACTTGGCCGGTCAGTGCTAATCAGCACTATTAATGACTTTTTTATTCTTATAACCCTCTACTCCCTTGACTTCTGTGACATCACATTATCCCTGTTTTTCTCCTTTCTCAGCATTTATTCTTTCTTAGTCTCCTGTACAGATTTATCCATTTCTATCTATTCATCAGGTGTTGGAATTCCTCAAGGCCCAGTCCTTGGTGGTCTTTATTTTCCTCATGTTATTTCATCTGTATCTATTGCTTACTGTTTATTCTCTCAGAAGTTTTTATCTCTAATCCAGACTTCTTCTCTGAGCTCTAGACTCATATACATTCGTCCCTCAGTATCCTCAGGGATTGGTTCCAGGACACCCTACCCACTAGCCCCCTCTCAGATAGCAAAATTCGAGGATACTAATGAGTCCCTTATGTAAAATGACGTAGTATGCGTATCACCTATGCACATCCTCCTGTATACTTTAAATAATTTATAGGTTACTTATAATACCTAATACAATGTAAATGCTGTGTAAATAGTTGTTATGCTGTATTGTTTAGGGAAATAATGGCAAGAAAAAAATCTGTACATGTTAGTTACAGATACAACCATCTATTTGTTTTTCCTGAATATTTTAAATCTGCTGTTGGTTGAATCCACAAATGCAGAACCTCTGAATACAGAGGGCTGACTCATTGACTGCCTCATTGACTGCCATTTACATATCTCAAAGGCATCTCAAACACAACACATCCAAAACTGAACCTATGATTTCTCCTCTCCTCCCAGCAAATTTGATCTTCTTTCAATATTCTGTATTCATCTAATTGTACATGCCAGATACCTGAGTCATCTCAGAAGTCTTCCTTTCTCATTTCCTCCATTGACTAAGTTCTGTCAGTTTTGCGCTCCTAAATATCTCTCACATCCATTCATTTCTCTTCATTTCCTCTTTTACCTTTTCAGATTAAGATACTGCCTAGACTAATAGCCTCCTAACTGATCTTCATATATCCATTCTTTCCTCTTCTGAATCAGTTCTCCCATTTTAGTGTGAGTTTTTATAAAATGTAAATCCTGGCTGGGCACAGTTGCTCATGCCTGTAATCCCTGCACTTTGGGAGCCTGAGGTGCACAGATCACTTGATCCCAGGAGTTCCGGACCAGCCTGGACAGCATAATGAGACTCCATCCCCATTAAAAAAAAAAAAAAATTAACCCAATCATGTTGTCACTCTTCTTAAAGCCATTCAGTGGCCTCCCTTTGCTCTTAGGATAAAAGCCAAAATCCTTTATGTCGCCTACAATGCCTAGTAGAATGTGGCTGTGTCTCCTTCTCTAGTCTGTTATACTGTGGGACTCCACTTTGTTCTCTCCTATCACCACCCTTCTTCTGTGTCTTCAGACGTGCAGTTCTTTCTCTCACCTCAGACTCTGCGTATATTATTCCTTCAATCTAGAACAGTCTTCTTCATCTAAATAATTTTGCTTACTGATGTTTATACTCAATCACCATTTCCTCAGAGAAACCTTTCTTGACCCTCTAGTCTGAGTCAGAGGCCCCTGTTAGATGCTGCAGTCGTACCATGTTAAGTTTCACACCCAGAGATACTAACTCTTAATCCATCATAACCTTTAACAGTTGTAATTTTACATCTATGTGCATGACTATTTAATTAATGACACTTTCCTCTATGTCAAAAGACGTGAGGACTTCCATGTTAGTCCATTTTCATGCTGCTGATAAAGACATACCCAAGACGGGAAAGAAGAAGAGGTTTAATGGACTCACAGTTCCACATGGCTGGGGAGGCCTCACAGTCATGGCAGAAAGTGAAAGGCACTTCTTACATGGCAGCAGCAAGAGAGAATGAGAGAGAAGTGAAAGCGGAAACACCTCATAAAACCATCAGATCGGCTGGGCGCGGTGGCTCACTCCTGTAATCCCAGCACTTTGGGAGGCCGAGGCGGGTGGATCACCTGAGGCAGGGGATTCAAGACCAGCCTGACCAACATGGAGAAACCCCGTCTCTACTAAAAATACAAAATTAGCTGGGCGTGGTGGTACACACCTGTAATCCCAGCTACTTGGGAGGCTTAGGCAGGAGAATCGCTTGAACCCGAGAGGCAGAGGTTGCAGTGAGCCGAGATTGCATCATTGTACTCCAGCCTGGGCAACAAGAGCAAAACTCTGTCTCAATTTAAAAAAAACAAACAAAACAAAACAAAAAAAAAACAACGACAAAAAAAACCACCATCAGATCATCAGATTGACCGGCGCCGTGGCTCATGCTTGTAATCCCAGCACTTTGGGAGGTCAAGGCTGGTGGATCACCTGAGGTCAGGAGTTCGAGACCAGCCTGACCAACAAGGTGAAACCCCGTCTTTACTAAAAATACAAAAAGTAGCCAGGCATGGTGGCAGGCACCTGTAGTCCCAGCTCGGGAGGCTGAGACAGGAGAATTGCTTGAACCCAGTAGGCAGAGTTGCAGTAAGCTGAGATCACACCACTGCAGTCCAGCCGGGGCAACAGAGCGAGACTCCATCTCAAAAAAACAAACAAACAAACAAAAAAAAAACCCACCATCAGATCTCCTTAGACTTACTACCACAAGAACAGTATGGGGAAAATATCCCCATGATTCAGTTATCTCCCACAACAAGTGGGAATTATGGAAGTACAATTCAAGATGAGATTTGGGTGGGGACACCCAGCAAAACCATATCAACTTCTTTTTCATTCATCGGTATATTCCTAGTGTAATGCCTGGGACGTGGTGGACACCTAGTATCCGTGTGGTGGATGGATGAATGGATTAATGAATCAAATCCAACAAAGTTTAAGACACACTGTCGACGAGTAGTGAGTTGATCTGCTGTGAATTTGCTGGGAAGCTAAAAAGCATCTTTAATTTTGTGAGTGGTAGCAACATAGCATAAAGGAAAGTCTAGTGGCTATAGAGTTAGACACTCTTGGGTTCAAGTCCCCACCCCACCTCTGTGTATTATAAACTATGTGATTTTACATATGCCACCTAATCTTTTTGTGTCTTAATTTCCTGATCTGTAAAAATGAGACCATAATATATTATGGAGTTGTGAGGATTAAATCAAGTAATATAAGAAAAGTAGATAGCTGTGTTTTAGGAAGTAGGTAGTCAATAGGTATGAAGTTGTCTCTTCCTACTTTCTAAATTTTAATAAAATTTTTCCCCTTTCATGTTTAGTTGACATGTAATAATTGTATGTATTTATGGAATATAGAATGGTATTTTGGTGTATGTATATAATACTGATCAAATTAGGGTAATTAGCATATTCGTCACCTCAAACATTTTTCATTTCTTTGTGTTGTGAACATTCAAAATCCTCTCATCCACCTTTTTGAAAATATACAATAAATTGTAGTTAACCGTATTCACCCTATATTGCTGCAGAATACCAGCACTCATTCCTCCTATCTAGCTATAATTTTGTATCTACTAACCAACCTCTCCCCACCCTTCCAAGCCCCCGTTACACACTGTTCTACTATTTCCCATGAGCTCAAAAAATGTTTTATTCCCACATATGAATGAGAACATGCAATATTTATCTGTGCCTGACTTTAAATTTTGATAAAATCTTATGATAAAGTACAATGTGTGTGTGTGTGTTTGTGTGTGTGTGTGTGTGTGTGTGTGTGTGTTGTTACATAATAACATAAGATTCCTTAAAAGGTAGTTCTCTCATAGATCGCACTCACAAGTATCTTACCTTCAACAGTACTGGGAAACCTTCATTATGACACAGTCTCTCTAGTAATGTGGTCTCACACCCTAAAGGCGTTATACTGGGACTTTAACATACTTCCATAATTTATGCAGTACTAGAGTATATAGCTTCTCAGAGCTAAACTATTCAAATATAATTTATTTAAACTTGTTACATTAGCCATAGAGAATAACATTGGTACATTAGCAGTGTACATTTCTTTTCAATCCATTTGTATGAAGTGCCTGCTTCTATCCCTCATTTGTTGTTTTCTGGTGAAGGAAGAAGCTTTGGGCCAGATGACTAAATTCTGTTTCTTTTAGTAGGGCTGTAATAACTGGCTGTAAGTTCGCAAGAGTTCCTGTAATGGATGCAGTGCAGTCTTGAAAAAAATAAGACAGGTGTGTTTCATAGGTGCCTTCTTTAGGGAACCAAAAGAGAAGGATGGGGAAATATCTAATCTACACTTGTAACTTTTGGCCAGAGGGTAATAAATAGTAAAATGGTATGTTTTTACAGTTATAATTTATCTTCCTTTCTCCCCACCTCTCAGTAGAAATGAAGGTATGCGCTGTGGTGTACTGAAAAGTACACAGGATGCAGAGTGGTTCTGGGTTTGAAATCTAGATACCTTACTAGTTACCTGTGTCACCTCAGGCAAGTCTCTGTGATCTTTCAGCCTCAATTTCTCCCTCTGTATAATCAGAGAATTGGATTAAGTGACCTCTAAAGTATTACCTCTCTAAGATTCTCTGATTTCCTGTAGCCTAAGTTTTTCTTCATATGCATGGATAAGACTAACTTATAAATTACTGAGCATATTTGATCATTTGAAAGGGACAGATCATGGGAAAATGAATCTAAGCAAATATGCAAAATGCCATATGCCTCTGAGGCTGGTCTCCAGGTAAGTCCCTCAAAGCCAGGTGGCAGATGTTCAGCTGGGGGAGTGGCTTCACAGAGAAGAATAGTCTTTTATTCTACACACGTGTAATTAGGAAAAAGTGACTGCCCCTCAGTCCTTGATGAGATGCCACAATCACCAGGTAGTGTTCTAATTTTCAAAATTATATCAGTATTACTTAGCAAACCAGAGAAAGGTCAGCATTAGTGGGCATTCAGTAAAGTACATACTGTGAAGTCAACTCAGAAAGGAGAATACTCAGCCAAGGGGTGTGCAATAAATTTCCCAGAGCTGTGGCTAATTAACCAACCTGCATCAAAATAGCTCGAGCCACCAACCAACAGAAATAGTGATGAAGGGAATTGCCAATTTTCCCCATATCTAGGACTAAAGAGAATCCTAGAAATTTTTGTCAAAATTGAAAGTATCCATTTCAGTCTGTCGTAAAATACTTTGAGATTCTTTATCATGACATATTTTATATTAATACTTTGAATTGTAGAGTTAGGGAACATAGGGAAGAGAAATCCTTTTATGTGTGTGATACAGACTTCTAAGGTTTTGTTACCAAACTGTTTCTCCCATTTCAGTCTTCCCAGTGTGTCTTAATTGAACAAGTTTGGTTAAAGCAACTGAGATAAAAGTGAACGTAAATGCCTCCTAAGTCTTTTGGTAGAGTAAGAGTGTCGAGGAATCTTCATTATTAAAAGTAGCAAGGAAAAGACATTTAGGGAGTTGAGAAATTATTTATATTGTCTCACTTAACTAAATAAGATTAACTTTGTAAGATTAGAGATTACTTAAAACATGGTAGACAGAGGAAAATGGAAGAAAAGATTAACAAAGATTAAATTTTTGACGTTCCAAATTGACATCTATTATTGAGTACCCGTGTGGCAAGCATAACGTTAAAACATTCAAAAGAGAAAACAATAATGTTTATCGAGTATGTGCCGATAATTAACTTTTATCCCTTTCTTACAGATGAGGCTGCTACCTCTCAGTGCAGCAGTATAGTCACTCATGCAAAATCACACCGCTAGCAGGTATTGAAGCTAGGCTGTAAAGGCAGAAATACAGCATATATGGCAGCTTCATTAGAATCCTGATCTTTCTGGGAGTGAAGAGTTTGTGTGGGGTGGCAGGAAGAGCTATGGACTTAGAGCCAGGAGACTTGGGTTTTGTTCCTGGATATACCACTTGATCTTTCTTGTCCTCAGTATTCTCAGGGGATCATAGTCAATCTCTGGTGATAGAGGTCAGGAAAGAGGTTACTTTTGGTAGGGGTAGTAACTAAAAGAAGACCTTAGGAGGACTTTTTTGGGGTACTGCTATTGTTCAGTTTATTGATCCGTATGGTGCTTCATGGTGTGTTTGTGAAAATTTATAGAACTGTATACTAGTTATTTGTGTACTTTTTACACATATTTTATACTTTAAGTTTACTTTAAAAGGGAATTACACACTTGTATCATCACAGGTTTGTTGTGGAAATCAGATGAACAAATGTTTTTAAAATTGCTTTAAAAATTAAAATTCTATGCTATAAAAATAATGGAGTAAGGAATTATTGGGTGATAAAGATGGCTAGACAAGATAGGAACAATTATGGAGAGATTGGAGTGTTACAGATAGCTTGGGCTTTATCCAGTAAAAAACAGAGAGGCATTGTATGTATTCTAAGATACTGGCAAGATGAAAAAATTAACCTGACATATAGAATGGATTGGGGAAGGGGGGAATTAAAGACACATAAGATAATTATGGGACTTTTGCTTATAATCTCAACAGTGAAAATGGAGAGAAAGAAATGAACCTAAAACATTCTGAAGGAATAAACAGTGGTCTGTGTGTTAGTCCATTTTACTGAAATAGAGTTGCTCTAAGTTGCTATAAAAAAATACCTGAGACTGGCTGGGCACGGTGGCTCATGCTTGTGATCCCAGCACTTTGGGAGGCCAAGGCAGGCAAATCACAAGGTCAGGAGTTCGAGACCAGCCTGGCCAACATGGTGAAACCTGTCTCTACTAAAAATACGAAAAATTAGCTGAGCGTAGTGGCAGGTGCCTATAATCCCAGCTACTTGGGAGGCTGAGGCAAGAGAATCGCTTGAACCCGGGAGGTGGAGGTTGCAGTGAGCCGAGATCACGCCACTGCACTCCAGCCCAGGCGACAGAATGAGGCTACATTAAAAAAAAAAAAAACACCTGAGACTTGGTAATTTATAAAACAAAGAGTTTTATTTGGCTCGTGGTTCTGCAGACTGTACAAGAATGGCATCAACTTCTCAGCTTCTGGTGTGGCCTCAGGAAGCTTTTACTCATGACAAAAAGGCAAAGAGGGAACAGGCATGTCACACAGCAAAACAGAGAGCAAGAAAGAAGGGAAGCGATGTCAGTCTGTTTTAAACAACCAGTTCTCATGTGAACTAATAGAGCAAGAAGCCATTACCATCGGAATGGCACAACGCCATTCATGAGGAGGCCACCCCCATGATCCAACACCTGCCCCTAGGCCCCACCTCCAATATTAGAGGGTCACATTTCAACGTGAATTTGGGAGGGCACAAATATCCAAACCATATCAGTCTATGAAATAAACTAGAAAGAAAAGATAAGGAAGAGAGAAGAGTCACAAGTCATTCCCATAGGTCATACTTTAATTATAAAAAGTAGAGTGGTGCCGTTTACTGAAATGTTGTCCTCTCTCAAGTGGAGGAACTCATAAGTGAACCTTTGTGGAGTTCTCAACTGATGTTTTCTTCTGGTTCACTTGAAATTTAGAGCTCACTAAGGAAGGAAGCAATGTGGTAAAACAGTCTTGACCATGAGGGAAAGGGAATACATGTTTGGGAGCAAGGTAAGAATTTCATTCCTTTGAAGCCATTAGTAGTATCTTTGCAAAATGTAAGACTTTTGCCTCTTTCAGACAGCAGCAGTAGTAAAACTGGCTAGCCATTATAGTAGCCAAAGTCCATTTTCAGTCATTGTTGCCTGCAGCCCATCTGCATCTCTTCACCATCACATCTGGAAAGCCCTCTTTCCTAATTGTACCTAGTTTGTTTTTAGGGCCAAAATACTGTGTATTTCAGCAGTTACAGCAAAAACCACAAACATGTTTCCTATGGTTTGTGGAACATTCTTTTTCTTCTGATACTAGTGTGTAACCTTGCCCCATTGTTGGTAACAGCCTGTGAGAAACTGAATAAGGAGGCGTTCAATTTGTGGTTTTCATCAATATTTAAAAATACTGAGATAGGTGAGAAGAGAGGTGGCAGAGGAAGGGCCATTAAACTTTTTCCCTCTTTCAGCTTTAGCGTGGACAAGGTTATGTATTGTAAGCCTTGTTCCTATCTAGCCTATGTTTTTTTTTTAATTCAGGGTCTGAGTTTTATTTTCAGTGCATTGATTGGAATCAAAGAGTCAGAAGGGAGTGTCATAAATAGAAATCAGGGTTTGTTCAGCTTGAATACCAACACAAACTATTTCTAGACAGCATGCCACTGCAGCTGTGTGACTTAAGCAGAATCAAAACTCATATTAACTGGAGGAAGATGTGTCAGAGAGCATTCTGGGCCTACAAGATGTACCCAAAGTGGAATTGGTTTTGTTAAGGAATAGAGGAATTAGGGAAAGCTTAGGAAAATGATCTGTAGTCTCCATTGTTACCTGTGTAGGAGAGTAAAAGGTCGGCAGAGCTAAACTCCTTCTGCTTAGTTCAAGCCTCCCAACGATGCACAGAAACACAATAGAGATTTTTAGTTGCAAAAGTGCTCAAATTTGGTCAACTTTAAAGAAGTTTTGCTCTGCAACCAGTGAATTCCTTAATGATAGATTTAGTTCTGGTTCCTGTTCATTATGTAACTCATTACTCCCGGTAACCGCCAGACCTACAGATAAACTATGTGTATCTTCTGGTCCTACCTTCCTTTCTCTTTGAATTATATCTTTTTCCATAAAGTACAGACGATTGTCCATTCAGAAGGACTTTTAAAAATTCAAGTTTATGGCTGATTTTTGGCTGTGGTTAATTGAAGTTCCAAGAAAAAGAGTAATATAGGAAGGCTGAATTATTTGGAGGGTTCCTATGCCATTATTTATCATCTTAGAAATAATCATAGAGCTGGGCATGGTGACTCATGCCTGTCATCCCACCACTTTGGGAGGTAGAAGCAGGAAGATCGCTTGAGCCAAGGAGTTTGAGACCAGTGTGGGCAACAAATTGAGACCCTGTCTGTACAAAAAAAAATAATATTAACCTGGTGTGGTAACCTGTGCCTGTAATCTTAGCTACTCAGAGAGGCTGAGTTAGGAGGATTGCTTGAGCCTGGGAGGTCAAGGCGGCATTGAGCCACACTCATACCACTGCACTCCAGCCTGAGTGGCAGAGTGAGACCCTGTCTCAAAAATAAAAAAAAAAATCGGCCAGACACGGTGGCTGACGCCTGTAATCCCAGAACTTTAGGAAGCCGAGGCAGGTGGATCACAAGGTCAAGAGATCGAGACCAGCCTGGCCAACATGGTGAAATCCCTTCTCTACTAAAAATATAAAAAATTAGCTGAGCATGGTGGCGAGCTCCTGTAGTCCCAGCTACTCGGGAGGCTGAGGCAGGAAAATCTCTTGAACCTGGGAGGCAGAGGTTGCAGTGAGTGAGATCGCACCACTACACTCCAGCCTGGCAACAGAGTGAGACTCCATCTCAAAAAAATTTAAAAAAAAAATTGAAAAATTTAAAAAAAGAATCATAGTTGAAACTCATAAATAAGTATGTGTTTGGTCATCTAACTAAAAGATATGGATACTTCGTAACAGGAAGTTCAAAAGCTTGCAGCTCATTTCCCAGGGCAAAGGTGATGTGCTCCAGCTTGCTTAAGATGTGCTCTAGAGTCCGGCTATTTGGAGAGCCTGGCATGCAACAGCCAAATGGGCAGAAAATGGGTATTGACGGTTGCTCAATTTCAGAGTCACCTTTGCAGTACTCTAAAAGCACACTGGAATTGGCTGGAAGAGCCATTAGTAGACAATCAATATCTGAGCTTTTGATAGTGACCATGGTCTATATGATTATTTGTGGTACTTTATCTGTATTTTTCTTGTAGCACCTAATGCTTTATGGTTAGCTATGATAAAATCTAATCTCTGCTGTAGCACTTTTTATTTATTCATGAACCTTCCCCACTTTCCCTAATCAAAGTTAATTCCTCCTGTCTTTATTGTCCTTGGCTCTATAAGCCAGTCTCAGCCTCCCATAAACCACAGACCTGCCTGCCCATAAAGGCAAGTTGTCATCACCCGCAAATGCCAACTTTCTTGTTTCCAACCTGCCTGCACTCTTAACCGGCTCCCAATAACTTGTGAAACACACAATCAAGTTTTTGTCATTACTTCTCCAAGAAATTTGTGTAATTGCCTGTGTGTTTGTATTATATCTTTATGTACCTTTTATCTCTAGGAGAACCCAGGAGAAAGAGGTAGTTTTTCTAGTAACTAGCCCAGTTGTTATCAGGGGGAGATACAAGGTAGAAGAATTCTACCTGGAATTTCAATCCTAACTAAAGAGTGTGAAAATTTGAGGGAATTGTTCTAGTGATCTTTAGAGAATGCAGTATTTTTGATATACCAGAAGAAAGTACACTCTGTGTATTCAAAATGTGTCTTTATTTGTAATTGAAGAATACTCTGCTGTATTATAACTTCTCAGAGAGTGTGCAGAATCTTTAGCTAGGTAGGAGGATATAGTTATAAAAGAAAAACAGGAAGTATTAGAATCTGATACGGTGGAAGGGAACCTAAACCTGAAGTAAAAGAGAAAAGAAGAATGTTACATGGAGGAAGAAAAGACAACAAGGGCTGGGCACAGTGGCTCACGCCTGTAATCCCAGCACTTTGGAGGCCCAGGTGGGCAGATCACTTGAGGTCAGGAGTTAGAGGCCTGCCTGCCCAACATGGTGAAACCCCATCTCTACTACAAAAATTAGGTATAAAAATTAGCCAGGCGTGGTGGCATGCATCTGTAATACCAGCTACTCGGGAGGCTGAGGCAGGAGAATCACTTGAACCTGAGAAGCGGAGGTTGCAGTGAGCTGAGATCACACCACTGCATTCCAGCCTGGGCGACACAGTGAGACTCAGTCTCAGGAAAAAAAAAAAAAAAAAAAAAAAGACAAGGCTTTTGTGGGCTTTTCTTCAGAGGTTCACCTGACCTTGTTGAAAAAGAAATAGTACCATTTGGTCCTGAAATAATTATGAGACATTGTAAAGGAATGCTTTGCTCAAAAGATACAGGTATCTTAAGAGGGGAAGCAACTTTGCACTCTTGTCAAGGAAACATGTAGGAGACTGACCACTGGAGAGAATGTGAATTTTCAGACCATGTAGGCAAAGAAAGAACAAAGATGATATGTGTTCCTCCTGCATACCATTAAATTAGTACCAAGTAAAGATATAGTAGTGGTGTGGGACTGTATCCAGATGTCTTCTAAAATTTTTATCCCGTGAAAATAGCCTATTTTGGTAAGTTCTTCCATACTGATTCGTTTATCTCCCAGAGTACAGAGGAAGAAAATAGGAGAACTACTGTTCTTCCTTTAATTCTAATTAACATTGAAGGATTGTTTGGGAGGGTGGAAGTTTAAGAGTCCACGTAGATGAGGAAAAAGCAACATGGAAAACTGTTTTATGTGCACATATAGTTTGTGCTTCTCCCTCAGTGGGAATTATGCTTCCCCGTCCCATTAATGTGACCTGAGTCATATGACTTGCATTGGTCGAGGAATGTGAGAAGTGACATACATACGTTGCTTCTGTACAAATGCTTTTAGTACATAGTCATACATGATCTTTTTCCCATCTGCCCCAAGACCAACAGTACCCTAGAAAGAGATTATTCTATCAGTTTTAGACCAGGGTGGACATGTGGCCTGTGTTTTTAAAAGGCCTTTCATTGTTTTAAACTAGTGGTTCTCAACCAGGGATTATTATGTTCCCCTCTTTCTTCACCAAGGAACATTTGTAATGTCTGGAAATGTTTTTGGTTGTTACAACAAGGGGAGTATAACTGGCCTATAGTGGGTAGAGGCTAGTTATGCTTCTCAATATCCCACAGTGCACAGTTGAGGCCTCCACAACAAAGAAGTATCTAGTTAAAAATGTTATTAATGTTGAGATTGAGAAACCTGGTTGTAAGCTTCTGGGGTTGTTTGTGACTATAGCTTAGCCTAGCCTATCCTGACTAATACAACAACTTTCACCTTAATTTTATACTAAGTGCAGCAATAGTTGTGTATAACCAGTTAGGTACACTGGAAATTAGGAAGGCAAGTTTGGGAGAAAAAAAAATTTTTTTTTTTAACGTAGCTATCCTACCATGGTATAAGGTTTTTAAGGTGACTTGGCCAGGCGCGGTGGCTCACGCCTGTAATCCCAGCACTTTGGGAGGCTGAGGCAGGCGGATCACGAGGTCAGGAGATCCGAGACCATCCTGGCTAACGTGGTGAAACCCTGTCTCTACTAAAAATACAAAAAAATTAGCCGGGCATGGTGGCAGGTGCCTGTAGTCCCAGCTACTCGGGAGGCTGAGGCAGGAGAATAGCATGAACCGGGGAGGTGGAGTTTGCAGTGAGCCGAGATCGCACCACTGCACTCCAGCCTGGGTGACAGAGCAAGACTCCAACTCAAAAAAAAAAAAAAAAAAAACATTTTTTAGGTGACTCAAAAGGTTTAGAAACTTCCAGTTACACAACTATAACTGTGCAGTTGCAGATATTCCAGATAAATAAAAGCCAGAGAGAAAAGTCAGTGTGGTTGCACAGTGAACTCTCTCCTGAACTCAAATATTAAAGGAAGTTTATAATCAAAATAAATATGAGTCTTTTATATTCCTTTAAACATAGCATTAAAAGAATTAAGATCCAAAATTAACGTGGTTTAGATCTGCATGCAAAGATACCCAGAGGACTTTTGTTTGTTTTAGTTATCTTAGCAGCAAGATCCAGCAACAAGTACATCTCTCATTTGATGCTCATGAACTGCATAGAGAAAGCAGAACATCTTACCAAGGATTGCCTCATCTTCCTCATCACTGGCCACCAGTCTCATCTGGTCTACCTCCTTCCGGTTATTCCATAGTCTCTGATTCTCCAGCATCTTTTTGAGGCAGTAGACCTTTCTAACCCTGGCTTTAACCTTTACATGTACTTAAAGTATCAAAAGTGATTACTGCCGGGCACAGTGGTTCACATCTGTAATCCCAGCACTTTGGGAGGATGAGGCGGGTGGATCACGAGGTCAAGACCTCGTGGTTCAAGATCAGGTGGTTCAAGACCAGCCTGGCCGACATAGTGAAACCCCGTCTCTACTAAAAATACAAAAATTAGCTGGGCACGGTGGCATGTGCCTGTAATCCCAGCTACTCGGGAGGCTGAGGCGGAGGTTGCAGTGAGCCAAGATCGCGCCACTGCACTGCAGCCTGGCCTACAGAGCGAGAGTCCGTCTCAAAAAAAAAAAAAAAGTGATTACTACCCACCCTTGTCCCATGGAATCACTCCTATTTTGAAGCCTTGAAAATGATAGGTTTTGAATATACCTATCCCTTCTTTTTTGTTTTGTTTCGTCTGGTTCTGACAAGTCATTGTTTCATATATATAATAAGTATATGCAACATTCTAACGTTATGGGGTATAATGTACTGTTTTGATATGTGTATACAATGTGGTATGATTAAATCAAACTAATTAGCAGATCCTTCACCTGACTTATCTATCATTTTTATAGTGAGACATTTGAAATTTACTCTTAGTTATTTTAAAATATATAATATGTATTGTTGACTCTAGTCACCTTGTATGTAATAAATCTCAAAATCTATTCTTCTGCCTGAAATTTTGCACCTTTTGATTAATAACTCATTCCCCTGTCTCCCATTCCTCTGTCCATCTGAAACTTTGTACCCTTTGATCAGCAACTCTTCGTTCCCTTCCTTCCCACTCCAGCCTCTGGTAACCATCATTCTATTATATATTTCTATTCATTCAGCTTATTAGATTCCATATGTAAGTGAAATTATGTGGTATTTGTCTTTCTGTGGTTGGCATATTTCACTTAGCACATTATCCTCTGGATTCATCCATGTGTCACAAGTGACTGGATTTACCCCCTTCTTAAGGCTGAATAGTATTTTATTGTGTATATATATACACAATATTTGTCCATTCATCTGTTGATGGGCACGTAGGTTGTTTCTGTATCTTTACTATTGTGAGTAATGCTGCAGTGAACATTAGAGTGCAGATATCACCACCAATATACTGATTTCTATTCTTCTGGATATATATACCCAGAAGTGGGATTGCTGAGGTGTATGTTCTGTTTTTAGGTTTTTGAGGAACTTCCATACCATTTCTCATAATGACGGTACTAATTTACATTCCCACCAACAGTGTATAAGAGTTCCTTTTCTCTGTATCCTCTCCAAACTTATTTTTCATCTTTTTTATAACAGCCATTCAAAGCTGGGCCTGATGGTGGCATGTACCTATAATCCCAGCTACTTAGGAGGCTGAGGCAGGAGATCGCTTGAACCCAGGAGTTCAAGTCCAGCCTGAGCAACACAGCAAGACCCCATCTCTATTTAAAAATATAAATGTAGGAAGAAAAAAAAAAACACTAACAGGTGTGAAGTGATAACTCAGTGTGGTTTTATTTTTCATTTTCTTAATAATTAGTGATTTTGAGCATTTTTTCTTGCACCTGTTAGTCATTTGTATGTTTGTTTGTTTTTTTTTTGAGAAATGTCTGTTCAGTTCCTTTACCTTTTTTTAATCACGTTATTTTCTTGTTGAGTTGTATGAGTTCCTTATGTATTTTGGGTATTAACCCCTTATAAGATGTATGGTTTGCAAATATTTTCTCCCATTCTTTGAGTTGTCTCTTCACTTTGTTAATTGTTTCCTTTGCTGTGCAGAAACTTTTTAGTTTGATACTGTCTCATTTGTCTGGTTTTGCATTGGTTGTCTGTGCTTTTGGAGTCATCTCCAAAAAAATCATTGCCCAGACTAATGTCATAGAACTTTTTCTCTATATTTATTTCTGGTAGTTTTATGATTTCAGATCTTATATTTAAATCTTTAATCCATTTTGAGTTAATTTTAGAGCTAAACAAGGATGAAATGCTCTGTTTCAAGGATACTGTTTCTCAGGCTTTAAATATTTTCAAGCAGAAGCCAGAGAGCCACTGGTTGACTATTCTTTTCCAAAGTTGATTGCCTATAATTCTAAATTTAACACTCTGGATTGAAGGTAAGAAAAGAACAAAATTTTTACCATGTGTCTCTCAACTCCTATCATATTTTAGCCATATCTAAAAGCAAGACACCAGGAAATAAAGATACCAGACTTCCTCCTTGCTCTGAGGACAGAAGGGATAACTGCAGGGTCCTGATTAGAGCCCAGCCATATTAATTGTGTAGCTGTTCTTGCTCACTCTGATTCAGCCTAGTGATGAGGGTCAGAGCTGATGTTTTTCTCTTTAATCATAGTAATGAGGATAAGGTATACAGCACTGGGGGTACAATCTTGAATTATTCTTTATTGTTGATTATTCATAAAGTATATCTCAATCAAAAGTTTCTAAATCAAAACTGGGAAGGGGATGGCTTAACGGCAAAGTGAGGCAAAGTTTTTAAAATGTTTATAATGTAATGTGACATTTAAAGATTAAAATGTGTTTTATGGATTTCTCATTTTTCATTTGTTACATGAAATCTTAGTTTTTTACCTTCAGGTTCTTGGGCTTAAAAATGTCTACCTGCCCAAAAGACAGGAAAGTCACAAAATAATACAGATAGCAAATAAATATATATATATTTTTTTGAGACAAGGTCTTGCCTGTCGCCTAGACTAGAGTACAGGTGGTATAATCATGGCTGACTGTAACTTCGAACTCCTGGGCTCAAGTGATATTCCTGCCTCAGTTTGACAAGTAGCCGGGACCACAGGCATGCACCACCACACCTAGCTGCAAATAAACATTTTAAAATTATTTTGTAGGGACGGAGTCTTGCTGTGTTGCCCAGGCTGGTCTCAAATTCCTGGCCTCAAGCAGTCCTCCCACCTCAGCTTCCCAAGTAGCCAAGACTACAAGCACATGCCACTGTGCCCAGCCACAAATAAACATTTAAAAAAAATTTTTTTAATTGTTTTTTGGGAGACAGACAAAATCTCGCTTTGTCATCCAGGCTGGAGTACAGTGGCATGATCTTGGCTCACTGCAACCTCCGCCTCATAAGTTCAAGCAATTCTTCGTGCCTCAGCCTCCAGAACAGCTGGGACTACAGGCATGCGCCACTGCACTTGGCTAATTTTTGTATTTTTGGCAGAGAGGGGGTTTCACTAGGTTGGCCAGGCTGGTCTCGAACTCCTGACCTCAGGTGATCCGCCCACCTCGGCCTCCCAAAGTATTGGGATTACAGGCGTAAGCCACCGCACCCGGCCTGAAAAATTAAATATTACTAATTTAATAATTGAAGAAATATAATTAATTTAGTAATACTAATTAGTAATTGAAGAAATACAAATTAAAATATTAAGCTATCATTTTCCCTTACTAAGAGTTTTTTGATGTTTTCTATTATAAAACTATAATACCTGTTTAGTATAGAAAATAAGAAAATACAAATAAAAGAGGAAAACAATTTTAAAATACTTGTAATCTCATCACAGTAGCAACACAACATCTCATTATGTAGATGATAGTCTTTTTTCTATCCATGTCTAAAACTTATCTAATAGTCTGTTGATGTACATTTGAACTTTTTGTCATAAGTAATGCTGTAATAAACATCTTGCATGTTAATCTTTTTTTGCATCTCTGATTTTCTTAGGATAGGTTCCTTGAACTGCTTGCTGAGTCAAAACATATTGCATTTTTCAGGCGTTTGGTTATCTGTTGCCAAATTGCTGACCAGAAAAGTTGTATCAGTTATATGAGCTTATTGGTTTATCCATTCTATAATCTGTATTCTTTATTTTATTTTCCTATATTTTTTCTTTCAGACTTAGTCTTGCAGATATATTATTTTCTTATCACCCTTTTTTTTTTTTTTGTTTTGTTTGAGACAGAGTCTTGCTCTGTCGCCCAGGCTAGAATGCAGTGGTGCAATCTTGGCTCGCTGTGACCTCCACCTCCTGGGTTTAAGCAATTCTCCTGCCTCGGCCTCCCAAGTAGCTGGGATTACAGGCATGCACCACCAAGCCCAGTTAATTTTTTGTATTTTAGTAGAGACGGGGGTTGTACCATGTTGCCCCCAAGGTGGTCTTGAACTCCTGAGCTCAGGCAGTCTGCCCACCTCAGCCTCCCAAAGTGCTAGGATTACAGGTGTGAGCTACTGTGCCCAGCCATCATCTCCATTTTGATAACTCCAGAATGGTATCTTGTTTTTTTAATTTTATACTTCTTTGATTAATAATCAGAATTTATTTTATATGTCCTAATAACAATACTACAAATTAAACTCTTCATTGCCACATTATAAGAAAAAACAGACAAAAATATACACACCTTAAATGTTCAACTAAAAAGGAAAGCAGTTAAATAATTATAATTCTAATCAATAAACTATTAAACATTAAAGCTATTAAAACATAATGTGAAGTATTTTTACTAATATAGGAAAAATATTAGTTTGTAATATTAGGTAAGACAAGTGGTAAGTTTTTATCTGTAATTATACTTTATAAATGTATAAGGGAAAAAATTTGAAAGGAAATCCACAAAAATGTAATTTTCTGGTACTGATAGGTGATTTTTAATGTTTCATAATTTTTAACACTATCCACATTTTTATAATTAACATTTCTATCACATTTATGAAGAAAATACATTTGTGTTCAGTATACTACACAAATGGTGCAAGAGAGAGGAAATTGTCCACTTATAATTTGTATGTAGTCAGTAAGATTCTGGTAGGTAGTTAATTAGCCATTGCCAAAATGTTAAAGGTTTACTTGCTTCAGAAACTGACTGTTGGAATCACCTGAAAATATAATGCTAATAATTTTTTTTTTTTCCTTAGGTTGCTGCTGTTGATCTTCTGGTTCCTGGAGTTGGGGAACTCTTTGGAGGAGGCCTCAGAGAAGAACGATACCATTTCTTAGAGGAGCGCTTAGCCAGGTACTGGTCAGACCTAAAAGAAACACAATTGAGAAATTGAGCATAAGGCGCTCAAAGGTGGTCATTGCATAGTAACAGAGTGAAGACCCTGGGCCTCGGCGCCTGACAGAACTGGATCTCAGATTCTCTATGTCCTTGAGCAAGTTGTTAGTTTATCTCTGAGCTTCCCGTTCTTCAGGAATGGAACTCTTACATGAAAAACCCACAGTGATATTTGCCCATTTTTACAAACCTTTCCCTATGGAAAGTAGCTTTTTAAAAAGTTAAAATGTGAAGAGAGAGTTCCCCCTTAAAGCTTGTCCTACATTTTTTTTTAATTTTTTTTTTTTTTTTTGAGACGGAGTCTTGCTGTGTTGCCCAGGCTGGAGTGCAGTGGCGCGATCTTGGCTCACTGCAAGCTCTGCCTCCCGGGGTTCACGCCATTCTCCTGCCTCAGCCTCCCAAGTAGCTGGGACTACAGGCGCCCGCCACCACGCCCGGCTAATTTTTTGTATTTTTTAGTAGAGACAGAGTTTCACCGTGTTAGCCGGGATGGTCTTGATCTCCTGACCTCGTGATCTGCCCGCCTCAGCCTCCCAGAGTGCTGGGATTACAGGCATGAGCCACCGCACCTGGCCAGCTTGTCCTACATTTTTATCTTATCTGTGTTCTTTATTTACTCTCAATTATGATTGGCAGACTTCTATAAGGACATAAAGACAAACTCTGAGCCAGGGAAAGGATGAAGTTGGGGAAAGAAAACTAGTCAGATAGCATTTAGAATAAGCACATTTCACTTCCTCAGATTCTCTTCTATGTAAGGGTCTTGATTTAGCTATTTGAATAACTTTATTCTAACTTGCTGTTTGAGAACTGGGAAACAAATCTGTAAACACATAGAGAATGTTTTGGAGATGGGAAGTAAGGAATCATGTTTCAATTGAACCGCCACTCCTACATATACATTTATATGCCATAATGACTTCCTAAACTAACCATACCTGTTTTCCATGATTCCTACTTTAGTAAAAGTACTGCCAGACTTAAAAAAAAAAAAAGAAAGACTTTACCATGTCTGTATGCTTCATTCTCTCCAGATAGTACTGGGTTTCATAGTAATCTGGAAAAGCCATAATTGTTTAAAAATATTCTGTTAGCCATTTGTGAGGCCTTCTTTTCCTAATGGGGAAATGCTTTAAAAGTTGATGCTTTTTCAAGGTCTCAACCTATATGTAAATCTCCTGGGTAACTTAGTTTTGTTATCCCACTCATCTGAACTGCTCTACTGGGTTAGGATCCAAAAGAAAGGGGATGGATAAATAGGTTTGAGGAAGACTGTATTCGTTAGACGACTAACTCCTTACTACTATTACAGCATTAAAAAAGTCCTGAGAAAGTTGTGGAATTGAAGGTCAGACTCTAGTTGAAAAAATCTGAGTATTCTCTATGTTTTTTAAAAAGCACAATAAAAATCACACATGGCAAGAAACCTCATCTGTTGAAAGATTAATTGGTCTGTTTTCTTTGCTTGCTTCCTTCCTCCAGGAAACCTTTCCTCGTAACATTAAATGTTTACCTAATACCTGATAATAGCCACATCTGTCTTTCGTAATGAAGTGGATATATATGATTCCCTATTTCAGGGATCTGTCTATGGCTGCTCTTCATGTTTTCTGTATTTTTGTATATTTGAATTTTTCATATTCCTGGTCACATTAGATGCACTGTGGTCCAAAACACATTTTTTAAAGGGCTGAGTTGAATTTCAATTACCACTAAGAATTTAAAATTTTATTAATAGTTCTCAAACAAGAATCAATGTGCAACCATATTATGAAGGCAGCCTCAGAATCTATATTATTGTTTTAATGTTGAAGAATGAAAGTTATATCTCTGTGTCCCTTGTCTGTGTGTGCCTCCCAACAACCTTAACTAGTAATAATAGTGCTTTTCTTTTCTTTTTTTTTTTTTGAGATGGAGTCTCACTCTGTTGTCCAGACTGGCGTGCAGTGGCATGATCTTGGTTCACTGCAACTTCTGCCTCCTAGGTTCAAGCAATCCTTCTACCTCAGCTTCCCGAGTAGCTGGGACTACAGGCACACACCACCACACCCAGCTAATTTTTGTATTTTTAGTAGAGATGGGGTTTCACCATGTTGGCCAGGCTTGTCTGGAATCCTGATCTCAAGTGATCCACCCACCTTGGCCTCCCAAAGTGCTGGGATTACAGGCAGGAGCCGCTGCACCCTGCCTAATAATAGTGCTTTTCTTATGTCACAGGATAATAAACTCATCTCAGGTGAATCCCTTCCTTTGGACTCTGGATCATATTTTCTTTCTATAACATTTATTGTGTAAACCATTTATTTGATAACACCTTGTGCTATTGGTTAAGTTACTGTATGGTTTCAGCTCCTCAACTATATTGAGTATTACTTGAGAGCAGAGGCTTTGTCGTCTACTTCTTCATAAAGAGTTCTTTGCACACACCCAGAATAAATGTCTAGTGGTTAATATTTATCTTATTGCCGTTCCCTGAAAGAATTTTATTTTCCTTTAAACAGATCGGGACTTACAGAAGTCTACCAATGGTAAGAATGTGGCCCCTAATAATTCTTACTCTAGCTGCTTGTCTGACTGTTGCCTAGAAGCGTTTTTACTTGTATCCCCAAGACCCCATGAAAGAGTGTTAAAAACAATGAACTTAACTGTTCTTAGGTCAGGGAAGGGGTTGGGGGCTCAGAAGATTACTTACTTCCTTTGGGTTCTTGAAAAATAGTAATAATAGCTCTCATTTACTTACTGCTTATTGTGTGCCAGATAATTATGTTAAAAATTTTATGTATATTGGCTGGGCGCAGTGGCTCACGCCTGTAATCCCAGCACTTTGGGAGGCCAAGGCAGGTGGATCACCTGAGGTCAGGAGTTGGAGACCAGCCTGGCCAGCATGGTGAAACCCCATCTCTACTAAAAATAAAAAAATTAGCCGGGTATGGTGGCAGGCACCTGTAATCCCACCTACTTGGGAGGCTGAGGCAGGAGAATCGCTTGAACCTGGGAGGCAGAGGTTGCAGTGAGCTGAGATCACGCCATTGCACTCCAGCTTGGGGGACAAGAGCGAGACTTCGTCTCAAAAAAAAAAAAATTATATTATGTCATGTAATCATCCTACCACCCTGTGAATTAGGTACTATTATCCTGACCCTTCTTATTACTCCCTAGGCATGAGGCCCAGAGATGTTAACTAACTTAGCCAAGGTCACACAGTTTGAGGGATAGAGATGGGGCTTGATCTCTCTGAATCAAAATGCTTGGCTCGGCCGGGCATGGTGGCTCACGCCTGTAATCCCAGCACTTTGGGAGGCCTGGGTGGGTGGATCACTTGAGGTCAGGAGTTCCAGATGAGCCTGGCCAACATGGTGAAACCCTGTCTCTACTAAAAATACAAATACTAGCTGGGCATGGTGGCGTGTGCCTGTAATCCTAGCTATTTGGGAGGCTGAGGCAGGAGAATTGCTTGAACCTGGGAGGCGGAGGTTACAATGAGCCAAGATCGTGCCACTGCGCTCCAGCCTGGTGACAGAGCGAGACTCCGTCTCAAAAAATAAATTAATTAATTTAAAAAAATCCTTTGCTCTTAAGCATTATGCTGCAATTTCTTTATGTGTGAAATTAGGGGCTTGAGCTAAGTGATCCCTAATGCCCCCACGAACTATAGAAATCCAAGCTGCTTAGGGAGGACCACGTGTCTGTACTTATACATTCACTTCCTCAAAGTTGTTTTGGTTTTCCTTATGCAGACTTTTTCTTCAAGTACTTTTCAATATATATACATTTTTTATTTATATTTCTATATTAGCACTCCTTCAGGATCTTGGTATAATAATACCAACAATATTATTAATCCTTGTGCTGTGCTCAGGAAGAGGAAGGGGCAAGTTACCTACACCCTCGCCTTTTGGTATGGAAGGAGATAGGTTTCAGAGATGCAAAAAAATCTAAAATTGGCTTCAGGTGATGGCCTTTGAATGCCTTATATTAACCAGTAATGACCTTAGGCATATTTAATCTCTCCGAGTCTTGTTTTTTTGGCTATAAAATGGAATGATACTATCTCCTTCACAGAGTTATTGTGCGGATGAAATGAAACAATACAGGTTAAGTATCTACATAGAGTGGAAGCTTAGTAAATGCTAGTTTCCTACCCCCTTTCTTTTCTTTGTTCTGAGTCTTGCTATTAGGTAGATAAGCCTGATGATTGAGCAAGCTTATGTATTTTATAGTTTGTAAAAACTAGCCTTAAAAAAAGCTAAACCACTAGCCTTAAAAAAAAGCCAAAGCCACCGTGGGTGCGGTGGCTCACGGCTGTAATCCCAGCACTTTGGGAGGCCAAGGCAGGTGGATCACTTGAGGTCAGGAGTTCGAGACCAGCCTGACCAACATGGTAAAACCCCATCTCTACCAAAAATAACAAACATTAGCCCAGCGTGGTGACAGGTGCCTGTATTCCCAGCTACTCCGGAGGCTGAGGCAGGAGAATCGCTTGAACCTGGGAGATGGATGTTTCAGTGAGCCAAGATCACGCCATTGCATTCCAGCCTGGGCAGCAAGAGCAAAAGTCCATCTCAAAAAAAAAAGCTAAATACAGACTGCACCCCAGCCTGGGCAATAGAGTGAGACTCCATCTCAAAAAAAAAAAAATTGGTTAAATAAGTTTAGGCCTTGAAAGTCTTTATTAATCATTCTTTTCCCAACTAAAGTTTTCAGATCCTTAAGATCTCCTTGAATTTGCTTCCTTCTATATTAGTATATTAAAGGTAAAAGAGACCTTAGACATCTTCATATCTGTGATGTCTGCTAGTGTTCCACCATACGGTGAGAAGCCACCCCAGATGGCTAAGAATTTACTCACTTCCTATTTCTGTACCCCATATGCAAATTAAATCTGTAACTAGTTCCACAAATTTCGTAGCATCTCTTCCATAATCTCGCTACCCTGGAACCAATTTAACAACAATCAAACAAATACATATACATTAGAAAATTTTTTTCTTAGAAATGGATTTTTTCATCTATCAAAGCAAAGGCAAGAAAAATGCTACAGACTGAACCCCTCTGCTGACAGTTTGCAGATATTCATGCCAGTGTTTCAATATCAATGTATGAGAAATTTAGACCCATCTAAAACTATTGCTGGACTTTGTAGCAGCCAGGTCAGGTCCTGTAGGCATCTGTGACAGGTAGTTTGGTGTGCTGTTCATTTCATCACTGAGTCAAAGTGTACTCTTTCCCGCTGCCTCGTAAACTTTAAAGTTAATTTAGCAACTAAACATTTCAGTTATTCAAGACTGAATAACTGAATGTGCCTCCCATTATTTCTTATAGTTATTACTAATCTGAAGTTTTATACTAGATATCCCTGTAATGTTGGTCTCTTACCTGATTACAACTCATCTGTTTGGAGTTAATCTTTTCCTTTAAAAAGATAAGTGCTTAGACTTAACTCCTTGCAATACCAGTATATGTAGCCATTATTATTAATGGTGGGGAAATAGGTTGATGGACAGTCTTTATGACTGAGGAACCAAGTGGCTACAAGTTATGTTGCTTACGTCTTATTATAGAACTGATTTTACAAATCATTCAAGAAAATATAAACTTGCTTGGTTTTTGTCTTTTTTTTTTTTTCTTTCTTTTTTTTTTTTTTGATACAGAATCTCACTCTGTCACCCAGGCTGGAGTGCAGTGGCTCCATCTCTGCTCACTGCAACCTCCACTTCCCAGGTTCAAGCGACTCCTCTGCCTCAGCCTCCTGAGTAGCTGGGATTACAGACGGGCGCCACTACGCCTGGCTAATTTTCCTATTTTTAGTAGAGACGGGGTATCACCACTTTGGCAGTGCTGGCCTTGAACTCCTGAGCTAGTGATCCGCCCACCTCGGCCTCCCAAAGTGCTGGAATTACAGGCATGAGCCACCACACCCGGCCGATAAACTTGTTTTAATCAATATTATATAACTCAAGAATTTCCCCACAAAATGACATAATAAAATATTTATAGTTGCCCTTTTCCTCTTTTCTTCCTAAAACTTTTTCCAGTGCTGGTGTGTTAGAATCTGAGTTTCAGTCATGTCTGTGCCATTGTCTTGCCATGTGGTCTTTAGTGGGAAAAGAATGTGCGTGGATGGGTTTCAGAGGCTGTCTAGCATGTCAGCTAAATGACTCTGGGCATCTTCACTAGGCCTAAGGCAGAGAATTAAAGGTTTCTCCTCACTCCAGCATTCAAGCATATATTTTTGTGCCTTCAAACAAAACTTCATGTAATTAACACCTACTCTAGAGCTCCCTGGTGATAAAAAGTTGAATGAAGCACAGTTCCTGCCCTGTTGTAGCTTATAATCTAATCTATAGGATATCTTTTCATAATGTAACAGGCAAAACTCTGCACTCTCCTCTGTGTATTGAACAATATGATTTTGGGAAGGAAAAGAAAACATTGTGATTAACCTACCAAGAAATAAAAGAGGCGTATATTTTCAAGAAAATTAGTAAATCTATAGAAAATTTTCTGTAGCCTCCTGAGGCAAGTTTTCTGTCATAAATGCATAAATATAATAGCTTAAAAAGGAAAAGGGACCAAAGCCCATGACTGTATGACAGGATCCACTGCTGTTTCTCTGGGTAACCTTGGATAGATTATTCAGCTTCTTCCTTTCCATTGTCTGTCTGTGGAGGGGAAAGACTGGTCTATCACAGTGAGGTAAACAATAACAAATGATTGCAAAATACGTTTGAAACATTAAATTCTAATCATAACATCTGGTCTTATACTATATATAGATGATGATTTTCTATTTTTGAAAAACAGGTATCTGGACCTTCGTCGATTTGGATCTGTGCCACATGGAGGTTTTGGGATGGGATTTGAACGCTACCTGCAGTGCATCTTGGGTGTTGACAATATCAAAGATGTTATCCCTTTCCCAAGGTTTCCTCATTCATGCCTTTTATAGCTGGAAGATTGGTTAAGGAAAAGCACCCCCCATGGCAGAGACACTGCACATGATTGTGCATACAGCAGAATGCATGTTTGGATTTTAGAAATGCAGATTTCAATATGTAATTGTTGTGCCATAAGATATCATAGAAAAAATATAAGTGGTTGTGATTTTCTTAGAAAGTTGAGGGTATTTCACGTAAGGATGAGCTCCCGCAAGAAGAGGTACTTATAGCAAGGGGACTCTCAAATCCATTACCTCAATTAAGAAATGAAGAAATTGAATTAGTCTCAAAGTTTCTTTTAAACTCTAAAACAGAATGAGATAATGTATTTTACGTTGTCTATAATCATTAAATCACTCCCTGTGTAATTTGTGAGAACCATCTAGTAGCTCGAAATAAAATAATGTTGCATCTTTTCTCCCTTGCCATATACTTTGTGATAAATCCTTATCTCATTTTCAGTACTTCATTAAACATTGCAGAAAAAAATATTCCTTAAGGTCTTAATTGATTTAAAGAAGTAGCTATTCTGAATTGAAATCTCCTTTCATTGAACTGGATGAAAAAATCATGTTTAATAACTGTTGCTTTTCAATTTTCAAAGCTGTTGAGATATTACATTAAGTATTTCAACTCTTTAATCACTGTTGTTATAATTTGTTTATATTTGATGTTTATAATTTGTCTAATAAAATAGATTTTTTTAATAGACACCTATGGAAAAAAAGTTATATATTTTTTAATTTCATTTGGTCCTTTCCCAGTAAAATTTGGAAGAAAGGTATTTTCAATCCAAGATGAGGATGGGAGTTTGGCTGAGCCTAAAGGATGGGTAATTCTAGAGTTAAAAGTAGTGTGGTCAGCTGGGCATGGTGGCTCACGCCTGTAATTCCAGCACTTTGGGAGGGTGAGGCGGGCGGATCACTTGAGGTCAGTAGTTCCAGACCAGTCTGGACAACATGGTGAAACCCCATCTCTACTAAAAATACAAAAATTAGCCAGGCGTGGTGGCAGGCGCCTATAATCCCAGCTACTTGGGAGGCTGAGGCAGGAGAATCACTTGAACCCGGGAGCCGAGGTTACGGTAAGCAAAGAACGGGCCACTGCCCTCCAGCCTGGGAGACAGAGGGAGACTCCATCTCAGAAAAAAAAAAAAAAAAAAAAAAAGTACTGTGGTCTATGAGAGTGAGAAGAGCATTGATTGGGGAGTTTAGAACCTGACAATTCTAGCACTTTAGACAGGCTGCTTACTGTGTAGGAGCTCAACATCATTTTCTTCAGAGTTGATAAAATAATTACATGTGTGTTTGTGTGTGCGTGTGCGTGTGCACACACACACATGCATATGTTTAAAACTGAAATGCTACAAAAACTTTTTTAAAACTCTTGTTTTAGTCTTTGTCTTCATTGAGTTACATGTATAAGGACCTATATAGCAAATTGTATTCTCAGTAGAATACGCATGTATCAAGTAATTGTAAATGGGCATGCATGCCTGAATAATCAGTTTTCTAAGTCTCATTAGATGGGTTCTCCTAGATTATTTCCTAATGAAATTTGTATGTATACTTTATTTTAACCTAATTCAAAATCAAACAGCTGAAAAGAAACAAATTCCAGAGCCTTAAGAGTTGGAAGACACCTGAGAGTTTGTCAAAGTTGACCTTCTGCCTAATGCAGAGAGATTCCATTTACCTGGGCACTTGGTTTTCCAGCCTCTTTTTGACAAAGAAATCAGTGTCCTACAAAATTGCTCATTCCATTTCTGAATCTAATTGGTAGCTTTTGCTGAGCTAAAATCTCAGGAAAATCTACTTCCCTGGAACTTTAATCCCTTGGGCTTAGATATCAAGTTTAGGACAGGCTAAAAGGGATAATTAGGGCTTCCATAAGGCTTGCCTCAACCATAATTAGAGAGAGAAATTCATTTGTTTATTCAACAAATATCTGAGCTTCTTTTATATGCCGAGACTATGTGGTAGGTGCTATATAAACAGTTGTGGATCAAACAGAAATGACCCTGCCTTCATGGAATTATTAATATATTTGAGAAGATATATAATAATTAAATAACTTATTTCAAAATATAGTATGTGCTGTAAAGTTATATGAAGAACAGGAAAGCATAGATAAGCTTGCTAGAAAAGGCATGTCTGAAAAAGTGACATTTAACCATAGACCTAGAAGATAAAATGCAGAAAACATTTTAAAAATATTTGCAGCATCAGCCTGTATTGATTTGGCATTCAGGTCTTACTAGATACCATATTAATTTTGTGGAATGAGGGACATTTATAGACCCAGAACCTGGAGGCACTATAATTTCCAAGGCTATCAGGAATTATGCCTCCCATGATTTTTGAGGGACCTGATAGCATTGTAATGTTAACATGACAGAGGTTAACAAAATAATAGTGATGGAAAGATTGCTGAGTTAGAGAAACCCCAGGTTCTGGACCCAGCATTACCATAAATGTAGTTGTAGAGCATTAGGCAAGTAAAATAATCTTTGTGACCTCCAGTTTTTTCATCTATAGTACTATCACATTTTGAAGTAGGTAAGCTCTATGGATCCTTTTATCTCTTAATCTTCTGTGAACCTGTGCTGAACTTAGTCACTAATAATTGATTTAGAGTCTAACCTTTAGGCAATATGTAGTCCCCTATTTTAGTACATATTAAGTCTCCAAAATGTATAACGAAGTCACATCGCTGAAAGTTGAACAGTAGTCTTAAATGTGTTCATATACTGTATATGTGGAAGGAGGAAAGGTCCTTCTCAAGGCATCTTGCCTTTTTGATAGTGTTTTCACCAATGTATTTCCAAAACTTTATACATTCTTTTCCTTGATAGTTGATCACACAATGAATATCTGGTTGAAGCCAAATACTTGCCACCTATAGCAAGCCTAATAATTTGTCTTTGGTGCAATACTTCTATTTTGCCAATAATTGAACAAAAACAAAAATTCAAGTCAGACAAAGATGATGAAAATGCCAAAACTGAACTGTTGCTTGCAGGCAGCATCAGCAGGAAAAAACTCAAAATGTTTACTCATCAGCTGAGATATGAATATCTAAATTCTACATTGCAAACAGTGTTGTATAAGTCAGTGTATAATGAATAAACGTATGGATTCAATAGTTGAGTACTGTCTACACCATAATAGCTTTTAGTGCTCAGTTTCTGAGTTAAAAGGTGATAAGAGGGTTAGTTTTTCACTTGAGCAACCCATTTCCAATGAGGAAAGAAATCAGATTATGTTTTCCTAAGATTTCCAAATGCCACCTGAAAATAAGAACCCCAGCAACCAAAGTAGAAGTATATTCTAAAACTTAGAAAGGTTTTTTCCATTATTCTCATTCTTATTTCAAATTTTGAGATAGGTTGAGAAAAATAGTTGCTTTCCATCTGGCTGTCCTTTTGCCTGGGGAAAGTTGTGCTGTCATGTTTTTAGGTCTGACAAGAACTTAATTGTGTGAGTGATCCATTCCAGATCTAGACATAACTCTCCAACCCAGAGACTCTTCAACTGTCACAGAATAGCAAAAGAACTATTTGACCTTTTGTTCTTGTCAGACTGGATCTGCCAGAAGCCTCCCTCTACAATGTTATATATTCATATTCTCTATAAATTGAATGTAGACATTGAAGCATGACTGAACAGGCATTGAAGATGTACTTGGTGAGGTGGATTAACTCTACCCATCTTTAAATCCGTTGCTTCAGATAATTATAGATGAGAGATGCTTATTTGGATTGGATTGCTATTTATTCTTATGTTTATTTTACTAAGTGGTGAGGCAAGAACACAAAAATGTACAGTTGAAAGACAGATTGGCCTGGGTTGATTGATAAGTAATGTGTGGGGTGTTTTGGCTTCTGATCAATATTTGTATTCAGTCTGCAATCTATGTATAATTAAAAAAACAGGTGAGAGTAACATCTGATTATAATTTCTCCCCAGTTAATCTTCAGAATTAAAAGATAGTAAAAGCGTTAAGAAAAGGGCAGAAAGCGGGCCGGGCACGGTGGCTCATACCTGTAACCCCAGCACTTTGGGAGGCCAAGACAGGCGGATCACCTGAGGTCAGGAGTTCGAGACCAGCCTGACTAACATGATGAAACCCATCTCTACTAAAAATACAAAAATTAGCTAGCTGTGGTGGTAGGCTCCTGTAATCCCAGCTCCTTGGGAGGCTGAGGCAGGAGAATTGCTGGAACTTGGGAGGCGGAGGTTTCAGTGAGCCGAGATGGTGCCATTGCACTCCAGCGGGGGGCAGCAGAGCAAGACTCCATCTCAAAAAAAAAAAAAAAGAAAAAGAAAAGGGCCCAAAGCAACCTTAATCACTGTATTGAAATGATTTAGTATGGCTTTTGTAAGAAAGTATTTTAAGTCATGGTCAGCATCCCTCCCTGAACTTGGACATTCTACTGTTGCCAGGAGCCCTAGATTGGCCTGTGATCAACTAAGGCTCCAGTTAGCTGTTGTGCAGTTTGGACCCAGCATTACCATAAATGGAGTCCAGCGAATTTCTAGCCATTATCAGCACACTGGATAGTTTCTGGGGGACCTTTATAAAGAAGACACCAGGAGTTTAGGTGGTTTTTAAACTGTCATTCAGGCAGCTGGTCATTGAATTAACATAGCTCATGACTTTTCAAAAATTTTCTGCTATACCTTTACTGTTCATAATTGTTACTAATAACATGACTATTATTTAGGCATTGCTTTACAGTTCACAAACATGTTTCATGTATCTTATTTTCTTAGTTATCAAGACAATACATTGTGGACTTTGTTCCTTTGTATCTTACTGGTCATGAAATTTATTTGGTTTATTTGTTATAAAAATTCAAAGTTCCTTTTGGGAGGCCAAGGCCGGCAGATCACAAGGTCAGGAGATTGAGACCATCCTGGCTAACACGGTGAAACCCTGTCTCTACAAAAAAAAAAAAAAAAAAAAAAAAAAAAAAATTAGCCGGGTGTGGTGGCAGGCGCCTGTAGTCCCAGCTTACTCAGGAGGCTGAGGCAGGAGAATGGCATGAACCCGGGAGGCGGAACTTGCAGTCAGCCGAGATCACACCACTGCACTCCAGCCTAGGCAAAAGAGCGAGACTCTGTCTCAAAAAAAAAAAAAAAAAAAATCGAAAGTTCCTAATACTGAGAGAAAGACTGCAAATAAAATTCACTGCCCTCAGCTTCCAGAGAAACCAAAAAACATAAAACCTAATAACCAAAGAATCTTGCATCTTAAGCCCCAGAGTTTACTGAATGTGTCGCAAAATACTCACCTTGACCTTGTTCTACCCAGGGTGAAGGGACAGGAGAATGTGAAGGAAGATGATGTTTGATCTCAAATACATTGGAGTAAAGAGAAACACTAAAAATGGGGTAAAGGATCCTAGACCCAGCAATGTACTTAAGCTCATTGTGCCTCAATTTGTTATCAGTTTATACTCACATTTGCCACCTTCCTTTTAGGATCATCTTTGAATTGTGGATAGAAAGATACATGAAAGAAACTTTGATAGGAATTATTAATATCTTCCTCGAAGTCACAGACCTTTGATTTTTCAAGGTAATAATCTGAAAATAGATACATGGTGAGCCTGTGTAACAAAGGTTTTTTTTCTGCAACAGGTGCCCATGTACACAGCTGGAACTGTATTTTGCCGAACCTGAGCCATCTACAACTGTGATTCTTTGATTCATAACTTTCTCTACACACTAGCTCAATAAGAATTGCTGGTTTGCCATTTTCCTAGGAACCTAGTTTTGAAAAATCTTGGAAAGAAGATAATTCTTCCCGTTTATGATATATGAACTACTCCCCTCTGTATTTCTCCTGATTCCTAGTAATTTACCTATTGTAGCTTCACTGAATAGGAACTCACTATCTTAATAGAGATCTTTTATTTATTTATTTATTTATTTATTTATTTAGAGACAGGGTCTTACTCTCTCACTCAGGCTAGAGTGCAGTGACGTGATCACAGCTCACTGCAGCCTCAGCCTCCCAGGCTCAAGTGATCCTTCTGCCTCAGCCTCCCACGTAGCTGGGACCACAGGCACAAGCCACCACACCCAGCTAATTTTTGTATTTTTTGTAGAGACAGGGTTTTGCCATGTTGCCCAGGCTGGTCTTGAACTCCTGGGCTCAAGCAGTCCTCCCACTTTGGCCTCTGAAAGGGCAGGGATTACAGGCATGAGCCACTGTGCCTAGCCTTATTTTTTGGAAACGGTCTTGCTTTGTCGCTCAGGCTTAAGTGCAGTGATGTGTACATGGCTCAATGCAGCCTCGACCTCCTGGGCCCAAGCAATCCTCAGCCTCCCATGTAGCTGGGATCACAGGTATGTGCCACCACATCTAGCTAATTTTTTATAGAGACAGGGTCTCACTTTGTTGCCCAGGCTGGTCTTAAACTCATGGGCTCAAGTAGTCCGCTTCCCTCAGCCTCCCAAAGTGCTGGGATTACAAGTTTGAGCCACCACACCCAGCCAAGAAGTTTTTCTCTCCTCAGAGAGCTCTGGTTGTTAGAAACTTCTACCTGAGAATAAGGAAACCTGTCTCTCTGTATCATGCAAATGGAATAAAATAGAAACACAACTCCTCCTGTTTTCCAGTATAGAACCTCTAACTGCTCAGGTGGACTGTCTGTCCTTCCCTGAAGTGCTGCACCCCTCTGTTATTCATCAGGTCGTGTGTCCTTATAATGGGCATTTCTATTGGTACATAAAAGCTTCCCTCTCCTGTTCACTCAGCTGCTACCCAAGTTTCCTGTGATACCAATCTTAGAAGAGCTTTCAAGTCTCCACTGCCTCCTTCCTATCTGCCTTACAGCCTGTGGTGGTTGCCGAAGAACTTTAATTACAGTGTCAGAGTGTTCAGGGACAGTCCCAACTCCCTTCATGTGAGGATTGCAGAAATGGGCTTGGATCGTATACAGACAGCGTTATGAGGCATTGCTGAAGAACAGTAAGTTCTTACACAGAAGTTGTCAACTAATATATGCATTTTCTTTGCCATACCCCAAGAGGCAGGAGCTGATTCCTATATAGTTAGGATATAGCTGACCAATGTTCTCTTTAAATGTAATTTCCATCTGCCACATTTTAAATTACAGGTTTTTGCATCAGGAAACTGTTGGGTCCAATTATTTGGTGCCTTGGAAAGGGCATTAAATGCATAGTGAGAAGATCCTGGTTTAATCTGACATTCCACTTACTAGGTGTAGAAGCTTGAGCAAGTTAATTAATCTTTGAGTCTGTATACCCAGCTGCAAAATGAGGATAATGCTTATCTTACAGAGTGTTGTGAAAGCAATGAAGATTGTGTGAAAGGGTTTCATAAACTGACAAGCACTGCACAAATGTAAGGTCCCCTAAGGAAAACCTTTTCAAAACTCAAAATCTATATGAACAGAGATACTTATTCATGTTGGGTGGAATGTTTTACAGCCATTAAAAATTGTAAGAGAAAATATATTGAAAAATACAATCTAAAATGGTGAGTTTGCAATTACAACAGTGTAAAACCTGTGTACATAGACTAGAATATGGAAAAAATGGATTACAGGGTAGTGGAATTGAGTGACTTTTGCTTTAAAGACTCTTAGGTATATTAGGTGTATTCAGTTTAGTTCAATAAACTTTTATTGAGCTCTCACTCTCCCAATCCCCGTGCTAGATTCTATGAGTGCTGAGACAAATAGGACATACTCCCTGCTCTCAGAGACTCCCATTCTGTACAGTCTTGTCAAAGTTTACTGTGTATGTGAATCACTGCGGAGCGTATTAAAAATTCACATTATCTTACTCCCACCAGAAGATCTGATTCAGTAGGTCTGTGATGGAACTAGCTCACAATTTACATTGTTTTAAACAGTCACCCTGAGTAATTCTAGTGTAAGTATTTTAATTCTGTACTGAGAAACCTGCAGTGAGATTTTAATATTTTTACACTAAACGGTAAGTAATAATTATACAAATCTGCTCATTGAAGAAGTTACCTGTTTTCTCTGCATGCTTGAGCTGGTTTTTATGTGTCTCTATCAAGGATGGGAAGGCCAGCCTGCAGTGATACCCCTTGGAACCCTTGCAGTGTAGAAACTACCACACCTCTCAACTTTTATCTCTTTTCCTCACTCCATTTCTCCCCACCACTTCTCCTAATGTTTTCTTCTTTCTATGCAAGTGTTAATCTCCCACTCTGGTTCCTTCTATGCCTAGTACTGTATCAACATCCAGGTGCTTCCCCTTCCTTTCTCCACCCCACCCCCCAGCCAGATATGTCAATTGTATTGAAAACAACTTACATCTAGTTTACTAAGTACAAACTTGTGCTGGTTAATGCTTCTCAAAAAGTAGGAGTGGGCTGTTTGTTGAGATCAACAATCATTTTTTTAAAAATCCGATATGGAAATTTTTGTGTCAAGTTTCACTGTCATTTAGTTCTTGACTGATTTTCTTCTGATGGGTTAGTAGCTCTCAACAGAAGATTTTAAAAGTCCCCTGCTCAGGTACCTGTCCTGCCGATAGAGCTGGGGTGTACCCTGCACCCTGACTCAACATTGCTTGTCTCCACATGCCTGTAAATGGGCTTGGGTGGCTTTCTCAGGCTACACACCTGTCACTTCTTAGTCACCCAGAATCAAAATATTAACAGCTCTGATCACATTTTCTGAACCTATGAGGCTTTATTTCAAGAGTGGTGACACTCCAAAATGCAGCTAGGATTTCCGCATTTTCACGTGTTAGTGTTGAAATCATTTTTACTTCAGGAAACCAAGGGTTGGACAATGGCTTCCAGACTTTCTCCTTTCGTTATGCTCCTTCAGCGCCTTATGCAAATACCGGTTGTCTTATGCTGCCATTCGTCTCCTCTGCCAGAATGTGAGGTCCGCGACAGCAGGGATAAGAATGCATTCATTTTTATATCTGCAGTGCCTTGGAGAGTGTCTGACACATAGTGGGCACTCATTTAGAAACCACCAATTGAATCATTAAGGTGACCAAAAACAGGGTGGGGGAAATACGTCCATCAGACAACAGGGAAATATTTCTTAAAAAAAAAATTTCCCAAAACTAGCTTTTCCCTCCTTATGTGTCTGAAATATCTCATAAAATTTTAAACTATCCCTTTCAGCACAAATCTGCCTGGAGCTGTTTCCTGAACACAGGACCAAAAGGCAGGAATCAAAAGTAGTAATGAGTTTAGTTATCTGTCTGTTACTGAAGGTGACTTCTAGGGCATCCTCCTGGCATTGCTTCTGGAATACAGTGACTTAGACTTATTCGGAAGAACATCTCTATGCTGTTCATCACATCGCCAGCACCTAGCCCTGTGCCTGTGCATAGTAAATGCTCAGTAAGTATTGTTGAATGATTGTATTAAATTGAGAAGAAATTCAGAAGCTAGTCCCAAATGAATTTAATTGCTCAGATTTTCAGTTAGTGGTTTTCCCCAACTTGCTCCCTTAATCTAGACAATTTTACTGCCTCCAAATTGAAGGTAGCTACTATTTATGTCATCGAATTTAACAAATGTTAACTTATGTCTATTCTGTGCCTATCTGTGGGCTACCCAAAATTAAACCTAACCTCATGTAGTTTCAGTCCCCATACAGTTGGTTCATAATTCTCAGTGCTCCCACAGTCCTTTGAACATACCTCTTATAACATTGCCCAAATACTACTGGAGATACCTGCCTATTTCTCTCCCCAGAAAGACCCTGAAATTCTGAAGAACCTAGTCTTATCTTGGTATTCCTATGCTGAACTTGAAGTAGTAGGTTCTCAGAAAATCCCTGCTGAGACTTGACTAACTTGTACATAAATAACCATTCCCTAGTAACATGTGTTTGAATAGAAATATATTTTGTATTTGAATAGAAAGAAACATATGGTTTTCTAAGTATATTCCTAATTTAAAGGGATACTAGGGGAAAGAAACAAGATTGGTTTTTGTGTCTCTATTAAACACCTTCCAAGGTGTCTTACTTAGTTATCAAACCTGTCCTTTTTCTGACAATTCCCCTACCCCTGTCCTGGCCAGTGGGTCCCTAGCAGACATCCTGGGGGCCAGAGCTTCCTTTGCTGATTGGTGTAGGGATGGACACCTGATCCCAAATAGACCAGTTTCACCTTCTCTTGGGAAATTGGGGTTGAGGACACTGGAGAGTCTGGACTGGTTGCTTGAGCCAGGAACACATAAACTTAGGAGCCAGTGGGTATAACCATGTACCCAGAGAGACAGAGAAAGCAGTCTTCAGAGAAAGAAACGAAGGCAAAATGTTCGGAGGTGAGGGAGACATGCAAAATGGATGCCTGGTTTTTGCCATGTTTATTCCCTGGTTGCTACTCTTTCTGAGGCCAGATTATTCAACTTTTCCATGGGTTCCACGGGAGATAACTCACTTACCATCTCCATTGGATCGTGAGTGAGTTTGAAATGAGTATCTGCTTTCACAACTAAAAGAAGTCAAATTAATATACTGTGTGACTTACAGAAGGAATTCTCATTACTTTTTAAGTCTCATTACCTTATAATCACATCTACATATCCCAGAATATATGTCAATCAGGAATTACTTAGATGGGAAATTCCTGATAAAATAAGATGCAGTAGGAGGGTAAGTGGCTTCTTTGCTTTTCAAATTTTTTAATAATCTAAGTCACAAAAACAGAAAGCAAATAAATGGAGGCTTATTTACAGAGGGGATTGGACACGTCAGACCTTTTTTGGAACCACACAATTGGATTTAAAAGATTTTGAAGAACCAACACATTTGGCAGCTTCCCAAACCATCTATTTTTGAAGATTCTGCTTTCCAGAACTGTATTAAGAATGGCCCTTGTCATGGGCGTTAGCTGTGTTTCAGGCTAGCCAAAACTAAAAACTGGAAGAGACTAAATAAGTATGTGTGCATGTAGAGCAGCCCAGACCCTGCAAGTGGACTGACCATAAACAATGATGGCCAAATCTATGAAAATAAGATAAAGACCTTGCTCTTCAGAAACAGTGCCAGATGTGTTCAGAGCTTTGTATACCACACTCTTTCAGCCCTGGTATGCCACACCGTGAATTTAGTGTTCACTTACAATAATCATTTTGAAAACATGCATGGAAAATACAGAGGAACTGTGAACTGCTAAAATCATTTGTCTGGTTCAGGAAAGTTTCAGAGGAAAATCTCGGGGCTTTTTCCTAGAATGTTATGAAAATATTAAATTATACTGATTGCTGCCAACATATTTTCTAACCATTCTAGGAAAAGAAAAAACAACAAAGTTTCCAGCTCTTACTCTAGATTGACACTGGACCTTGGAGATGCTTGCAGGTAATTTGACTGCACCTACTTTCCTTTTTTGGTTAATTGTGTTAAATGTGCCTCATAACTTACATTCCCGGTGAGGCTGTCATTTAGAAGGGGTGGGTGGGGGCTGAGGGGAAGCTGTTTTAATTCTGGCTTTTGTTTCAGCCACTAAATGTAATGCCACATGATTGTTGACCCAACAATAATCCAGTTAAAAAACAGTCTTCAGAGTTACTACATCATCAGAATTAACCCTGATTACATCAAATTATGTTGAAACAGACCACAGCTGTTTGCCCTGTTGAAGCAACTGCTTGAGAGCTCCTCCGGAAGATACATCTGGGTGTCACTAAGATACATTTTGGGTTTAGTTTTGTTTCTCAACACAAATGTAGGAGGGAAACAAACCCTGTTCTGCTGGGGTGCCTGGTGGGAGCTGAAAACCTTGTGATTCTCCAGCAGTCAAAAGTCATCTCAATTACCAAAGAGAAGGGAACCTGAGATCTTTTGTTTCAGTTTTCTATAGGAAGGATGTAAGAGGAAGGAAATTCAAATCTGTTGAGTATTGCTCTTGCCAGCAAAAAGAAGTGGAACTGACTAGTGAGATGGTGGTGAGATTTTCTTTGGTGGCTGTGTGCAGTGGTATCAACCCAGGAGAGTAGACTGTTCAATTGTGAAGAATTTTGCAAGATGGTTGTTAAAGTAGAACATCGTTAAAATTAAGTTGTAATAAAAAAAGGGAAATAAGCATTGGAAAAGATGTGGACAGATTGGAACCCTCATACATTGCTGATGGGAATGTAAAATGGTGTAGCCACTGTGGAAAAAAGGTCAGCAGTTCCTTAAAAAGTTAAACAGTGTCACCATATGACTCAGCATTTTCACTCCTAGATAAATACGTAGATTGAAAACGTATGTCCACACAAAAACTTGTACAGGAATGATCGCAACAGCATTATTCATAATAGCCAAAAAGTGGAAACAACTGTAATGTTCATCAGCTGATGAATGGATAAAATGCGGTATATAAAGAACTGTCAAGTGCTTCAACATGGATGAAACTTGAAAACATTATACAAAGCGAAAGAGGTTAGACACACAGGTCACATATTGTATGAATATGGTTATGTGAAATGTCTAGAATTGGCAAATCCATAGAGATGAAAAGTAGGTTAGCGGTTGCCAGCTGATGGGATTGGGGGAATGGAGAGTTGCTAATGGATATGGTGTTTCTTTTGGGGTAATGAAAATGTTCTGGAATTAGATAGCTGTGGTGGTTGTCAAAGTTGATGAATATATTAGAAACCATGAATTATAAACTTTAACATGGTGACTTTTGTGATACGTGAATATCTTAATTAAAAATTAAGTTATATAAACTTATAATTAAATAAGTTATATTAAAAAGAAAGGTAGTAACTACCCCAAACTCATCACTTGGCTAATTACATTTTACTATTGTGTTCTTGGTGTTATTTATGTCTATTGTGTCTTTATGTTGGAAATACTAAATAATGGTGTATTACTGTGTATCTCTTAACTCTGTATTCAAGGACATTAACTTGATAGCTTAAAACTGGCCATGGCTGGCAGAGTATTTATGCCACAACAGTTGGCATATACTGTAAATCAAGGCACCCACCAACACCACCAGGGAGCCAATTTTAAAATATTTGCCAGCACATCATTGGCTATATTGTCGGACAATCATCTTGGGTAATTCTGGTAGAATTATATAGTTAGATGAGGTGAAATCCTGAGGCCTCTAGGTTCCCAGCAAAACAAAGACTAGCAAGCCTGCACAGTTACTATGCAATTTATCAGGTGCAGAAGGAAATGACGTTTCTGGTCATCTGTTGAATAAAGCCACTTTGAGTTCAGGGGACATGGTTTTCTCCAGCTTCACTAGTGTTGCATCTGGTACAAGGGGTTAAGTGCTAAACCCCTGTAGGATTGTCACAGTGAAGCCAGATAACAGAGTAACCGCAAAGAGATTTAATTCTGTAGTCCCACAAAGGAGGGTGTGTAAAGAGTGTACAACAGTGTCAGAGTTTGGAAACCAAGGGTTGACAAAGTTGGTTCTCTGGAATCTGGGGGTACCAGTTAAAAGGTTAAAAGGAGTCATTGTTTTCTGAAACTATCCAAGAGTTACAGCCATGTTTTTTTGTTTTTGTTTTTGTTTTTAAGATTTCGGGGGAATCTTATTTTCTCACATGTTTCTGGAATTTTTCTTTTTTTTTTAATTTAAGTTCCAGGGTACATGTGCAGGATGTGCAGGTTTGTTACATAGGTAAATGTGTGCTATGGTGGTGTGCTGCACCTATCAACCCATGACCAAGGTATTAAGCTCAGCAAGCATTAGCTATTTTTCCTAATGCTCTCCCTCCCCCAACCCCCTACCCACTCACAGGTCCCAGTGTGTGTTTCCCTCCCTGTGTCCTGTGTTCTCGTTGTTCAGCTCCCACTTATAAGTGAGAACATGCGGTGTTTGGTTTTCTGTTCCTGTGTTAGTTTGATGAGGATAACGCCTTCCAGCTCCATCCATGTCCCTGCAAAGGACATGATCTCGTTCCTTTCTATGTCGAGTTACAACCATTTTTAAAAGTGGAACTGCACAGGATTACCTCAGCCTGCTAAGTCCTTCCAGCTAGGCCGTCCCTGTGGGTTTAAACGCAATGTAAAGAAAGTGGATGTTAAGTGTTCTTACCACAAAAATGATAACTATATTAGTTAATGCATTTGTTAGTTAGCTAGATTTAACCATCCCACAGTGTATTTTATGTATTTGTATTTATATTTCAAAACATCATATTGTACATAATAAACACATCGATGTTATCTGACAATTTTTATTAAAAAAAACCACTCCAGCCACTTATAGGTACCTTCACAAATACTATTCTCTGGTTTGTATGGATCAGAGAGTTCTAGATGTTCCAGTAGTCTACAGCCCCAACCTGTCATCCTTTAAGGGTTGGTTCCTTCATTCTCACAATGAACATTTAATGAGCATCTATTCTGTGCTGGTACCATGCTGGGAAGCTCTGGGAATACAAAAATGAGGAAGGGCCAGATGTGGTAGCTCATGCCTGTAATCCCAGAACTTTGGGACACCAAGGCAGGAAGATCACTTGAGCCCAGGAGTTTGAGACCACTCTGGGCAACATAGCAAGACATTGTCTCTAAAAAAATAATAAGTGAGAAAAACACATTCATGTCTTCAAGGAACTCACAATTCCTCGACAAGGAAATATTTGCTGTACAGTGTGATAATCCAATTTATATAAGTGCAGTGTGGATACCAAGAAAAGAGTGAACAACTTTGCTGGAGAATGGGGACAGTCAGTTTTAGGGAAAGAGGTCTTGACGTATGTTCAAGATCTAATTCAAGGTAGGAGTTCTCTCTGCAGAGCAAATAAAAGGAGCCAGCATTGCAGAGTGTGGTTTGGAAGACTACAGCACTTTCTCAAGGATCTTGACAGTCTTTGTTCTTGGTGGATTATGACAACTGATTTACCAGTGTCAGCAGCAAAGTCGTGGGAGCCTAACTGCCACAGAGCCATTAGCACTGATTCTGGTTATTTTCAAAGGAGAAATTGGGAAAATGGGATTGCTCAAGCTTTTCTCTAAGAAAGTTTTTTTTTGTTTGTTTGTTTGTTTTTTGAGACAGAGTCTCACTCTTGTCGCCCAGGCTAGAGTGCAATGGTGCGATCTCAGCTCATTGCAACCTCCACCTCCCAGGTTCCAGCAATTCTCCTGCCTCAGCCTCCCAAGTAGCTGGGATTACAGGTGCCCGCCACCACACCCAGCTAATTTTTGTATTTTTAGTAGAGTTGGGGTTTCACCATGTTGGCCAGGCTGGTCTCAAACTCCTGACCTCAAGTGATTCACCCGCCTCAGTGTCCCAAAGTGTTGGCATTGCAGGCATGAGGCACCGCACCCGGCCAAAAGTTTATTTTCAAAATGTCTCCCACTGGGTATAGTGTCAAGTAACTCTCAGACTATTAGCCACAGACAGGGAGGAAACCCAATTAGGTCTTTAACCCCACCCCATTCCCACTTCCAGATCTCATCCTCAACCAGATGCCCAGAGTTGACTTGAGTAAGTTAAGGTAATTTGATATAGGGAACCATGTGGGCCTCAAGTAACTAGGGGTTAAAGAAGCATACACCTTTATATGCCTGAGAGATGAGTGTCCTGAAAGACACCAGCTGAGGTGGTTCAGCTGGTCACACTGACCTTCGTAAGCAGCACTCAGTTCTGAAATTAACCTGTCAACTAAATTGAAGGGGAGAAAAAGCAGAAGGGCTAGCACACAAACATCCATCCCCACCCCCAGTCCAATCACTGACGTCAGGCCTGGCGTGGGTGGTATTAATCACACAAGCTTGGTGTGCAGTTGAGGACAGCTCTCCTTCCAGCCCTTCAACCCGTTTCTGAAAGCATTCCACCAGCCATGCACCTGCCGCTGGCCACAAACCCTCAACTCCCAGACAGGCACGGATGCAGCGACGGATGTCCCTGACGACACTCAAAGCCACAGTGCACCCTTTAGAACCCCAGGCTTTGTGGGGAGTGGGAGTAGCTATGAGCGGGGGCCAAAGTGGTACCCATGCTCTCCCAGTGTGCATTTCTCTAATCTCTGCAGTGCTCCCTCCTCATAAGATAGTCATTTCCTGAGAATTTAATAAGAATATAAGATTAATGACCCAAAGCACTCTTGGAGCCGGCGATTAATTCCCCCAGGAAATACCAGTGGTCTTTAAACAAAATTGCCTAAATTATGGGCTAGTGATGCATGTCCGCTCAGGGCTTGGGGGTGGGGGGATTGTCACCCCAACTGGTTCCGATAGATGGCGCCTATCTTCATGTAAATCATTCAAATGATTTGTTTTCCATTTTTTTCCCAGCAAAAACCGGGGACCATTTAAACAGACACACACAGCAGGGAGTGGAGAGGACTTAGTAAAAGCCCAGACAGGAACTTTCCGTCCAAGGGTTGTTTCCAGGCCTGGCACGCCTCTCAGGCTCAAAAGACTGAGCCACTCCAGGGTGCAGCCAGGGACTTGAGCAGCAGTCTTGCTTCCTATGCACAGCCCGAGATGGGCACTAGCAGCAAGAGGGACGCAGGGTGGGAGTCCAGCTGAAGAGCACAGTAAAAAAGCCCCTTTCGGCCGGGCTCACGCCTGTAATCCCAGCACTTTGGGAAGCCGAGGCAGGCGGATTACGAGGTCAGGAGATCGAGACCATCCTGGCTAACATGGTGAAACCCCGTCTCTACTAAAAAAAAATACAAAACATTAGCTGGGCGTGGTGACGGGCGCCTGTAGTACCAGCTACTAGGGAGGCTGAGGCAGGAGAATGGCGTGAACCTGGGAGGCGGAGCTGGCAGTGAGCGGAGATCACGCCACTGCACTCTAGCCTGGGCAACAGAGCGAGACTCCGTCTAAAAAAAAAAAAAAAAGCTCCTTTCTTTAACCTTTGGGGAAAGATGGGGGTGTTCAGAGAACCCTTCCCAAAGTCGATACCTGGTGACTGTTGTATTCATATTTCAAGGTCCCTCCTGCCATTGGCCAAACAAGAAACATCAAACTTTTCCATTTCCACATGAAATTGTAAATAACACCATCTTTTCCTAAGCAAACAAAATAAGACTTTAAGGAATTTCTGGCAGAATATGACCTAACCCCCACTAACTCTTGCTAAACAGTCTTCCAGTCTGTGTATTGAATCATGTAACTATCAAAGGATACGTAAGACTACTCTTCTGGGGGAAGATAGGGCATACGTATGCCTGACTTGCATCACAAACCTCAGCTGCAGCCAAACCATGCAGATTTCTCCGACTCTGCAATCTCTGGGACTTGGCACCATGACTCAGATGTGAATGAAGTCAGGATAGTTTTATTTTGGTTGGAAGTCACCGCCTCCTGATTGATTTGGCAGACGTTAAGTGTTGTTTGTCTTACAGGGATTTAAGGTACTTAAAGCCAGAAGTTAAAATGGCCATCATTCTGGTGGTGGCCCTTCATACGTGACTTAAGGATCCCTAAATTGTAAGGTTAAGGGAGCTGTGGTCCCAGCCTACCAGTTCTGGCTTTACTTCCCATCCAGCAGCACACTGGATATTGAAGAAAGTCAGTGAAATGTTAGATCCAGGGGACTGACCGCTAAAACTCCCAGGGTATCTAGAAGAGCTAAGTACGTGGTAGGGGATTCGCTTTTCCAAATTGAGGAGGGTGAACTTCCCCCAACCCAATCAAGATCTTTTGGACCAAATGATGTCCAACTGCTTGAAACAACTCAGCTGCACAGAGACAGAAATAAACAAAACAGCTTTAGTCTGAGGTTGTGTGGGGCACTGCAAGATGCTGCTTCTCCAATTCATCTGTCCACACAGCACGGTTCCCCATTGAATAAACAGGTTACTATCCACTTATCAGAGAAGTTAGGGAGGACCTGCCTTTTAATGCTGCTTAGAGAGACACTTTGTGATGAGAAAAGAGCTCGTACAAAAGATTTTTTTCTCCCCCCTCCCGCTGAAGTGCTGGGGTTGTGTGCTTCCACGTACATCTGGGATACCATTATATTTACAAACAGAGGTCTCATAGCCTGTGTCAATGAGCGGGAACGTTGGGGAATTTGGACCCCAATTTCTTGTTCTTCTGCACTTGACCTTGCCTTCCAATTCGTTATGAAATACATTGACTAGTTTTGCTTCTTCCATTCTACAAATCATGCGAATTTTCTATACTAAACTGTGTTTTCCCAGAGGCAGTGTAGGAGGGAGTCAGCTGGACTTGGTTTCCAGGCAATGAGAGGCTCCCAGGTCGATCCCATTAAGGCAATGCCCTCATTTTGAATAGCAGATGACCGGGACCCCTCCTCCCCCACACACCTGAATTGGAAAATTGGCTCGGCTTTGTACAAGCCCTTGCCCTTAGGCTGTCCATAAAATAGGAACAATACTGAAGACAATCCTGTAAGCTACAAAAGCAAAGGCTCCGGCGCGTAGTAGGTCCGTCTCCTCCTCCCGCCGAGGGACGCCAGAGTTAAGGAGCTTCTTGCTGGGAAGGGGTCCCTCCTTTCAGCCGGAACCTGACCCGCAGAATGTATCGGAAATGTGAGCAGCCCTAGTATCCCTTCCCCGTCGACGCTCGGTGAAAAATCGATCGACGACCGAGGGCGCGCAGTCCCTTCCCCTCACACCCGCCAGCGCCAGGGGCGCGGTCGCCTCCCTGGCCTCCGCGCCCGCGGCTTGGGGCCTCAGGAGAAAGCGAGACTCCGGGGCGCGCCGGCGGCGGTGGCTTTCTGTATCCTCGCGGGTCCCTAGCCCCGCGTCCGCGTGCGCGGCGGCCTCGGGGGCGCGGCGGGAGCGGGCGTGGCGAGCGAGCCGGCCTTCCTGCTGCAGCTGCTCCCCCGGCGGCCGGGCGGAGAGTGCGGATTGCGCGCGCTCGGGGCGGGGGAGCGGGCGCGCGCGAGGCTGCCGGGCTCGCGCCGCGCCGCGCCGCCTAGTCCCCGCCGGGCCGCCCGCCCCGCCCCTGGCCTCCCGCGAGCTGCGCACCGCCGGCCGCTGCCCCAGCTGCCCGAGCCCGCGCCCTCGTCCGCGCGACCCGGCGGGGGGCTCCAGGCCGGCAGCATGAGCGGCGGCGGCGACGTGGTGTGCACCGGCTGGCTGAGGAAATCGCCTCCCGAGAAGAAGTTGAGGCGCTATGTGAGTGCGGGCGCGGCCGCCCAGGGGCGGGCGGGGGGCGCTCCGGGGCCTGCGGAGGGGCGGGGGACTCCCGGAGGGGCGGCAGGCTGGGGAGCTCGGGCCCGGAGCCGCGGGGGGCCGGGGGCGAGGAGCGGCCGGGGGCGTGTGGGGCACCTGCACACCTGTCACAGGTGGGCCGCCGAGGGGCGGGGCGGGCGGCAGGTTGAGGCTGCGGCTCCTGCTCCGCCAGGCGGGTGCGGCTGCGGCGCCTCCCAAGCCGGTCTGCTCGTGAACTAAATACAGTGTCGAAGTTTTGTATTGATGGCTTCTGGAGACCGAGAGAGTTGACTCTCGGGGCTGGGGCTCCGCGGCAGCCCCGAGCAGCTTCAGCCCGCAGGGTCGGGGAGAGGGCGGGAAAGGGGGGCGTAGGCTGTGGGGCCGCGCGGACGGCCCCACAAAGGGCGAGCGCCTCACGCCCTCTCCTTCCCTTTCTCCGCCTGCCCCTCCCGGCCGCCGGCCTCCCTCCGTCCGCGGCTGCATCACCGGCAGCGTCAGCGGCATGTGCAGCCCTTGTATTAAGTGACTCATTTGTTTGTCCCCCTTCTTTCCCTTTATTCCGTTCGTCTCTCACAGGCGCCTCCCCCCGACCCCGGTGTGACACTGCAGTTTGGTCCCCGTGGCTGGCCCGGGTTTGGGACCGGGCAGCTCCCGGGTGTCTGGGGTCGGGAGAGATCGAGGCTCTCCGCGGCCAGGTGTTGCCAACCGACAGTGTTTACTGAGATCGCTGGAACAGCCTTTTCCCTCTAGGTGGGGAACTGGCAGCCTGGGGGAGGTGGAACAGCGTGGCGCTGAGCCGTGGAGTTCTGGCTTTTTTTTTTTTTTTTTTTAACCCCTCTCCCCAGAGGATGCCTTGCCTGGTGAGGTCAAAGTACAAGATGGTGCCAGTTACTGAGATTTGGCCGAAATGGTCTTGGGGTAGTCGCGGGAGTTTGGAAGTGGGGGTAAGGTTGCTGGAAGGTTTCAAGGTCTCTCATCTGCTCCCTCTCCGTTTCCCATGAAATGCCCTTGTTTAACGGGCTGTGGTGCCGAACTCCGGGATCACTCCCACAGCCTGGAAGGGAGCCGTTGCCTCCAGCTGCAGTGCATCAAGGGAGCTCGGAATAGACCCTGCCCTCTGTCAGCTGCACCAGTGGCTGTCCATGGGGGGAGAGGCAGAAGCCTACCAGAATTTCCTGTCTTGGCTCCCCAGATCAGAATCAAGGGACTTCTGGCCTCTGGACTGAGGAAGTGACATTCTGTTTTTCAAAGGAAGTGTTGTTGTTGCGGAGTACAAGTGTGTGTCAATGAAATCAGGCTCTTAGGTAGATGTTTGCTGGGGGAAAAAAATCTAAGGATTTAGCACATGAGTTTTGAAAGTGGACGTGGATTTATAGGAGGAATGAAGCAGTGAATTGTTCATCTCAGTTCGGAAGCTCATTTTTAGGAGTGTCTATGTAGCCAAAGTATAATTATTAAGAAATAAACTTTTTTCCTCTTCAGGGTTGTATCAGTTCGTTAGGAAGGTTGAATATTTTAATTAGGATTAAGGAGCAGTGATTTACTATTAACAATTTTATAAATAATTTAAAAACTTTGTCCCGAAGAGCTTCCAAAAATTATCTATACAAATAGATTTCCATACAAGCTAGTGGAATACAGTGTCCACAGTAAAAAAAAAAAAAAAAAAAGTGACCCTTAATTTTCAAGTTTGAACACTATACACTAAAGAACCTTGAAAGTTGTTTTTGAAACAATTTGCAAACAGTATGACACTGTATCTACATTTGACTTATCGCTCCTTGAACTCTCACCCAGACTCTATGACCCATTTCTTGGGTGTTTTTGTTCCCAAACAACTTTAGTTCAAAATAACCAGGTTTGGAGGCATTTGGGTCAAGCACCTTTTTCACTGATTTGAACGAATCTAGTCGTATGATGGCCTTAGCCTCTCTTTCCCATCTTCCATGTACCTTCAGCCCATCAGGTGTCAGACCTTAACAGCTTTAAGTAACAGCTTTTCTTAGGTTAGGATGTGATGTGTTCACTTACATGACTGGAAGCCTCTGCCCCTTCGGAAGTTCAGTTTCCCCCTAACTGAAACTGGTGATATGTGTAACCTTAAGCCTCTGGGGAACAGTATGCCTTTACATCTACTTTTCTTTTGGGGTATTCAGAATTTTTGCATCCTGTTGTAAGTTAAAACTCTGCTAGTTTGCTTATTTCAGTAGAGGCCCGAGTTCATTAGAACCAAGCTTGGAAAGTATTTCCCAGCCCCATGGCTGTATATTTACCCCAAAGTAGCTGCTGCTTCTGGTATACATCATAGGCGTGTTATATTGTAGATTGAGAAATCCTCATTATAAGAATACATCGAGCATATGTGATAAGGGGAAAAAGTAGTTGAACTAGGTTATAACTATTTAAAACGATTTTTTAAAAAACTGACTTAATTTGAAGTCTGGGCGCAGTGGCTTATGCCTGTAATCCCAGCACTTTGGGAGGCTGAGGCGGGTGGATCACTGGAGGTCAGAAGTTCGAGACCAGCCTGGCCAATGTGGTGAAACCCCGTCTCTACCATAAATATAAAAATTAGCTGGGCGTCATGGAGGGCATCTGTAGTCCCAGCTACTCAGGAGGCTGAGACATGAGAATCGCGTGAGCCCGGGAGGCTGAGGTTGCAGTGAGCCGAGATCGTACCACTGCACTCCAGCCTGGGTGACAAAACGAGACTCCATTTCAAAGAAAAACAAAAAAACTTACTTAATTCGGAAAGACGGGAAGGTGTAGAGGGGAAAAACATCTTAGAAGAAGCAAAGGCAAATGTTTGAGCAATTAGTTTTCAGGGATTTTTTTCATCAGCCTTTTCTAGTTAATTAAGTATAAGTATAAGAGACCTATCTGCTATTTACTGAGTGCCCTGGAGAAATTGCAAAAAGTGTCTCTGGAAAATGCTGACTATTGCCTCTGGGGCATCCTGATATGGCTGCAGTGGGAGGCCGGCAGAAGTAACAACCCTCCCATCGTGCCTCAGTGTATTTGTGTGTGTATGCGCGTGCATGCAAATGCATACACACGTACATGTATATAATTATTAAACAGAATTTTCTTGAGGAAAAACATTTTATTAATATGACCTACACTGCATTGTAGTTTTCTATCAATTTCACTGGATTAAAAGATTGAGGGAATAAGATTGGCAGACTACCCCCTAGTGGCTAACTTGAAGAAAGTTGTGCACAAATTGTAAAGAACTACTGCATTAAGGTAACAGTAATTGTTTATTTCCATTATATTTATTAAATATACTTATTAAATCTATGTCCCAGGCACTGGATCAGGTGCTTGGAATAAAAATCCAGTAAACAGAAAAAAAAATTAATCCAGTCTTTCAGTCTTAGCAATGGCTTTGCCTTCTCCTTCAAAGGAAAATTGAAATGATGAGGGAGTAGTTGTCTGTACGTACGATGAATGGCCACATTTTCAAATTTACTTGTATCTGCATAGTTCCTTTCTTTCTTCCTTTTTTTTTTTTTTTTTTTTGAGACAGAGTTTCACTTTTGTTGCCTAGGCTGGAGTGCAATGCACGATCTGGGCTCACTGCAACCTTTGCCTCCTGGGTTCAAGCGATTCTCCTGCCTCAGCCTCCCAAGTAGCTGGGATTACAGGCATGCATCACCACACCTGGCTAATTTTGTATTTTTAGTAGAGATGAGGCTTGACCACGTTGGTGAGGCTGGTCTTGAACTCCTGACCTCAGGTGATCCACCCGCCTCGGCCTCCCACAGTGCTGGGATTACAGACAGACATGAGCCACCGCGCCCAGCCTGCATGGTTCCTTTCTTGTTTCCTTTTCTTAGAGTAGATGAAGTGCCACTTCTATCTGAGCTAATCCTGCTACTTATACTTTGAATCATATCTTCTCCTCCCTACTCAAATAATTCTTATCCTGTAACACATCTTCAACTTCTTTCCCTCTCTGTACTACCTACTTTTTTTCAGGGATAAACTTGGTGGTGGTTTATGCAGTCTTCCTTTCTCCCACCTTCTTCTCAGTCGGCTCCAGTGGAAACCTACTTTGTTATTCACCAAAGCTATTCTGACAAAGGCACCAGCGATACCCAGGTCACTAAACTCAGAGGATGATTTTTTACTCCTCATTTTAATTAATCTCTTCACTGCTTGGTCATAGTTGACCACTCTTTTTTAAAACACCTTCCTCTTATCTTGGCTGACACTATAAATGCCTGTTATTTCTCCTTTTCTGGCTACTCTATATTTCCTTTGCTAGACTGACCCTTTTATCCAGTCCTTAAAGGTTGAAGCTCCTTTATAGTCATAGTGGCTGTGTGGTTTCTCCCCTTTGGCAACCTTGTCCATTCTACTGGCTTCAGTTATCATTTGCATGGTGGTCATCAAGTTAAATTTCCATCTCAGAGTTGTGTTCTGAACTTCAGACTTACATATCCAACTGTTAACTGGGCATCTCTATTTGAATGTTTCCCAGTCAACACAAACTCACCACTTCCAAAACTAAACTCTTCTTTGTTCATCTCTTCACTCCACATCTGCTCAGTAAACAGTGCCACTAAGCACCTACTTGCTCAGATGAGAAACTTGGGCATCATCTTTGACTCCCCGTCACCCACTATCCCACATCTAATCTGTCACCAAAACCCATTAGTGGTATCATCTAAATATCTTGTTATACGCTTCTTCATCCCCACTGCCATGACTTTTAGGATTATTTTAGTAGCCATCTGTTGAGCACTTACTTTGTACCAGGCACTATGCTTAGACCATTGATCTTTTAATGTAGTAATTTAGCCCTATAATAAGGGAAGCAACTTACCCAAAGTCATCTAGCTTTGTCCTAAAGCCTGGGCTTTTTAAAAAAATTAAACATTTCATTTTGAGGTAATTCTACATGCACATCTAGTTGTAAGAAATAGTAAACAAAGATTTATGTAGCCATTATCCAGTTTTCCTTAATGGTAACATCTTGCAAAATTATAGTACAGTATCACAACAGTATATTGACAATGATACAGTCAAGATACAGAGCATTTCCATCATGATAGGATTTTTTATGTTGCCCTTTTATAATCGTATTCACTACCATCCCACCCCTACCACATCCTTAATCTGTGACAACTACTAATCTGTTCTCTGATATTTCATGTGTGTTATTTAAATGGATTCATGCAGTACTTAAGATTTTGAACTTTTTTTTATTCAGCATAATTCTCTGGAGATTCATCCTCATTTCATGCATCAATAGTTATTGTTTTTTATTGCTAAGTAGTATTTCATGGTATGGATGTACCACACAGTCTGTTTATTTAACCATTCACCCGTTAGTTCTCATTTACATTTCCCTTATGGCTAATGATGTTGAACATCTTTTCATATGATTATTTGCCATCTGTATATCCTCTTTGGTCAAATGTCTTCAAGAATTTGAGTATTTTATATATAGGTTTTTTTTTTTTGAGATGGAGTTTTGCTCTTGTTACCCAGGCTGGAGTGCAATGGCATGATCTCGGCTCCCCAGGTTCAAGTGATTCTCTTTGTTGTTGTTGTTGTTGTTGTTGTTGTTTTTAGACAGATTCTCACTCTGTCACCCAGGCTGGAGTGCGGTGGCACAGTCTTGGCTCACTGCAACCTCTGCCTCCCAGGTTCAAGCGATTCTCCTGCCTCAGCCTCCTGAGTAGCTGGGACTACAGGTGTGCGCCACCATGCCCAGCTCATTTTTGTATTTTTAGTAGAGACAGGGTTTCACCATGTTGGCCAGGATGGTCTCAATCTCTTGACCTCGTGATCCGCCCACCTTGGCCTCCCAAAGTGCTGGGATTACAGGCGTGAGCCACTGCGCCGGCTTTCCTGGTTTTTTTTTTTCTACACATTTTACAGGTTTATGTTTTTCCTTTAAGTCCGTGATCCACTGTGAGTTAATTTTCATGTAAGATGTGAGACTTAGATTGAGGTTCTTTTGTTGTTGTCATTGTTGTTGACAAAGCCATCCTACTTCCATTGAATTGCTTTTCCGTCTTTGTCAAAAATCAGTTGGACGTATTTGTGTGGGTCTGTTTCTGTTGTCTCTGTTTTGGTCCATTTTTCCATGTGTCTGTCCCTCTGCAAATACCATAGAATCTTGCCAACTCTAGCTATATTGTAAGTCTTGAAATCTGGTAGCCTGATTCCTCTACTTTATTCTTATTTTTCAAAGTGTTTTAGCTATTCTATTATCTTTACCTTTCAATACAAATTTTAGAATAATCTTGTTTATGCAAAAAAAAGAAAGTCTTGCTGAGATTTTAATAGGAAGTGCATTAATCCTGTGTACCAATTTGGGAAGAAATTACAGCTTTACTATATTAAATCTTCCAGTCCATGAATTTATTTTACATTTATTTATATATGTCTTTCTTCCTTCGTTTATTTTCTTCTCCTTCCACCATCCCCCCCCCCAACCACCCCCACCAGAATCTTGCTGTGTCACACAGGCTGGCGACAGTGGCACAATCATGGCTCACTGCAGCCTCAAATTCCTGGGCTCAGGTGATCCTACTGTCTCAGCCTCCCAAGTAATTGGGACGACAGCTGCGTACTGCTGTGCCTGGCTAATTTTTTTTTTTATTATTTGTAGAGACAGGGTCTCCCTGCGTTGCCCAGGCTGGTCTCACACTCCGGAGCTTAAGCAGTCCTCCCACCTTGGCTTCCCAGAGTGCTGCGATTATAGGTGTGAACCACCATGTCTAGCCTTCTGGAAGAGATGGTGTAGAACTGGTATAATTCTTTAAACCTTTGGTAGAATTCTCCAGATTAAACCATCTGGATCTGGAAATGTCTTTGTTAGGAATTTTTTACATTTTTAATCCAATTTCTTTAATAGATACGGGGTTCTTCAAATTATCTACTTCATATTGGCTGAATTATAGAAGTTTACATTTTTCAACAAATTGGTCCATTTTGTCTAAGTTGTTACATACATGTGAGTGGAGTTACAGTATCCTGTATTATGCTTTCAGTGTCTGCAGGGTCTGTAGTGGGTCCACTGCTTTATTTTTTTAACCCTTATTCTTGCATACTGACATTGCTTCATTATTATTTTTTGTTTGTTTTTTGAGACAGCATGTCACTCTGTCACCTGGGGTGGAGTGCAATGGCACGATCTCAGCTCACTACAACCTCCACCTCCCAGGTTCCAGCAGTTCTCCTGCCTCAGCCTCCCGAGCAGCTGGGATTGCAGGCATGTGCCACAATGCCCAGCTGATTTTTGTATTTTTAGTAGAGACAGGGTTTCACCATATTGGCCAGGCTGGTCTCAAACTCCTGACCTTAAGTGATCTGCCTGCTTTGGCCTCCCAAAGTGCTGCAATTACAGGCATGAGCCGCTGCACCTGGCCTCTGATTTTTTTATATAGTAGTTTATTCATTTGAGACTTTTCCTCTTATTTAATGTATTCATTTACTGCTATGAATTTCCCTCTCAGCACTGCTTTAGCTGTGTCCCACTAATTTTGATAAATTGCATTTTCAATTTTTATTTGCTCAGTATATATATATTTTTTTTACTTTCCTTGAGACTTTCCTCTTTGACCATGGATTATTTACAAGTACATTGTTTAGTTTCCAAATGTTTGGAGATTTTCCCATTATTTTTCTGTTTCTGTCTTTTAGTTGGAATTCATTGTGGGAGTAGAGTAAGTTCTATTTGATTTCAATTATTTTTAACTTGTCAAGGTTTATTTTATTGCTGAAAATGTGGTCTATCTTGCTTTAGGTTCCATGGGTACTTTGAAAAGAATGTTTATTCTGCTATTATTGGGTAAAGTATTCCATAAATGTCAATTATATCTTTTTGATTGATAGTGATATATATAATTCTTTTATATCCTTGCTGATTTTTCTATCTAGTTCTTCTGTCGATTGTTGAGAGACAGGGGTTGAAGTTTCCAACTATAATTGTGAATATTTCTGTTTCTCATTTCACTTATATCTGTTTTTGTTTCACATATTTTATTTTTTTTATTATTTTTTTGGAGATGGAGTTCCGCTGTTGTTGCCCAGGCTGGAGGTGCAATAGCATGATCTCAGCTCTCCGCAACCTCCACCTCCTGGGTGCAAGCAATTCTCCTGCCTCAGCCTCCCAAGTAGTTGGGATTACAGGCATGCGCCACCACACCCGGCTAATTTTGTATTTTTAATAGAGACAGGGTTTCTCCATGTTGGCCAGACTGGTCTCGAACTCCTGACCTCAGGTCATCCGCCTGCCTCGGCCTCCCAAAGTGCTGGGATTACAGACATGAGCCACCGCACCCAGCCCTGTTGTTCAATATATACACATTTAGAATTGCAACATCTTCTTGGTGGCATGACCCTTTTATCTTTATATAATACCTGCTGAGTCTCTGGTAATTTCTTTTGCTCTGAGGTCTACTTGTTATCTGATATATTATACAAGTATCTGAGGGCTACTTGATATATTATAGCCTATATCTGATGATATAGTTATTCTTGCTTTCCTTTTATTGATATTCACATGATACATCTTTTCCATCAATTTACTTTCAACCTACCCATATCATTGTATTTGAAGTGATATCTTATAGGTGGCATATTGTTGGGGTGTATTAATCCGTTCTCGCACTGCTGTAAAGAACTACCTGAGACTGGGTAATTTATCAAGAAAAGAGGTTTAATTGGCCCACAGTTCCACAAGCTGTACAGGAAGCATGGCTGGGGAGGCCTCAGGAAACTTACAGTCATGGCGGAAGGTGAGGGAGAAGCAGGCACATCTTACATGGCTGGAGCAGGAGGAAGAGAGTGAGGGGAGAGGTACTACACACTTCTAAATAACCAGATCTCACAATAACTCACTCACTATCATGAGAACAGCACCAAAGGGGAACTCCACCTCCATAATCCAATCATTTCCCATCAGGCCCCACCTCCAATATTTGGGGATGACAATTTGACCTCAGATTTGGGCAGGGACACATACCCAAACCATATCATGGGGCATGTTTTTAATCCACTGTGCTGATTTATGTCTTAATTGGTATATTTAAATTTACACTTAATATAATTTCTAATATGCTAGAGCTTAGTTCTGCCACTTTATTTTTTGTTTGTGTTCTGTTTTTGTTTTCTTCTTGCCTTCCTGTGAGTTTCTTGAATATTTTTTAGAATTCCATTTTGATTTATCTATATAGTGTTTTTGAGTGTATCTCTCTATACAGCTTTTTTAGTGGTTGCTCTAGGTATTATACTGTACATACAACAGTCAGTTGGTGTCGTCTTATAATCTAAATGAAGTCTGTATCATCATTTTACAAGTTTAAGTAAAGTATAGTAACCTTACCTCCCTTTATGTCCTTTTGCCATCCTCCATATATAATTGTCTTAAATATTTTTTTTATATCAGACAGTGCTATAATTTTTGCTTCAGTCATTAAACCTAATTTAGAAAACTCAGAAGGAAAGACTATTTAATTACATTTTTGTTTACTATGTGCTTTCTTCTTTGCTGATGTTTTCAGGTTCCTCTTTTTTTCATTTCCTTTCTGTTTAGAGAACTTCCTTTAGCCATTCTTTAGGGTAGATTGGCCAGTGATAAATTGTCTTTATTTTCCTTCACCTGAGAAGGTCTCATTTTCCCCTTCATTCTGATATTTTCACTGGATATTGAATTATTTAGTTGACACTTCTTTTCTTTGAGCACCTGTAAAATACTGCATCCTTTCCTTCTGGCCTGCATGGTTTCTAATGAAAAATCCATGGTCTTTCCAATTGCTTTCCCTCAGGAGGTAAAATGCCCTCTTTTTCTTTCTTTTCTTTTCTTTCTTTCTTTCTCTCTCTTTCTTTCTTTCTTTCTTTTTCTTTCTTTCTTTCTTTCTTTCTTTTTGGGACGGAAAATGCCATCTCTTTCTTTCTTTCTTTCTTTCTTTCTTTCTTTCTTTCTTTCTTACTTTCTTTCTTTCTTTCTTTCTTTGAGAAGGAGTTTCACTCTTGTCACCCAGGCTGGAATGCAATGGCACTATCTGGGCTCACTGCAATGTCTGCGTCCCAGGTTCAATAGATTCTCCTGCCTCAGCCTCCCTAGTAGCTGAGATTACAGGCGCTCACCACCACGCCCAGCTAATTTTTTTGTATTTTTGGTAGAGACAGGGTTTCACTATGTTGGCCAGGCTGGTCTTGAACTCCTGACCTCAGGTGATCCACCCAACTCAGCCTCCCAAAGTGCTGGGATTACAGGAGTGAGCCACCACGACCAGCTCCCATCTTTTTCTCTGGATGCGTTCAATGATTTTTTTTCTCTTTATTTTCAGAATTTTGCTATGTGTCTTGGTGTGGAATTTTCTTGAGTTTATCCTGTTTGGAACTCACTAAACCTACTGAATCTTTCTTACTACATTTGAGAAGTTTTCACCCATTATTTCAAGTACTTTCTCAGTCCTACCCTCTTTCTTCTCTTCTTCCAAGAATCCAATGACAAAACTGTTAGATCTTTTGTTGTAGTTCCATAGCTTCTGTAGACTCTGGTCATTTTTTTTCAGTCTGTTTTCTCTGTGTTGTTCATATTAGGTTATTTCTACTGTCCTGTTTTCCCATTCACTGATTCTATTTCTCTGTCCTCACTATTCTGCCATTGAACTCACTGATGAACTTTTTTATTTTGGTGGTTATATTTTTCAGTTCTAAAATTCCATTTGGTTTTTCTTTACATCTTCTATTTTTTTACTGAGACTTTGTTTCTTTTTGGAGGCTTTCCAATTTTCCATTTGTTCCAAGCATGTTTGTACCTGCATTTTTATGATGACTCTTTAAAATCTTTGAAAGATAATTCTAACAGCTCTGTTATCTCAGTGTTGGCATCTGTCGATTGTCTTTTTCATTCCATTTGAGAGCTTCCTCATTCTTTGTATAATGAGTCGTTTTCTATTAAAACCTGGACATTTTTGGCTCACACATGTAATCCTAGCACTTTGGGAGGCCAAGGCAGGTGAGTCACCTGAGGTCAGGAGCTCAAGACCAGCCTGGCCAACATGGCGAAACCCTGTCTCTACTGAAAATACAAAAATTACCCAGGCATGGTGGCAGGTGACTGTAATCCCAGCTACTTCGGAGGCTGAGGTGAGAGAATTGCTTCAACCCAGGGGGCAGAGGTTGCTCTGAGCCAAGATCATGCCATTGCACTCCAACCTGGGCAACAGAGCAAGATTCTGTCTCAAAAAAAAAAAAAATTAAACGTGGACATTTTTGTATTGTGTTGTGATACTCTGGATCTAATTTAAACCTTGTGTTTTATCTGGATTTCTCTGACCCTGCTGCAATCATCGGAAGGGGACACTGCCTTAGTACTTTCAAGTAGAAGTTGAAGTCCAGGTTTTTCATTCCACCTCCATTGACACTCCCGATAGGAAGGTAGTCCTCATTACTCCTGTGAATGGTTTAAGGTTCCAACTTCCCATGTGGTCTCCAGTGACTCTACAGGGATGGGTGCCTTATTACCAGTTTTTGGGTATGCATATCATAGCTTTCTACTTGGCTTTCTTTGACACCACCCTAGCAGGTGTCACCTGGCCTCATGACAACCTCTGAAGGGTAGAAGTCTAGGTTGTCAGTCAGTTTTTGCTGCTGTGGGTGAGGGTTGGACCACAGTTTGCTCTGCGGTGTTTGGCTGGAGTAGAGCAGTTATTGTTTAGCAGTTTCGTCTCTTGCTAGGCTGCTCCTTTCCCAGTCCTTTGGCTAGAGAGAGCAGACTTTCTTTGGGAATTTTTTGGTCTACACAGGTTGGTGTTTCTGCCATGCTGACTGCTTCAGCTCCAAGTCTGAGATATATGAGGCATAAAGAAAACTCATGGAATTTATCACTGTGTCATTCCTTGGGTTCCAGGGTCCCTAGCAAATCTGCCGCCTACTCTTCACCTTTTAGATTCTTCTTAAGCTTGTTTTATATGTAATATCTAAGGATTTTAGTTGTACTTAGTGGTGGGAATAGGGAAAAGTATGTCTATTCCATTTACCCACTGTGTATGGTCTTGAATGTTGCTTATACAAAAGCACTTGTTACCAGTAAACATATAGTATAGTAGTGGCAATTACTAGATATTTTATTCCCATGTTACCAGAGGAGAAACTGAGCACAGAGCTTAAGTGCCACACATATAGTAAGTAGCAGACCCAGGACTACAAACCAAGTCTTCTCATTAAAATCCATGTGCTTGGCCAGGCGTGGTGGCTCACGCCTATAATCCCAGCACTTTGGGAGGCCGAGGCAGGTAGATCACAGAGGTCAGGAGATCGAGACCATCCTGGCTAACACAGCGAAACCCCATCTCTACTAAAAATACAAAAAATTAGCCGGGTGTGGTGGCAGGCACCTGTAGTTCCAGCTCCTCAGGAGTCTGAGGCAGGAGAATGGCGTGAACCGGGGAGGTGGAGCTTGCAGTGAGCCGAGATTGCGCCACTGCATTCCAGCCTGGGCGACAGAGCTAGACTCCATCTCAAAAAAAAAAAAAAAAAAAAAAAAATCCATGTTTTTTCCCCACATTCTGTGGATTAGGATTCTGCCTTTATTTTTTTAATTTTTACTTTTTACGGATACATAATAGTTGTAAATATTTATGGAGATGTGAAATTTTGATACAAGCATATAATGTGTGCTTAGGATACTCATCACCTCAAACGTTTATCATTTCTTTTTGTTAGGAACATTCCAATTCCAGTCTTGTTATTTTGAAGTATACAATAAATTATTGTTAACTATACTTGCTCTATCTTGCTACCAAATATTAGATCTTAGTTCTTCTAACTGTATTTTTATACCCACTAACCATCCCTTCTTTATACTTCTCTTCCCACTGTCCTTTCCAGTATCTGATAATCGTTATTGTTTCTCTATCTCCATGAGTTCAGTTTTTTTAGCTTCCACATATGAGTAAGAACATGCAGTGTTTAAATTTCTGTTCCTGGCTTATTTTGCTTAACATAATGTCCTCCAGTACCAACCGTGTTGCCACGAATGGCAGGATTTCATTATTTGTATGGCCGAATAGTATTCCATTGTTATTGTTGTTTTCAAGACGGAGTCTTGCTCTGTTACCAAGAGGTGTAGTGGTACAATCTTGGCTCACTGCAGCCTCAACCTCCTAGGCTCAAGCGATCCTGCCACCTCATCCTCCTGAGTAGCTGGGACTACAGACATGCGCCACCCGGCCTGGCTAATTTTTTGTTTTATTTTTTGCAGAGGTGAGGGCTCACTATGTTGCCCAGGCTCATCTCGAACTCCTGAGCTCAAGTGACTTTCCTGCCTTGGCCTCCTAAAGTGCTGGGATTAAAGGCATGAGCCACTGTGCCCAGCCCTGAATAATATTCCATTGTGTATATGTACCACATTTTTTAAATGCATTCATCGATTGATGGACACTTAGGTTGATTCTGCATGTTGGCTACTATAATAAGCATGGGAGTGCAGATATCTCTTCAATACATTGATTTCCTTTCTTTTGGATATATAGCCAGCAGTGGGATTGCTAGATCATATGGTAGTTCTATTTTTAGTTTTTTGAAGAACTATCATACTGTTCTCTATGGGGGCTGTACTAATTTACATTCCTACCAACAATGTGTGAGGGCTTCCCTTTCTCCACATCCTTCCCAGCGTCTGTTATCACTTGTCTTTTTTTCTGTAGATACTTAGCATATTTTACAAAAAAAAAGAACTGAATGCCAGCATATATGACTTTGAGCTCCTTATATATTCTAGTTATTAATCCCTTGTCAGATGAGTAGTTTACACATATTTTCTCGCATTCTGTGAGTTGTTTCTTCATGTTGTTAATTGTTTCCTTTGCTGTGTCAAAGCTTTTAAGCTTGATGTGATCCCTTCTGTCCGTTTTTGCTTTGGTTGCTTGTGCTTTTGAGGTCTTGCTCAAGAAATCTTTGCCCAGACCAATGTCCTGGAGCATTTCCTCAATATTTTCTACTAATAGTTTTATAGTTTCAGGTCTCATATTTAAGTCCTTAATCCATTTTGATTTCATTTTTAAATATTGAGAAAGATAGGGGTCTAGTTTCATTCTTCTGCATATGGATATCAAGTTTTCCTAGAACATTTATTGAAGAAACTGCACTTTTTCCAGTGTATGTTCTTGGCACCTTTGTCAAAGGTGACTTCTGTCCTACTTTAGCATAGCTAGATAATTTCTGTTTACTATAGTCCATTTGCAAAAAGGTAGCCATTTACAAATGTTTAAATGACGAGATTATTTTAAACTTACATAGTATTGCCATAATTATCCTGCAGTTTAACTCTTTAAAACTCAAGCAATTATTAATTTTCTTTTTAAGCTATAGGGTAACCCTAGCAGTTTTTAAAAATTTAAACTTCGTAAATATGTTTAAGTGATTTGCTATCCTTGATTAGTATCTTAGTCCATTCAGGCTGCTATAACAAAGTAGCCTTAGCTGGGTGGTTTATAAGCAACAGACATTTACTTCTAAAAGCTCTGGAGGCTGGCAAGTCCAAGATCAAGGCACTGACACATTCAGCGTCTGGTGATTGCCCACTTCCTCATAGACAATGTCTTCCATTGTGTCCTCACATGGTTGAAGAGGGAAAGAAGCTCCTCAGGGTTTCTTTTATAATGTCTCTAATTATAATGTCTCTAATTTATGAGTACTCTGCCCTCATGACCTGATAACCTCCCAAAGGACCCACCTCCTAATACGGTCACTTTAGGGATTAGGATTCCAACATGTGAATTGGGGTGGTGGGGCGGGCTGGGGCATTGTGAGGCAGAAGCATGCAGTTCATTGTAATAAGATGATTCTTTAAATTTTCTAAAAGGTGACTTTTAAAAGTCTGCTCATGGCCGGGCGCAGTGGCTCATGTCTGTAATCCCAGCACTTTGGGTGGCCGAGGCGGGCAGGTCACCTGAGGAGTTTGAGACCAGCCTGGCCAACATGGTGAAATCCCATCTCTACCAAAAATACAAAAATTAGCTGGGCGTGGTGGTACGTGCCTGTAATCCCAGCTACTGGGGCGATTGGGGGTGGGGGTGGGGGGGTGCGGCTGAGGCCGGAGAATTGCTTGAACCTGGGAGGCGGAGGTTGCATTGGGCTGAGATTGTGCCACTGTACTCCAGCCTGGGCGACAAGAGTGAAACTCTGTCTCAAAAAAAAAAAAATTTTTTTTAAACAAAAATGAAAATGTATTTAGTATAATTTAGTTCAGTAATTTATCAAACAATTAGTATGTGCCAAGTGCCCAAGTTCTGGGACTGCAAAGAAAAAAAAGCAAAGGCTTCCTAGAGAAGAAAAAGCAAAGGCTTCCTTACTTCTAGGACCTGACTAGATAGAAGTAATCCAAGAGAAGAAGGTTTTTCAGGTAGAGGGACCACTAAGAGAGTAGACAAGGTGGCAAGGACATACACAGTGTGTGCAAGGACACTAAAAACAGTTGGGTGTTGCTGGATTATCAGCAGGATGATTGGAATAGAAGGCTTTGAAGCTGGAGAGGTAAGTAAGAGAGAATACCTGGGCTGGTAAGAACAGGGGAGGGGAAGATCTTCAAAAACTGGAGTCCATTCAAGACTTGTTTGTAGACCATCCTAGGCAGCCAGGGCATTATTCCAACAGATTATTTGAGTATTTAAATAAATAATTCTATATGGTTCATATAACCAGATGGAAATTCATTTTAGTAGGTTTCTATTGTGGTCCTAATCACTGGATTATTTCTTCGATTATATTCACAGCATTAAGGAGACTGTTCTAACCAGTTCAAGGCCAGTCTCCTGAGCTTTTTATCATTCACATTGGATCAGAACTTCTCATTTGGAAGCAACTCAAGTGTCCACCAACAGATAATTGAATAAACAAAATGTGATATGTGTGTGTTCATATATACACACATATACATATCACATATATGCTATCTGGTATACATATATATACACACACGCACACACACTGGAATACTGTTCAGCCTTAAAAGGGAAGAAAACTTTAATACATGGACATGCTACAACAGAGATGAACCTTGATGACATTATGCTAAATAAAAGGAGCCAGACACACACACACACACACACACACACACACACACACACACACGAATACTGTTCAGCCTTAAAAGGGAAGAAAACTTTAATACATGGACATGATACAACATAGATGAACCTTGATGACATTATGCTAAATAAAATGAGCCAGTCACAAAAGGACAAATACTGTATGATTCTACTTATGTGAGGTACTAGAGTAGTCAAATTCAGAGAGACAGAAAGTCTAGTGCTAGTTGCCAGGGGCTAGGGGTAGGGGACAATGAGCAGCTATTGTTTAATGGGTACAGAGTTTCAGTTTTGCAAGATAAAGGGTTCTGGACATTGGTGGTAATGGTGGCAACAGCAATGTGAATGTACTTAATGCCACTGAGCTGTACACTTAAAAATGATAAGATGATAAATTTTGTATTCTGTACATTTTATGACAGTTTTTTTTTTTTAAACCTCACTTGGTAAAGGTTAGTAATTGGTCTTGCTCATATTTCTAACCCAAGAGAAAAGACAGGATGGAATCTCCACAGCCATGAATGATTATGGAATATTCTCTCAGTGACATGTAAGGACCTGAGGCAATGAAGTTGCACAGAGCTGGAAGACATGCCTGCTGCTTCGCTTAATGAAACAACCTTTTTTTTTTTTTTTTTTTTTTTTTTGAGACAGTCTCACTCTGTCACTCAGGCTGGAGTGCAGTGGCACAGTCTTGGCTTGCTGCAGTCTCCGCCTCCTAGGCGTAAGCAATTCTTGTGCCTTAGCCTCCAGAGAAGCTGGGATTACAGGCTGCACCACTATGCCTGGCTAATTTTTTTGTATTTTCAATAGAGATGGGGTTTTGCTCTGTTGACCAGGCTGGTCTCGAACTCCTGGCCTCAAGTGATCTACCTGCCTCAGCCTCCCAAAGTGCTGGGATTACAGACATGAGCCACTGCGCCTGGCCTTAATGAAACACCTTTGATGTTGCTTTTTATCTCTAGGTAGAAAGGGACAATGAGATATAGTAACTTTAAGCTTATAAGAAATGCTGAGAAATACAGGTTCCTGAGCAGGCTGTTGTCTACATCCAAATTAATTTTGACAGGTGTTTATAGAGCATATACTGTATCCTTTCCCTTCCCAAGGTAATAAATCAGTACTCATCCCTGCCTTCAAGGCATTTGCAGACTAGAAAGACTAGAAGTCTACATGTGAAACAGAATGATGCCCTTATATGGAGTTATCCAGGCACCAAGTTGCGTGAAGGCAAATGCTCTTGGTGTGGAAGAAGTTGGAGGGGCTTCCTGGAATAGGAGGTGGACATGTGAGTTGGACTCAAGAGATAAGGGCCTAGGAAGGAATATGGTGTTCAAAATGAGAAAGAGGTGGTGCACATGGGGTGTGGGGCCAGTAAAATTCCATCCAGAGTGGAGGAATCTGTAGCAGAAAGCAGGAAGTTTTGAAAGTTCAGAGCTGGGGGGAATATTTTATAATTCCCAGTAAATGCCTTAGATGGTAGGATGACATTTACTGATAAAGAGCATCACTAACTCAGTGAGTCTTTCCCTCACAGATGGCCACTTCTTCAGTGTGAAATGTCAGTGTATATTGACAATGTTTATGTTCAGAAAACCTCTCAGTATTTCAAAGGCCTTAGGGTCATTAAGCAAATGACTTAATTCTTTTAATTCACTGAGGCCACTTCTTTGTCTGTAAAATTAGACTAATGCTTCTTATTTCACTGGGTTTGCACATTTATCAGAATAACATGTGAAAAAAATCTTAGCACAGTGTCTAGTCCAGAGTATTAAGTACTGGGGGAGGTGGCATAGGGATGATGTTGACTTACATTTATTAACCTATTCATAGGAACTCTGAACATGAGCATGGGTGCCTTCACATCCCTTTCAAATTTGAGCCATACCTGGAATGTACAATGTCAGAACATAACTGAAATTCTCAAGCTGGGTAGCACATCAAATTTTAGGGAGTTAATTTTTCCTGAAAGGAACAGCTCAAGGATCTGCCAGTCTCATGGAAGGGAAATTAAACCACACAGGGATTTGTCTGAAGCTATGACTTTGGCCAGTCGCTGGGAAATAGGTGTGTGCTGGGGGATGTAAAGATCAATATGTGAGATCCTGGGGCCAATGTTTGAGAATGGTTTAAAATGCAAAAACTTCTCAGTAAGTGGTAACCCTTCAAAGGTTAGCTCAGATTGCCTACCCTGCAGGATCCTCCAAAGGGAGCCGCCTTCTGGGCTTGCTTCCATGACACTTTTTTCATCTCTAATTCGCCATTCTCACATTGGGCTATCAGTCTCCCTTTGCTAGATTATGAGCCCTTTGCTTGAGACTGTAAGCAGCTTGGTGCAGGCTTGATGCCACTTGTAAGGCAGCAGCTATCATCAAGGTAATTTCAGAAGTCGCTGATATTCTTTACAACTAATTACCCCTCTAACCCATTTTTATGCTGGCTTCTTATTTATTTACTTGCTGTCAGAGTAGTGAGTGAGTTCCTTAGGATCCTTCAAAGTGATCAATTAGGGTATTTTTTAGTATCATTATAAGCTCACATGTTTAAACATATTCCATGCATTTGAATCTGTTAGAGTTGTTATCCTTATTGAAAGTCAGATTGTCCTATCTTTAACCAGCAGGAGCCTATTCGAGTTGATTTCTGGATCCTTTTGACTTGACCCTACTAGTCTTTGATAATTTCTTTGTTCTCTGGTATGACAAGATGTTCCAAGTTTATCTTGTACATTTTCTGACCCAGACCTGGAATTAGCTAGCCATTTCCTCAGAGTCCTGGTTTCTTCTAGTAAAAGTGGTATGCCAAAATCCATGATGGGCACTAAGGGTGCTAATTGCTATTGCTGTTATTTTGGCCACACGCTCATTTTTTACATGGTTATAACCAACATCAGTTATCACTTTATTTTTTTTATTATAACATTGTGAATTTTTTCACTTATATCTACATAGTATTTTTTCCAATTTTTAATTATGAAAAATTTCAGTCATACACAAAAGTAAAGAATACTGATGCACACAATTTCAAATCTTATCAAGATTTCATCACATTTCATCTATCTGTTTTTCTGTTTCTTTGCTGGAATATTTAAAGCAAATACTAGACATGTACATAAGTCTTATAAATATCACGTAAGTGAATGTACCACACCTGTGTGCACATTCCCCCAGTTAAACATTTGTTACTTCCAGTTATTCACTGTTGTATACAGTGCAGGCCTGTCATGTCATATAGGTGGCATGTCTGAGAGTTTCACCCATGTTCATGAGCCATAACATTTAGGTGTCATTAACTATTACCACAGTTCACTGCGAAGATTTTCTCGGGTAGACAGCGTGTCTTTCCTTAGTGTGCATTGGAAGAACATGCCAATTGGAGTTCTGCTGACTTGCAAGAGCAGGGGAAAGTGCTAAGTTTTACGTATAGTATCATGAGGATTGTTGAAATGAGTTTGTTGATCTTTTCATATAATTTCCTAGAGGAAAACATTGAGTATAGGCCAGGGATGTGTGTGTGTGTGTGTGTGTAGCTATTCACAGGCAGGACCATAGCACACTACAGCCTCAAACTCCTGAGCTCAAGTGCTCCTCTCACTTAGCCTCCTGAATAGCTGGGACTATAGGTGCACCACTGTGCCTGGATTTACTTTTTTGGATACCAACAGAGACTATAACTTATTGAGGCTAAAACCTGTTAGAGGTCCACTTGAAGATACTGTCATTAACAGATAGTAAGTATCTACAGTGTACATAAGTATCTACAGTGTACATAGTATTCCCCTCAAAGTTTATAGTCTTGGTGGGGAAGCAGCTTGAATGTAGAATGTACTGCCAGGCAGTACATACTACACAAATGACAAAGACCAGTGCCATAGGAGTCCGGAAGAGATTGGTCTAGTGTGGTCAGTGAGGTTAGTGTCATAAGACCTATGTTTAGATTTTACTTGTGGGTAATCTGCCATTTCACCTCTGTGCCCTCATTTCCTCATATGTTCTTAGGACTAATTTCACTTGCCACCTTGTGGCAGTCTTTCCTGCACCATCCACCTCATCAGAATGAATTATGAAGCTCCTTCCTCTAGTTCACCTGTGTCACCGTCAGGCCTTAGTACCACTCAGTAACTGTTGGTTTACGCTGTGCTTCCCCTAAAATGGTAGCTTTTCCAATGCACCATGCCCTTTGTTCATGTTCTTGTAGCCTTGGTACCTAAAGCACAGTAAGTTATTGGTTCATTAGTGCTTTATATGCTTTTAAGTTTTGAACAAATATTACTCAGGATTGGTTATATTGCCTTGGCGAAAAAAAGAGTTTGAACTGGAATTGAATTGAAAATGTGATTTGGTTTTGGGTTTTTTTTGTTTGTTTGTTTTGCAACAGGTTTTGGGAACTTTCATAGTATACGCTATTAAACATGGAATTTTTTTGTTAATACTTGTTTTATTCACAATAAAGTAATTATAAACACACATCACAAAAATAATATTAATAAATAGCACTTGTAATACTCCTGTCAAGCCTAAACATTAATATTTTAGAGTATTTCCTAGTCTCTTTTTCCTGTATTTATATGTGCTATGTATATTTTACAAAATGAAGGTGAGGCTGTTTCACCCTTTGTGTGCTTTAAGTTAATATATTGAAAATATTTCCCTGGCCGGGTGCAGTGGCTCACGCCTGTGATCTCAGCACTTTGGGAGGCTGAGGTGGGTGGATCACCTGAGGTCAGGAGTTGGAGAGCAGCCTGACCAACACAGAGAAATCCCATCTCTACTAAAAATACAAGATTAGTCGGGCACAGTGGCACATGCCTGTAATCTCAGCTGCTCGGGTGGCTGAGGCAGGAGAATCGCTTGAACCCGGGAGGCGGAGGTTGCGGTGACCTGAGAGCACTCCAGCCTGGACAACAAGAGTGAAACTCTGCCTCAAAAAAAAGAAAAAAGAAAAAATATTTCCGCATCACAAAATAGTCATCTACAACATAGGTTTTTAATGGCCACAGAGTTTCTCAAGCATGTGTAATAAGGACACTTTAAACATATATTTGTACTGGTTCTTGCTGTTGAATTAAATTATTTTAATTATTTCTTTACCAAAATTTGTATAAACAAAAACTGTGAGGTGTAAACATGTTCTTATAGCTCTCCCACAATTATATATGAAAACAAATTTACAAATTCAATTTAAAACTTCAGAATCCATATAATTCACGTTAACAACAGTAGATATTTTGCTGAAACTAAATTGGTGATTCAGATGTGAATATAGCACTTCTTTGATGCCTGTCTGTCCTGTGTCCCATACTTTTTTCCTACCACATTTCTTTGTTTGAACTACGGTGAAACTTTGCTTTGTGTAGCAAGGCATTGGCTTTTAATTGGTATGACCACATTATTTATAAGCTGTCACCTCTGTCCTTTCTGATTAGTCATTAGTATATGAAAATTAAGGAACTTACTACTTGATATCTGTAAGATTTTAAATGCAAATGCTGGCAATCAAGGATCAGCATTCACCTGCAAGATGATTCAGGTAGTCGATACTATGCTTATATTTTTTAAGAAGATAATGCTTGAGTTGAAAACTCAAGATTGAAAAAAGAAATGTGTACTGGCTTTGCAGATCCCTAAGGATATGTTGGATGCTATTTTGAAAAATCCTCATGTAATCATAAAAAGCATGAGCTCTGAGGTTAGTCCTGGATTGGAATCCAAACTAAACCTCCCATATGCTTTGTGGGTGTGGGCAAGTTTCTTAATCTTTCTGAGCTTTAATCTCCTAGTCTGTAAAATAGAGATAATGGCAACCTTAGCCTGTTAATTGAATAGTTTTCGCTTAGAGGGGTGCAAACATGAACAATTGTGTTTTTCTCCAGTCAGAACTCCCAACTGCTCTGTCCAAATCTCCCTTCTCCTCTCAAGGACAGATGATACCTTAGGCAGAGTTCACAACCTCCTGGTCACACTGGGTTACTGAAAGTTGACCATTTGAAAAGTTCAGTATATCTAATTGAAAGGTTTACTTACTCCTGTTACTCTAACCAGGCTTGTGGCTATTGGGATATGAAGTGGGAAAAGGTAGACTTGGTTGGTTTGTTTTTGAGATGGAGACTTGCTGTTGCCCGGGCTGGAATGCAGTGGCATGATCTGAGCTCACTGCAACCTCTGCCCCCTGGGTTCAAGTGATTCCCCTGCCTCAGCCTTCTTTGTAGCTGTGATTACAGGCATGTGCCACCACACACAGCTAATTTTTGTACTTTTAGTAGAGACACGGTTTCACCGTGTTGGCCAGGATGGTCTCGAACTTCTGACCTGATGTGATCCGCCTGCCTTGGCCTCCCAAAGTGCTGGGATTACAGGCGTGAGCCGCCGCGCCTGGCCTGGTTGATTTTTTTTACTCCTCTTCCCCATTCTTCACCTTGGAGAGTGTAGGGGTGGGAGGAGATACAGTCTCTCTCTGATATTTCTTCCCTGGCCCTTCTGGTCTCCAGTCATTCCAGTGCCCAGTTGCCCAGTGTGTAAAATGAGCAAGAGGGCGAGGGACAAGGATACGAGTCTCTTCACTGGCTGCTCTTGAGTCCTCCTAGATGGCATTTACAGGTTGCCTGTCTAGCACTGTCTGTGGGTCCACTCCCCATTGTTGTGAGTTCTTTGGAGGGTGGGCTTCCTCACCGCATGATCTCCAGACCTGGAGAAGAAACTGGTATTTAGTTCTTTTCGTCTCTTTCAGGACATCCTCACTCTTCTCTGGTACCACCTGGCCCTGGTCCACTTGCTTATTGGGCAGCCGTTTTGGGTGGGGAACTGGCAAGAGGGCTTAAGACCAGCAATTTCTATGGACTGTATGACCCAGGGAAGACATATCTGTGCCAAACAGTGGGGTAACAGCAGTGCTGCTCCTTCTTGCTCAGTTTCTCCTTCCTCTGTCCAGATTGGTGCAGGCCAAATCTGTAAGTCGACTGCCTGATCAGATATTCACAAGACATTACACTTTTTAAAAGTTATTACCCCAAACCTTTTCTTTTCTTTTTTCTTTTTTGGTACCCCTAGTCTCTGTAACTGATGATCTTGGAGCCCACCGTGGGGTAGGGAGAGGACCACCCCAAAATACAGCACATTATAGTAGGTCAGGGAATCCAAGATTTCCCCTCTTATCTCTGCTCTTCTTTTGTGGACTGTGGAGGGAGAGGGACAGTGCAGGAGCACATGGTTGGGGTAGAAGATCTCATAGTATAGCTTCTTTTTTGTTTTTTGGTGTTTTTTTTGAGATGGAGTCTTGCTCTGTCACCCAGGCTGGAATGCAGTGGCACGATCTCGGCTAACTGCAACCTCCGCCTCCTGGGTTCACGCCATTCTCCTGCCTCAGCCTCCCAAGTAGCTGGGACTAGAGATGCGTGCCACCACGCCCAGCAAATTTTTTATATTTTTAGTAGACATGGGGTTTCACCATGTTGGCCAAGATGGTCTTGATCTCTTGACCTCATGATCTGCCTGCCACGGCCTCCCAAAGTGCTGGGATTACGGGCGTGAGCCACCACGCCTGGCCCATAGTATGGCTTCTTAATAAATTCTTTAATTAGCCTGGCACCAGTTATTGACTGCTGTCTTTACCTTGTGGGGAACTCACCTCCTCTCTGTCTTTAGTTGTGAGTTCTATTTACCAATTGTGGGGCAACTGAAAAAGTCACATTCAACATTCTCTTACATAACTACCTTATGGATTTCTGTGGTATTAAATATGATAATGCCAGGCACATTGTAAACACTCTATAAATAAGTGGTAACTGTTACAATTATTGCAGTGCCAAATTTATTTGATTCTTCTGTTCTTGGATATTTTAGTCCTTAACTATTTTCCGCTATTTTATAATAGATAATGCTGTGATGATCTTTAGAGCAAAGACTTTTATCCTTAGGATGAATTTCTGCAAAAGAGGGTCTGATTCAAAGGGTATAATTATTTGTAAGGCTTTTTGATGCATCATACCAAATTGGCTCTCAGAAAGGATAGTTTTGGCTTCCCTGATTCTTCTTTGATATTAGACATTTTAATTTTTTAATACTTGATAATTTGATAGGTGAAAAAATAGTTGTTTTGATTTGGATTTCTTTGATTGCTACTGAGTTTGAATATATTTTCATGTATTATTGGCTCATATTTTAAATGACTTGTTCAAATGCAAGGTGCTTTTTGATACACTTTATTCGTGTAATTGGGAAAACTGTGTGACTTCAGGCATTGTAATAAGGGAACTTGGAATAACTAGAGCGGGGGAATCTCCAGCAGTAGGGAGGGAAAAGATTGACCTGACCTGATGTTCCTGTTAACTCAGCAGCTCCCTTTTGAGACCTTTGCAGTTGTGATTCCATAGATTTCCCCCAGGCAGCCTTTTGATCTTTACTCAGTTTCAAGGCCTGCCTCAAATGTCACATGGTTTGTGATACTTCCTGATATCCTCCTGAAGGAGATTTATCTTCCCTCAACATCCTGCCTCTCTGCAGCTCCTATGATGTTGCAGCGTGACTGTGTTTTTAGTCTCTTCTCTTAATTATGGGGACTTCTCAAGGATAGTCATCTTTCTTTTCTAACCTGGTGTTTGGCACATAGGTACAGAAGCAAGAGATAAGACGGTGGAAAGTGTTGCAAGAAAGTAGAATAGGGTGATTAACTCCACTTGGAGTGGGGCAGTGTCAGAGGCTGCAGAGAAAATTATAATTGAGCTGGGATGTGAAGAGTGAACAGGAGTTCATCTACAGATGGAAAAGTAACATTTCAAATAATGAGAACAGTTTAAAGGCCTAAAGATGTGAGCTCATGAATGTCGAGGTAAGGTGTGTGGATGGAGAGGGATGAAGAACAAGGTTCAAGTGAGTCTCTCTGTTCTCCCCAGTACCCCCATCTTCATTACCTTTGCCCACCGTGGTCTCTGCTCTGTCCAGAGTATCTTCTCTCTCCCCTGCCTCCTCAGACTCTATCGATCATTCCACAAAGTTACTGAATACCTATTATGTACTTGCATCAAGAGAAAGAGGCAAAAATGGGTTCATGGACAACTTGGAATGGCATCATAGGAATGTTAGCCCCATCCTGAAAAGCCAAGCAGAGTAGTGCCTTACCCATATTCCTTTTCGACTGCACTGATTGTTCCTAACAACTGAAATGTTTTCTATTGTAGCATCTGTAGATAAAATAGATAACAATCAAAAGAGTTACAGTTTATTTAGTCCCTTGTGATGGGACAGTGGTTTCTTTCTAACTAGGCTTAGGCAAAGAAAATACAGTTTTCTTCTTCTTCTTCTTTTTTTTTTTTGTTCGAGAAGGAGTCTTGCTCTGTCACCCAGGCTATGGTGCAGTGGCAGAATCTCAGCTCACTGCAACCTCTGCCTCCTGGGTTCAAGCAATTCTCCTACCTCAGCCTCCTGAGTAGCTGGGATTACAGGTGCGCACCACCACGCTCAGCTAATTTTTTGTATTTTTAGTAGAGACAGGGTTTCACCATGTTAGCCAGGCTGGTCTCACTCCTGACTTCGTGATCCGCCCACCTCGGCCTCCTAAAGTGCTGGAATTACAGGCATGAGCTACTGCACCCAGGCAGTTTTCATATTTTCTATAGCTGTCTGCTTCTCTGTCAGTTTCCATCTTTGTTCCAGTTTCTTTGGCTTCACGATACATCTTTGGTCATGATTAAAGCATGCCCAAAAGTTAATGCCATAAGGTAACCATTTTATTTTACTCACAGATTGTGTGGGTCAGGAATTCAGAGAGGGCATGGCAGGAACTTGATTCTGCTCCCCAATATCTGGGGCCCCAACTGGGAAGGCTTGAATGGCTCAGAGTGACTTGACTGCTAGGAACTGGAATCCTCCGAAAGCATCACTTACATACCTGTCACCAGGGCTGGGATGACTCAAAGGCTCTGCTCAGCTGCAGTTGTTGATGAGAGCACCTACCAGTGGCCTTTACATGGAGCCCAGGCTTCCTCTCATGGCAGTCTCTAAGCAATCAGACTGCTTACATGGTGCTTAAGGGCTCCAAGAGTGAATGTCTTAGTGGCCAAGATGAAGATGTCATGGCCTTTTTTAGTGACCTAGCCTTAGAAGTCACATAGTGTTACTTTGGCCATACTTCATTGATTGAAGGAGTCACAAGTCCACTCAGATTCATGGAAAGGGAACATAGACTTCCAACCTCTTGGTAGATGGAGTATCAAAGAATTTGTGGTCATTTTAATTTTTATTTTATTTATTTATTTTTTAATTTAGAGACAGGGTCTCTGTCACCCAGGCTGTTGTGCAGTGGTATGATCTCGTCTCATTGCAGCCTCAACCTCCCGGGCTCAAGCGATTCTCCCAACTCAGCCTCCTGGACAGCTGGGACCACAGGTGCATGGCACCACATCCAGCTAATTTTTCTGTATTTTGTAGAGATGGTGTTGCACTATTTTGCCCAGGCTGGCCATTTTTTAAAACTGCCACAATAACATTTATTTTTCAGGATAAAGTCTCCTTTGAATCTTTTCAAAGGTCAGCTTCCTAATCAGGGCTCTTTGAGTAAATACTTCCGCTTTCATAGTACCGCCCACTTCCCTATTTCTGCTGGAAATCTTACTTGGTCAAGGCAGGGATTTCATCTGCGTTATTGATCTCCAGATCCTCATCAATCTAGAACAGTGTCTGGCAAACCGTTGATGTTTAATACATATCACGGATTATGTAATGCTTACTATGTATCTGTGTGAGAGAGAAGAGGATATCTACATTGGTATCTGTGGAATTTTCTACTTCAGTGTCTAATTTCTGATGTATTCCTGAGTCACCTGTTGAGACTTATTCTGTCTTTCGGAGTGATGTGCATGAACCCATTATTGGAGGAGATCGCGGTATTGGACATCTGTCTCAAAGTCTCTATACACTGAGAACTGCTTGTCCCAACCATAGGCCTCTATAGGTCCACCAGTCTCTTAGCAATTTCTTTATATATATCTATATATGCTGGAGTGCAATGGCACCATCTTGACTTGCTGCAACCTCCGCCTCCCTGGTTCAAGTGATTCTTGTGCATCAGCCTCCCGAGTAGCTAGGATTACAGGCACCTGCCACCATACTCAGCTAATTTTTATTTTCTTTTTTGTAGATACGGGATCTCACTATGTTTCTCAGGCTGGTCTCAAACTCCTGGGCTCAAGTGATCCTCCTGCCTTGGCTTCCCAAAGGAACAAGTCTTTTTATGAGACTGTTTAAGGCCTCTGTATAAGTTGGGTTGACCTAGTGAGAAATCCTTTGTTTATAGCTTGCTGGTGTGGGCTATAAAGCAATAGCCTCGCCAAGCCTGGTTTCATTTATTTCAAACCCTTTGTAAACCAAGGGAACAGATGCAAATTATCTCCTTATTTTCATGAACTTCCATATCAAGGTTTTTTGTTAACTGAATTTGTGATTGGTGAGCTTTGAGCCAGTGAGTACTATTTTCTTTTGTTACTGCACGTGGCGTGTGTAGTGTTAACATAAACTGTACTCTAAAGCTGCCTGGTCCTGAACTACTGAATTTATGTGGTGGTAGATACAAAAGGATCTATATTATGCTGAAAAGAACAAAGTATTATCTTATCCATGTACAAAATTATTATGCAACAAATGCCTAAAATTCCTGCTGTGTGCAAGAACTTCAGCTAGGCATTGCGAGAGAGAAAGGTATAACAAAAGAATGATAGTAAACTGATGATATTGGTAACTTGTGGGGATTTGACTGGCAGGGGTGGTAAAAGGGGCTTCAACTTTATGGTGTCTCAATTCTGTTTTGAAAATAACAGCTTTGTTGGGATGTAATTCACATACCATAAAAGTCACCATTTAAAAGTGTACATATTCAGTGTTTTCAGTATATTTATGCAGTTGTACAGCCATCACCACTATTTTCAGAACATTCTTACCTGAAAAGAAAACCACGGCCGGGCGCGGTGGCTCACGCCTGTAATCCAGCACTTTGGGAAGCCGAGGTGGGTGGATCACCTGAGGTTGGGAGTTCGAGACCAGTCTGACCAACATGGAGAAACCCTGTCTCTATTAAAAATACAAAAAATTAGCTGGGTGTGGTGGCACATGCCTGTAATCCCAGCTACTTGGGAGGCTGAGGCAAAAGAATCACATCAACCCGGGAGGCGGAGGTTGCAGTGAGCCGAGATTGTGCCATTGCACTCCTTCCTGGGCAACGAGCAAAACTCTGTCTCAAAAAAAAAAAAAAGGAAAACCACATGCTTTTCTGTCATTCTCTAAAAGAAAAGGTAGAAAAGGACATGGAGTTGTTCTTCATGTCAATCTCAGATGTTTCTCCCAAAGTAAAATGTCATTTTTCCTGTTGTGATCTCAGAACATGTTGATTGAGACTCTATCTTGGCACTTAATACATTCTGCCAAGAAACTAGGAGCATGAATACCTCTCCTCTGCCAGCTTAGGAGGACCCTGGGAGCAAAGACTAGGTCTTGTGCTAATTTTACCACCTGTTGAGTAAATGCTTAATATGTACTCATTAAATATCAGTTTGAATTCTATTGACATCCTTAGACTTTTCAGGTAGATTTCTAGGAGAAAGATCTTTTCTGACCAATACATCCCTAGTTCATTTCTCCGTTGGGTGGAGTTTCTCATTCTTCTGTTTCTACCCAAAGAAGTATGATTTAAAGTAAGGTAAGGGTTAACTTTCTTTCTCGCTCTAGTTCTCAGTCTCTTTCTCTCTCTTTTTAACAAAACAAAAATAAGCAGGACTGATGGTGGGAATAGAATCATTGCATTTGCTTATTTTGAAGTTATGTTCTCTAAGGATATCCATAGCTCTGAGGGCAAAAGGTTGGTAGAGAACATTTGGATAAAGACAAGAGAAATTATGTTCTGGGACTATATTGTGAGCCCCATCTATAAACAATATGATGCCAGGCACAGTGGCTCACACCTGTAATCCCAGCTTTTTGGGAGGCTGAGGCAGGAGGATCACTTGAGCCCACGAGTTCGAGATCAGCCTAGACAACATAGCAAGACACTGTCTCTACAAAAAATTCTTAAAAATAGCTGGATGTGGTGGCACATCCCTGTAGTCCCAGCTACTCAGGAGGCTGAGGTAGGAGGATTGCCCAAGCCCAGGAAGTTGAGGCTGCAGTGACGTGTGATCATGCCACTGCACTCCACCCTAGACAACAGAGCGAGACCCTGTCGCAAAAAAACAATGTGGAGGCCAGGCACAGTGGCTCATGTTTGTGATCTTAGCACGTTGGGAGGCTGAGGCAGCTGGATCTCTTGAAGTCTGGACTTCAGGACCAGTCTGGCCAACAAGGCAAAAAAACCCCGTCTCTACTGAAAAATAGAAAAATTAGCGGGTGTGGTGGTGCATGCCTATAGTCCCAGCTACTTGGAAGGCTGAGGCACAAGAATCGCTTGAAGCCAGGAAACAGATTGCAGTGGGCCAAGATCGTGCCATGCACTCCAGCCTGGACTCTGTCTAAAAAAAAAAAAAATACGGAGTCATAATTTATTATGCATATTATATACATATTGAGCACTTACTATATAGAGTACTGTCCTGTGCATTTCTTATGTATTAGTTAACCTTCACTTTTATTTTCTCCATTTTGTGGATAAGAAACTAAAGGACAGGGTATTTAGGAAAATTGCAAAAGATGTCTCCATTAGAAAATAAAAGAACCACATTTTGACCCCAAGCAATCTTCCTCTAGTGCCTGGTTGGTGTCTCCATATAAAATAAACTGAATTTGAATCCTGGCTCTACTATTTAGTAGGAATATAGCTTTGGATAAGTCATCTAATCTCTTTGAGCCTCACTTTCTACATGAGGTAGTTGGCAGATTGTGAGTAAAGCTCCTTAGTCCATTGTGATTCCCTTCTGTCATTTATTTGTGGATTTTTCTTGCTAACTCTGTACAGTCTGACAGCAGGATATGTGAGTGATGGCAGATTTCAACTATTTGTTATGTAATGATTAAGCAGTTCTACACATCCTTTTCTATCGTGTTAACAAATTTGTTTCTCAACCCACTGAGAGACCACTGTTACTGTGGACTTAATTCTGACCCATTGGTAGAGATTTTGGTAATATAAACTTGATGAGAACTTGATAACGTGATGGTCAGTTTAGCTTGTTAGCAGTGAAGAGCAAGAACATCGTACCCTAGACTTTAGAAATGCGTATTTCAGAAAGTGTCTGAAAACCTTGACCAATGCTAGTACATCTAGAGAAGATGACAGCCCAAGGGATCATGTGGGAAGCATGCCAGATAAGGAGTAGTTGGAGCCTCAGAGGTCATACAGTGTGAGGAAAAGAAGAGTTTTAAAAAGAAAGAAAAGAAAAAGAAGATATTCCATTGTGGGGGGCTCACACGGAATCTAAAGTAGAAGGACTGCTTCAGCCTAGCAGCTCTAGGCTACAGTGAGCTATGACCTAGCCACTGTACTCCAGCCTGGGTGACAAAGTGAGTCCCCACCTCATTCATTGATTGATTGATTCATTCATTCATTATTTTGGTAACAACGTTTTGTTTAATGTCTAAATCTAACAAAACATGTCATTTTGATTTAAAAGTACAATTTTATGAAATAATAAATATATAGAAGGCTTGGCCAACATTTATAAACCAGATGTAAATCCGTGCCTTCCAACTTCCTTGACATCACATTGTCTCTTCGTAAGAGATAGTCACTTTGGCCAGTAGGGAAGACAGGAAAACCAATAACATGAGTAAACAATTTACATCTTGCCTGGCCCTGACTGCGGTCATTACTCTAAGCCACATGCCTTACTTTGCTCTGACACTTCAGGATGTTCCCTCCTGGTATTAGCTGTGCACCAAGGCTAAGAGGTCACAGGGCCCTCCTTGCCATTCTCAATAAATCAGTTTTGGAAAACCTCCAGGCCTTCTTGCAGAGTATTCAGGCATATAGGGTTGTAGCTGATCAGCCATAAGGACAGGCCTCCCTTTAGGCCCTGCAGCAGTGTAGCACCAGTTTGAAAGCCTCCATCCAGTGCACATAATGAAAGTCAGAAAAAGACCTTCATTACTTATGTGTACTTTCTACAAAGAAACAGATACCTGGATGAGGGCCAAGACTGCCTCCTTCATCATTCCATTTTGTGTTGTCTGTGTTGACAGAGTCAGCAAGAGAAGAGATATCAAGTGCTTGCAGGGTCCCTAGGTCTGTCCTTGTAGCCAGACCTTCCCTTGCTACTTGTAATTCCTTGACAGAAGACATTGTGGTAGTGGGTACTCAGGAAAGAAGCAACTAGAATGGGGCACTTCTCCCAGGGCAAACACTGAATCCTCTTTCTGTTATAAAGTTCCCTGAGTCCTGGGTTTGATTGTTCACATAGATAGAATGATAGCTATTGAAACTGTCCCTAACTTAGTAATTCTCTCTGAACTCCCTTGAGAGGGCCCAGGTACTCTTACCTTCCATCTCTCCTGACAAAGAATAAAGAATGAGTCTAAGAGTCTTGACCATCATATATCTCAGGCACTGACTGGGGATGGGGAAGCTTTGAATAACCAGATACATACGTATAGATAGACAGGTAAAGATATCTCATAGCTACACTTTCATTTTTTTATTAATAAAATACTAATTATGTATCAGTCTTGTGCTAGGCATGAAAGATGCAATGCTGAATAAGACAGGTTAGATAACTTTTGTGAAGCATAATATGTACCCCTCCCAAATGTTCTGTTGATGACAGATTCCTATCATTGGGTGCCTCATAATTTTGTATTCTTTCATCACATCTAAAATCAATCTCTACATGGTAACTTTCCTCAGTTTGGAGACATTGGACATGCTTCCCATCTTCTGTGGAGTTTCTGGTGTCTAAGAAGGCTCAACTGCCTACTAAAGTTTCTCCTGCATATGCTACAAGTATAAGGCTGCTCACCTGTGTGAGTTCTCTGGTATTTAATAAGGTTGGATTTGTGAATGAATATTTTCCCACATTCATGACATTTAAAGGGCTTCTCTCCTGTGTGAATTCTTTGGTGTGTTTGTAGATTTGTGTCATAACTAATGCTTTTCCCATACCATGAGCATCTATATGGGTTTATTCCTTGATGTGTCATGAAGTGCTTATTAAGACCTGAACTCCATCTAAACCTCCTGTCACATTGTTGACATTTATAGAGTTTCTCTTCAGTGTGAATTCTCTGGTGCTTAATAAGATCTGAGCTAACTCTGAAGATTTTCCCACAGTCCTGACATTTAAAAGGTTTCTCTCCTGTGTGGCCTTTCCCGTGAAGATCCATAAGTTTTGGAAGCTCTTGTTTACAAGTTGTAAGTTTCTTTTCTTCCTTGGAAAAGCTTGATGCCATTTCTATACCCTGTGTGTATCACCATGATTTTCCCTGTCCTTTGTTTTCTGGGCAATTTTCATTCTGGTCTTTTTTGATACTTTGTATCCTGCTGTTTGTATTTCAGGTGCAGAAACCGATATTATAGGATAGTCATTTCCATTGTCATTTTTTAGCTTTAACCCTAGAGAGATGGCAGTCTCATAGATATCCTGCATTACATCATTGTAGAGAGTCTTCTCAAGAGGACCTAATAATTGCCATTCTTCCTCAGAGAAGTACACAGCCATGTCTTCAAATGTCAATAAACTCTGGGACTCAGGCCAGATGAGCTTAGGTGCCATCTTCCAGTCTTTGGTGCTTTTGTGCTCAGAAAGGGCTAAAATCTGTTGAACATGCACAGCTCTTTCATATACAGGCTGGGTTTCTTTCTGAGTATTCCAGCCCAGCTGTTCTTGTAGTACCCTGTATGTGTTCCAGTATTCTTTCTAGAACAGACCCATTGGTTCGAGCTCTGCTGGCTTCCACTTGAAGCCTGGGGCCACTGTTGTTCCTCTCAAGAGCACTGCCTCCTCTCCCAGCTCATGGGCTGTGACCTCATTCTTTGTTCCACCAGGTTCTCTCTGCAAGCGTTCCACCAGGACCAGGGCCTGTTTGGCAAGCTGTGGATGATGCTTCTGCACCCAGTTCTGGGTCCCCTTTGGCAGGATGGTCAGGAAGTGCTCTAGTACCAGCATTTCCAAAATGTGCTTTTTTGAGTGGATCTCTGGCCTCAGCCACTGATGGCACAATTTCTGAAGTTGGTTGATAGCCTCAAGCGGTTCAGTTGCTTCATGATAATGGAAGCTCCGGAAGTGCCTGCAAGCACTCCCAGGACTGAGACACTCGATTTGTGTGCTGTATTTCTTACTCTGACTGGAGTTCTCTTTCACAGACCTGTTGGTCTCCCACATAGCTCCCATATGAGAGTTCAAGCATGCATCTGCCTTCAGCTCTCTCATTATCATTTGCTCTAGGAAGAGTTTTACTCCTGTGTGTGACATTCACACCCATCTGGTGCCACCTTTGAGGTGCATCAGGTTTGGTACATTTTGGTACAAAATGAGAGTGCAGGTTTGGTACAAAATCAATGAATAGATCTTCCCAAGAACACTTCAGTCAGCTCTGGCTTCCCTGGAGGCCCCTTTCCTCTTTCTTTGCTCAACTATGCCTCTGTCGCCACGCTGCTGCTCTGGGCAGTGAAGCTCTCTGCTCCTGCACCACTGAAAAGCAATGTCAGGAAAGCCAGCAATGTCACGAAAGCCCGCAATGCCTGGCGAGTAAAGTTCCAAGATTTTGGGAGCCTTGGAAAGGGCCTTGGAAGATCATTTCTCCCATTCAATCCCTCCACCTCCCAGAGACCTTACCCTGACTCACTACTCCTGGGACGAGGTCTGTGGCCATTCATTTAATTAATTGAGACACGGTCTGGCTCTGTTGCCCAGACTGGAGTGCAGGGGCATGATCTCAGCTTACTGCAACCTCTGCCTCCTGGGCTGAAGCCATCCTCCCACCTCAGCCTCTCGAGTAGCTGGCATTACAGGCGCACACCACCACACCTGGCTAATTTTTGTATTTTTTTTTTTTTTTTTTTGGAGAGACAGGGTTTTGCCATGTTGCCCAGGCTGGTCTCAAACTCCTGGGCTCAAATGATTTTGTCCACCTCGCCTCCCAAAGTATTAGGATTACATACGTGAGCCACCACACACGGCTGAGACCCCACGTCTTAAAAAAAAAGAAAAAGACATTGTCGTAGCTATGCCATTCCTTGTGTTTCAGTGTTTGAATTAATGAATTTTTTATCTTATGCCTACTTTTCATGGAAATGGTAGTATTCTCTACTTGCCAGTCATGACTTGCAGCCTTTTCTGGAAGATTATTTCATTTCTGTTTTTTCTTTTTTGAGACGGAGTTTTGCTCTTGTTGCCCAGTCTGGAGTGCAATGGCATGGTCTCAGCTCACTGCAACCTCTGCCTCCCAGGTTCAAGCGATTCTTCTGCCTCAGCCTCCCAAGTAGCTGGGACTACAGGCATGTGCCACCATGCCCAGCTAATTTTGTGTTACTGGTAGAGACAAGGTTTTGCCATGTTGGTCAGGCTCGTCTTGAATTCCTGACCTCAGGTGATCCACCTGCCTTGGCCTCCCAAAGTGCCAGGATTACAGGCGTGAGCCACCACACCCGGCTGGAAGACTGTTTCTAAAGTCAGACAAAGGATAGACTAAATGTGTTTTCTGAGAAACGTTAGTCTAGGGAATCTGAGAGGCCAGAACCTCTATCATGAGTAAAAGAATCATGGCTCATAATCTCTAGTTTTCATCTCATACTGTTGACTTCTAATCGAGTTCCTTGTTTTAGTAACAAATAAAATAAATGTTTTCTGCTCTCAAATCTACAGGGACTTTATTAAAATTGGAGGAACAACATTTGACAGTCTTTTGAACGTTTAGAAAAATAGGATTTATTGTGGCTAAGTCTAAAAGGTCTCATGATTACAATTGACTGAAAAGGAAGGAATGCATTGCTTTCCATGCGTGGTGACTTAATTTTATGTGCAGTACTATGCAATACACAGAGACTTACCTAACTGCTGTTCTTGGAGGGTCTATTAGGCATTAAAGTGTAAGTATCCCTATTGTTATTTACACTAGGAAAAAAAGCATACCTCAGGTCTTTGAGAATCCAGGAAAGCTTTGTTTTAGAATATTGCTCCAGCACTTGCAGTGAGCCGAGATCCCGCCACTGCACTCCAGCCTGGGCGACAGAGCGAGACTCTGTCTCAAAAAAAAAAAAATAATAATAAAAAAAAGAATATTGCTCCAGCAGAAGGGGGGGCCAAGGAATTGTAGGCTTTTATTGAGTGCCTACAGGATGCCTCTCACTGGGGATGTAAATGATACAGTCCTTGGCCTTCAGGAGCCAGGTGTAGAAGGAAATCAATCAACGGTTAACTGAGAGCCACTGAGATGCTGCAATTCCGACATAAACAAAGTGCCATGAGAGCACAGAGGAGGGTACAGCTAATTGATTGGGAATATTCAGAGAAGGCTTCAGGGCTTGGTTCCATCAGCCAGGTCTGGAGGGATCAGTAAAACTTGGACTAGAAGAAGAGAACAAAGGTCTTTTAGCCAAAGGGAACAACTTGTAAAACTTGTTACTGACACGCTGGAATGATGAGAATGGAGCTGATATATGAGAAGTGGTGGGATTAGCATGGCCAAGTTATGAAGATTCTCATATGCTAAGGAGTTAGAGCTCTTATTCTTTAAGCAGCAAGGAACTGCGAAGTTAAGTGTGTAGGTTTTAATGGCCTGACCTCACATATGTGATACAGCCACCTCTGGTTCTCTGATTAAATAATTTGAGAAACAATCCATACTATATTTCTTTTTCATGGTGACTCTATATGTACATAACTACATTGGAGGCTCTGAAATGATAAACTCATTTAATGTGCTTAACACAGGGTCAAATGTGCTCAAACATGGAACCTTTTTTTTTTTATCTATTTACCTTTTAGTTTTTAGTAACATGTTTAGGAGATCTGATATAGGGAAAGGAGGAAGAGGGAGAAACAGGCTTCTAGGGAAATAAAAGAAGAACCTTTTTTACCAGTCTAGCAGTATTTGGCTGTAGCAGGTGGGAGGAGGAAGAGCCATTTCTTAAATCTAAAGACAGCTCTGTACTGGGAGTGAGGAGGTCTAAGTTCTTACTCTGCCTTAGCTGTTAAATAAGCTGTGTGCCCTTGGCTAGTTCACTACTTTTTTGAGACTCATCTCTCAAGACACAGATAAATACTGCTTGACCACAGGTTAGTTGGAGTCTGTGTTAAGTGCTTTATATGTATTAGCTCATTAAATCCTCAAATCAAACCTAAAGTTAGATTCCCATTTCAAAGATAAGAAAAGTGAGGAATTGAGAGATTAAAGAAGCTATTCAAGACCACCTTCTAGTAAATGAGATGGATGGGAGATGGGACATTTTCAGTGGAAGAAACAACTTAAAGGCACAGAAGTGAAAAGGAGCAGGTGATCTTCAAGGAATAATGTGTATAATTTGGTATTGTCAACCTTAAATAGTGAGATTCAGAAAATACGATTAAGTAGAGTCTATTTGAGTACAAAGCTTAAGTATGGCCACCTGGGAGACACTGACTCCAAATGAATGGGGTCAGAGTTTCAAAGTAGAGAAGATAAGGTTTCACTTACATAGGCAGAGACACAGAAATTTTAACAGGATTACAACATTTCCCATACAAGACCAGTGCATACGTTACAGTGATTTGACTGGTTACAGATTCCTACATTCCAAGGAAGATTACTCCATGAGGAGGGACAACGTTCTGAGATGGTCTTATCTCTGGCGCCATTTGGTCTTAATTACGGGGTGGGGGGTTTGGGGGTGGGGAATGGGGGCAGAAGTTGCAGCTGCATGACATGTGACTCAGGCTGCATAGCCACATTCCTCCCAAGGCTCCGAATAATTTAAAGTTCCAATAGCTTTCAGTTTGAATTATTTAATTTCACAGTGTGTAGTGGACTTGGAAGTGTGATAGGAGACAAGAGTGGAAAATGTAGATTTAGGCAATGTTATAGAGGCCTTTGAATGCTGTGTTTTATTTGCATTTTATTCTACAGCTATTAGGGAGTCTTTGTCATCCCAATTTTCAAATGAGGCCTTAGAAATGTTCTCATTCCTGTAATCCCAGCACTTTGGGAGGCCGAGGCAGGCGGATCACGCGGTCAAGAGATTGAGACCATCCTGGCCAACGTGGTGAAACCCCTGTCTCTACTAAAAATACAAAAATTAGCTGGGCATGGTGGCACGCACCTGTAGTCCCAGCTACTTGGGAGGCTGAGGCAGAATCACTTGAACCCGGGAGGCGGAGGTTGCAGTGAGCTGAGATCACACCACTGCATTTCAGCCTGGCGACAGAGCGAGACTTCGTCTCAAAAAAAAAAAAAGTTCTCATTCAATGTCATTCACAATTATTTTATATTCCACTAAGCAGGGGAATAAATACCTTATTGAAAGAGTGCTTGTAGACTTATGCGGACATGGATTTATAGTCCGGCACTCTCTTGCATACACAAAAAAGAAAAGTATAAATGAAACATTGGTAAAGAAATTTCTAAAACTACTTCATAATCAATTCTAGCTTTCAATCACTTTTTAATTCATTGTCCATATTTGCCTACATAATAACTGCCCTGCATGCCATCAAGAGTATTGATGGTGCAACATTTCTTAAAAATGATTCAACATTGTCTTCAAATTTTTCTTTCAGGTTACTGACACGTATTTTGCAAGTTTCAACTTTGGCACTTTCTTGGTCTTACTAGAAGATCTTAGCAAAAAGTCTCACAACTACTGAAATTCATGTTTCTCCTTAAAATGGCCCTTGATTTATTTGTTCAGGGTTGTATTTGTTCAGTCACAATGACAGACATGACAACCAAGTACACTCTTGTGCAGGCAATGACAGCTGTGTCCTGACTGCAGCTTAACTGTAAGACACTCTCAACAGTAGGAAACATTCTGATTTTGATGTTAAAATAGAACTGAATTTGAATTAATGAAATATAGTAGCTTGTTGAAAATCATAGGATGGTGAAGGTATCAGGACCCATTTGCTCACTGTTATCAGTCCAGCCAGTAGGAAATCTGTCTTGTCGGTCAACTGTGTGAGAAAACCCTTTCCTAAAAAGAAGCTTTACCTTATCTATTTCCCTGTTATTTTGAATTTACACTTACTAAGGAGGAAACCAAGGCAAGAAAGACAGCCAAGGACATTTTAATTGACTCAAGAGATACTTACTTTTAACCAAGTCTTTTATGTTCTGGAAAGTGCCTTGAGATCTTTTAATAATCTTGCCAAATCAGCATTTCAATTTGGTACTCAGGATGAGTGATTAGAAGTCATGACAAATCAGCTAGCTTCTCTGTGGAGAATAGCTGAAGCCTCTGGAGAACCACAGTCTTAAATTAGTCTGAAGAAGCGTGAGGTCACAACAGGAAGTAATGTGAACAGGAGGAGTTACTGATCAGATGGTTCAGAGAGCTGGATGATCTTAATAACTTGATTCCAATTTTCCTTGTATGTAACGAACACTTATTGATTGCTTCTCTTAAATTCATCTCCTTTCTCCTTCCTTGCAACACCTTAATTTGTGTTCAGACATCTGTGTGATTCTGGGGAAGCTGGCTCCATCTATCCTAAGCTTCAGGTTTGGCTAGTTAGCACATTGCATTCCCTCAGCCACCATGATTATTTTGGATTGGGCATGTGATCTAAGCAGGTATAGTCTGAGTGTATTCTAGTTGGTATGGTAAGTGGATATAAGGCCTCTATTCTGCCATATGATTTGGTTAAATATAAGAAGTGTCTATGGGGCACAGTGGCTCGTGGTTATAATCCCAACTACTTGGGAGATGGAGGCAGGAGGATTGCTTGAGGCCAGGAGTTCAAGACAAGCCTGAGCATTAAGACTCCTGTTTCAAAGAAACAAAACAAAAGAACAAAAAGAAAAAAGTGACTATGAATCCTGTACTCTGATCCTAGGCTTACAAAGAAGTTCACACCATCACAGATATGCAGTCAGGGTGAAGGGAGAAAGAGAGAACCAATGCCTTCACATCAGGGTTGCTATGAGAATTGAATGGGATCTTGACTGTAAAGCACCTTGCAGAAAAGTCTGACATAAAATATAAATTCATGTTTTAAGGACTTTTGGAATTGCTAATGACAAAAACCAACTCAGGTAAATTTAAGCAAGAAATAGAAATGTAATGGTATGATAATAAGGAAGCTCAGAAAATGGAAGAAAATTTTCTAGATACCAGGCGACCTTGGGCACACAATCATATTTTAATGGCCCAAGGGCGCTCATTGTATCTCATACTGCTTGTCTGTGTTTGGCTTTCTTTTTTCCTGTAGGCAAGCTGTCTATAGGTGATAAGAAAGGAGATCACTGGCAACCCTCAGTCCTCTCATCTCTGTAACCTAAAAGGCAAGGTCCTTACTTTTAGAACTCCAAATTTAAAATCCTAGGGAAGGATACTGACAGTTGGGGCCATAATTCTACCCCTGGACTGAGCCATTATGGCCAGGGAATTGGAAACTACGGTAGTCAGACTAGAGCTACCTGTGCCTCACCTGACACTCACGTGGTAGGTGTGGAGAGGGATGAGTGACAGCTTCGCTCAGAATCATGTTTGCATCTCGTGGAAAGCAATTTCCTCCATGAGAAAGGGAAGCAGTGCTGGATAGTAAAACAAGTATCCAGTTATTCAGTACTTGCTTTTTGTCTGAAGCAGATTCATCCTCCTTATCTCTGGCAGGGTGGAGGGAAAATAAGAAAGTAGGAGAGAGAGTGAAGTGTAAATTTTATTGTGTACTTAACTACGTAGTAAGTAAACTTTGCAGGTATGAGCCGATTGCATCTCATTTAATCTTTGCTACAATACTGTGCGATAGATAATATTCTCATGTCAGCCAGAAACAAGCTCAAGTTAAGAAACTAGCCCAGGACCATATAAAGCTGAGTCCACTTGTCTCCAAAGCATAATAGGCTTTTCTGCTGCTACCACGTTCTTCAAAATAAAGTGAGTTAAACTTGCCTGGTCAACATGCCGGTCCCCTGTACTCCCTGCTACCGACTCAATGTTTGTGTCCCCCCAAAACCATGTATTGAAATTCTGATCCCCAGTGTGATAGAATTTGGAGATGGGGCCTTTGGGAAAATTGAGTCATGAGAGTAGAGCCCTCATGATGGGATTAGTGTCTTTATAAGAAGTGAACACACACAAGAGAACTTCCATCCAGTCGCCTTTTTCTGCCATGTGAGGACACAGCAAGAAGGCAGCCCTCTGTAAAGCTGGAAAAGGGCCGTCACCAGACACTGGACCTACTAGTTCCTTCATCCTGGACTTCCCAGCCTCCAGAACTGTGAGAAATGTCTGTGTATTAGGCTGTTCTTGCAGTGCTAGAAATAAATACCTGAGACTGGATAATTTAAAATGAAAATAGATTTAATTGGTTTACAGTTCTGCAGGCTTTACCAGAAGCATGTTGCTGGCATCTGCTCAGCTTCTGGTGAAGCCTCAGGGAGCTTTCAGTCATGGCAGGAGATGAAAGGGGAAGAGGCACATCACACAGCGAAAGCAGGGGCAAGCTTGAGAGAGTCGGGGTGGCAGGAGGTGCCATACACTTTTAAATGAACAGCTCTTACAAGACTCACAGCACCAAGCCATGAGGGATCCACTCCCATGATCTAAACACCTTCCACCAAGCCCCACCTCCCGTACTAAGGATTACAATTCAGCATGAGATTTGGGCGGGGACAAATATCCCAACTGTCAGTCTGTTGTTTAAGTCACCTAGTCTATGGTAATTTGTTATAGCAGCCCAGGCTGATTAAGACACTTCCCTAGTCACAGTCTCGGTGCCCCCCTCCAACTCTCCCTCATCATGAGCCTAGATTAGAACTTGAAACCTAGGTTGTCCAGACTTTTATGGTTATTCTTGCCTTATCCTACAGTAAACAAAGGATGTATTCCCCAACTTTTAATCAGAACAGAATGTGTGAAAACACATTTCCAAGTTTCACATATACTGAACACAACCTTTTACTTAAAAGATGAAAAAGCTGTAGCAAGAGCTGGCTGGTCTGTATTTGAATCCCATTACTTACTAACTAGGCAAGTATTCTGTGTCTCAATTTTTTCATCCTTAAAGTGAGGCTAATGATGGAACCTATCTCATAGGGCTTGTTGTGAAGATTGAGTGAGTTAATACATAAAGTGCTTAGAATAGTATCTGGTACACAGCAAGTACTGTCTCAGTGTTAGCTCTTTATTAGAAGTATTGTTATTCATCATTAATGGGCTCTTCTTATTAATGCCAAAACAGGCAGACTTTGCTTAGGGAATCTTCATTTTGCTCCTTGAGTTCACATCTGGGATGTAGGTACTTAGCTCTCAAAGAGAGCTGACTACAATCTAAGGCAAAAATAAACTATTTGTAGTCCAGGAAGTTCTAAGGAAGAAACAGTCTCCCTGCCTATCTGGTCCTGTTCGTATACATATGATTAACATTTCCCCCATATTTCCCCTCTAATTATACTTACGTTCTGATCTTTTGCACATGCAAGTTTAAATAAACTTCCCTCTGTTAGACTATGGGAAACAGTTAAATCTGGAATGCACAGAGCTGCTGTATCCAAAGTACTGCAGGTGATTTGGCAGAAGGGTGGTATAAGGAGTAGGATGGTCTGAGCACATCTGGCAGGCACCAGAAGCCAATGGAGAGTCTGTGTATGAAGCTTCTGAATGAAATGGAATATAGTTTCCTCTGTGAGGAGCTAGGACAACGTGGTCCCCAAGGAAAATCTGAAGAGCACTCTGTAACTTATTAGTCAGTGAGTCAAAGAGGGAAAATGGAAGGCTATATCACTGACTATGTAAGCTTTATAAATTTTGAGGTGTTCGGGCCTTTTCTCTGCCTCTCTAGTTCAGCTCAGATTACTACCTGATTCTAGAATGGGATCTAAAACTCAGTTGTAATGGGTAAATCTCAAGATGTATCCATTTACTTCTATATCAGTGGGCATATTGGGAACTATACCTCTAGATTGCTGATCAGTTGATGTATCTGTCTCTAATTTTACCATATATTTGCTGTACCAATAAATGCCTTTTTAATGTTAAACATTTTCCAACAAATATTTCCACCATGTCTTTGCCACTGAAAAGACATTTTATATCAGGAAGAGCCTTAGATTTTTCAAACTGTGTATGGATCAAAAAGTACTTTAATTAAGCTGTGCCCAGACTAAAAAAAATACAAACAAAAAAACCCCATTTCAAAATGAAAGTGAATAGTTGTGGCCTTTGATTTTAAAAAATCTCACAAGATAGACTGAGACTATTTTGTAGTAGTAGTAGTTTAATTCAAATACCCAAATATTAGCAGGGCATAGTGGCATGCATCTGTAGTCCCAGCTACTTGGGAGGCTGAGGCGGGAGGATTGCTTGAGCCCAGGAGTTCTAGGCTGCAGTGAGCTATGATTGTGCAATTGCACTCTAGTGTGGGTGACAGAGCAAGACCCTGCCTCTAAAGAAAATACAAAATAAATAAACGAAATATACAAAGATTGCAAAGTGTGCAGTTTGTGGTCTTCCCTTTACCAATGTACCTGTGTGTGAAATAGAATTTTCGTTACATGCTACAATTAAAATAATATTTCAATAGACTTGATGCTGTTCTTGATTTGAAGATCCAATTTAGCAACTGCATTCTGGCATTTATTCCCCTCCTTACCCATCCACCTTGTTTTATGCATAGAATAAACCCATAAAATGTTCTTTCTTAGTTCTTAGTTTCCTGGTGTGTCTATCCACCCATTAGAATAATGGGTCTGTCTTTTACATTTCTGTAAAACTGTGTGCCATTATATTACTTACTAAATTGTATTTTAATTTAATGTATATAATTTCTGTCCAACTCCAATAAAATATCAAACCCTTAAAGATAGGGATAGTATTCATCTTTGTATTTTTAGCATTCAGCGTAATGACCAGCATATAATAGACATTCTGCAAATATTTGAATCATTATTTTATACATTAAGAAATGGATGATGAGTAAGGTGTAACAACTTCACTAACTTATCTAGTCAGTAGCAGAATTGGCACTAGGACTAGACCCCGGGACTTCAGGTTCCCCCCCGGGTAACCCCCAAGTCTTTCCTTTGTTGTAGGGGTTTGTTGACATGGACAATAAGGTCCTACATAGACATAGTTTTATAATGAGTTCAGAAATGGCTCGACAAAAGTGAAACCTGTGACAAATACCGGATTATTTGTATTGTAGACCTTGGTCTTAATAATTTTGTTTTTCTTCGAGGGTTGATGGCAGGTCATGAGATTTGAGAGACACACACAGTAGTCAACTGTATGGAAAATACTGAGGAAGTGTGTTTTCGGATTACAAAACTAAACTGGGATCAACTTGGACTTTTTCAGTCAAGCTGTTAGAATGTGTGTCTAAAGTTGGCCTGCTTATCATGTGTTATAATATAATATTGGTTTGGTCAGACCCTCTGATTTGTCAAATCCTTGCCAAAAATGGGTCCCATAGAAGGCAACCTGGGATTAGAATGCTTTTCAATGTAAAGTCTCAGGTTTCCAGGGTAAACCATCTTCACTTAGCAGAACTAATTCCTTTAACAAGCATTTGTTGATTCCAACTGTGTGTCGGGTACTGTGCTAGCCTGGAGCAGCAAAGAAGGATAAAAAGAACCTTGTTTTAGAGGAGCTATTAAGTCAGATTCTGTCCCCAAACTGAACAGCTACACAAAGAGGTGATTTCTGTTTGAGGGGTTTGTGTGATCATCTAACAACAAAGGAGCTGGGAACCAAGAAAGTTGGGTCAATAATAACAATGACTACATTAATCCAGTATCATGCCAGGTTCTATTCTAAGCAATTTACATGTATTACTTAAGTATTTGTTTACATTTGCGGAAGTTTTCCTTGTCCCGGGCCCATTCAATGTGTTATTTTTATCTCTACGTTTAGAAACTTTGACCTTTTTTGTTTTGTGGCTTGTCCCTTATTTGATTTAAAAAGTCATTATATGGCCAGGCGTGGTGGCTCACGCCTGTAATCCCAGCACTTTGGGAGGCCAAGGTGGGCAGATCACCTGAGGTCAGTAGTCCAAGACCAGCCTGACCAGCAAGGAGAAACTCCCATCTCTACTAAAATACAAAATTAGCCGGGTGTGGTGATGCATGCCTGTAATCCCAGCTACTCCAGAGGCTGAGGCAGGAGAATCGCTTTAACCCTGAGGCGGAGGTTGCAGTGAGCTGAGATTCCGCCATTGCACTCCAGCCTGGGCAACAAAAGTGAAACTCCATCTCAAAAAAAAAAAAAAAAAAGTCATTATAATCACCTAGTAGCTTTAGATATGACTCTATATATAATGTATAGAACAGAGAAGAGTTGTTTGCTCCATAAACATGTACAATTATTTGTCAAAAGAGAAATACAAGTTATTCATATTAGTATTCACAGTCTTCCCTTTAGTTTCTCACCGACTCAGTGTATCTACCAAGATTCCCTTGGTAATATCTGTCCCTCAGGTAGTCTGCTTGCCCAGTGGTAAGTCTTTCTAGGGTGGAAGGATTCTTTCTTACTGGGTCTTCTTCCAGGACTCTACTTCTTTCTAATAGGCTGAATGGAGCGAAAATGTAAAAATAGGGAAGACACGCTGAATCTTCTTAATAAAGAATTTTTAAGATAAAGGGGAAAGGGGAGAATGCAAATTTGAAACTGGTTTTGAAGGTTGGGAGTGGGGTAGGTTGGTGAATGAGAGACCCTTGAGCAACTATATTATATGAGAGAATTGATTAAGAGATAAAAAGTGTGTTACGATTTTGATTTCTTCTCGTATCCATTGAGGAAAGCATGTAAAGACTGGAATTACTGTTTTTTCACTTTTGATTGTTGGACTTTCTACCCAGGACAGCCACTTAGATTGCTGGGGTTTATTCAGGTTATACATACCATGCCTCTCTATTTTAACTGGCTTTTTGTCCCTTTCCTTGCTCAGCAGTTTTTCTGCAAGTAGCTGATAAATCAGGAATTCTTAAATTCTTTTAAAGGGTTTTTCCTGAAAGATAAGTTTTTTTAGAGAAGTAGAGTGGGCCTAGGGAATAATACCAACCTTAGATGTGGAACCTCTAGGGGCTGGTCAAATGTATTTGGCACACTTACTCTTTACTATGTCATCAACAAGACTTGGATGTCTTTCCTATTTACTGCCTTTGTCGTTGGAGCTACGATTCACATCTGTTCCAGAGGTCATGGAAACTCTTCATCTCTCAGCATTTCTAGTGGGTATCCTTGGCAGGCTTAAAGCAGAGTCAGGAGGGTGAGAGCTCAGAGAGAGGCTAAGGTGAAAGCACTTTGTAAACTTATAGAGGATGGTATTTTGTACAAAGCCTGGCACACAGCAGACATTCAGTAAAAATGCATAGAATTAAAAGAAAAGGAAAAAAAGCAGATACCTTTTACTCATAGCAGTAATCTCTCTTCTGCTCCCCCTACCTTGGTCAGGATAAGAGTGCCTTGTGACATGGATTAACACCATACGAGTAATAGTTTATATTATTTAATCTCATTTCTTAAACTAGCCCTACAAAATATAGTATGATTTTGATTTTATGTTTATGGGAATGAAGGTTTTAGAGGGTCTATGTCACTTGCCCAAATATTACCCTTGTAATAAGAGATGGAACTGGGATTGGAATGTAAATGTGTCTAGCTTCAAAACCTTTTATTTATTTTTTTTCTACCTTTCTGGCCGGTACAGCTGTCAGACTATGTTTAGAAGTCTCATGGGTCCTTCAAGTGACTTTACTAATGGTCTTATGAAAAGCTGTCTCCCCTGAGAATTGGTGTTTGACGTTCTTGGTTCATTCAGCAAATGTGTGCTTAGCCCCAGCTATAAGCATGAACTGTACTAGACAGCAAAGGTGGACACCAAAGAAATAATCCCATCCTCATGGAGCTGCCAGTGTAGTGAGTGATCATAAATATAAACAATGTTGGGCAGAGTGATGTTAGCAGTATAACGTGAGGTTGTCCTGGAGGAACACGGAAGAGGGATTGAATGAGGGAAGGAAAAGAATCAGCCCCTCTTATGTAAGAGGCAGCACTATGTCTGCCAGAGCCTAACATCTCTTTTAGCCACCTTAGCTCATTTAATCTTCACTATAACCATGTAATATCCTGATTATACAGATCAGCAACCTACTTGGCGTTTCACAACAAGGAGCAGATGGATAGGATTTTCAATCTCAGAACTGTCTGGCTGCAAGTCCCTGCCCTTTTCATTAGACTACTGAGTATAGACTAAGTATAGGTTTTTCCTAATGTATGTTTTTTAAATACATGATAGTTAAAGTTCTATTCTGTATACAAGGGTATGCGTTGTGTGAGACTCAGTGTGTCTATCGAGATGCCCTTGGTTCTGTCTGCACCTCAGGCAGTCTGCTTGCTCAGTGGTGAGTCTTCAGATGTTGCTGCTTTTGCCACGTTTTCTAACAGTGCTGGCTGTCTCATCTTCCCTCTGTGAGGGTGGGGCTCTGGTTTGGTCTCTGTTAAGTCCATTGTGGAGAGAACTACAGCAACTCATGTGCCTAAGCCCCATTTGGCCAGACCCTGGCCTCTCCTACCACTTTCAAGTTCAAACGTGGGGTGTGTTCTTCCCCAGTGACTGTCCAGAGTGGCTGGGTAAACACAGCCTGGAAGTAGGGAGTGAGGGCAGTTGACATCACTGACCAGAGCAGTTGGAAGCTGGAGAAGGGAAGGAGCCAGCAGACAAATTGCTTCGTGTCTGCCTGCCTTTCTCCTCCATTTACCCCTTACACACACACACACACACACATACACACACACACGCACACACACATACAATATTAGTAGTTCCATACAACCCATCCTGTAACCTTCTAAATGAGCAGTTGTCTGTGTTTTCATGCTAAGCCGTAGCGGGTTTGTTGATGCATATAGCCTTGGTTTCCTTTCCCTCCTATTCTTTCCTACCAGTCTTTCCCCACTCTCTGCTCTGAGATTGCAACACATGATAAACAGGTAAGCTTTGCTCCAGACTGTTTTCTAGAACCTGGGCACAATAGTAGTCAATAAAAAACATCTTGCCCATCACAGACCCTTGCCCTGTTTGCCCTGTTTTATACCTTGTTATTTTTCACTTAGCATAAATCAGGTAATATTTGAATACTACCATATGATTAATGTGCACCAAAATCCTGTGAGATAAAATAAACCATGAGTGTAGTTCCGTATTTGCATATATAGGTCAATTGTATTTTCTTTTCTTTTTTTTTTTTTTTTTTGAGACGGAGTCTCGCTCTGTCGCCCAGGCTGGAGTGCAGTGGCGGGATCTCAGCTCACTGCAAGCTCCGCCTCCCGGGTTCACGCCATTCTCCTGCCTCAGCCTCCCAAGTAGCTGGGACTACAGGCGCCCGCCACTACGCCCGGCTAATTTTTTGTATTTTTAGTAGAGACGGGGTTTCACCGTTTTAGCCGGGATGGTCTCGATCTCCTGACCTCGTGATCCGCCCGCCTCGGCCTCCCAAAGTGCTGGGATTACAGGCGTGAGCCACCGCGCCCGGCCAGTATTTTCTTTTTTAAAGGAAAGATTATTGCTTTTGTTAAAATGGTACATGTTCGTTATAAATCAAGAAATGCTAAAACAAACAAACAAAAAACCCCACGCCAGATGCCATCATCTGGTGATAACCTTTAGGTGAATAACGTTCTGGGGGCGCTCATGAAGCTCAGCTTTTCTCATTATCTTTATAGTAGTGTCCGAGTATACTACTGTAATTTAACCAACCTGACCAGTTGATAAGCAGTTACAGTATTTTATTTACTTAAAAAATGTGCTGAAATGACCATCCTTATAAATGCCTTTGGATTTTTTAAACTTGTTGGTATGTAAGATATATTTCTCCCCCTGAAAATTTTTATTCAGATACTACCTTGTGACCAACACACCTGTTTTGCAGATGAAAGACTCTGGGCCAAAGCAAAACTAATAGCAAGATAATCTGCCCTTAGGCGACTCTTCTAATGAGAAAGAATGGGAACACAAAACACTGTATAAGGGATGCAAGTTTCACATCCCAGATTTTGGTAACCAAAAGAAACCATAGGCCACACAGCTGATCAGAGGTATATTTGAGCTATTCCATTACATTTTAGATTTTAACTTTGCTACAGTAAGTCATGGCTCAAATACAGTAGAGGCACTGATTGATCATTAAGTTTATATACACTGTAAACTAACCCAGTTAAAAGGCAACAGCACCATATTTTGAAGACAGGGTGACCAAGTTTCTAATGCAATGATTGCCATTGATTAATACAATGAACTGGAGACCAGCAGGGATGATAAATTTTCCTGGCATTGAGAATTACTTATCTGACTTTTTTTTTTTTTTTTTTTGAGACAGGGTCTCTGTCACTCTGTCACCCAGGCTGGAGTGCAGTGGTACAATCATTGCTCACTGCAGCCTTGACCTCCTGGGCTCAAGTGATCCTCCCACCTCAGCCTCCTGAGTAGCTGGGACTACAGGCACATGCCACCATGCCCGTAAATATAAATTTATTTAATAAGTAAATTTATTAATTTTAAACAAATTAAAAAATTTTTTAATTTTTAAAAAATTTGTTTGTAGCGATGGGGTCTCGCTGTGTTTCCCAGGCTGGTCTCAAACTCCTAGCCTCAAGCAATTCTCCCACCTCAGCCTCCCAAAGTGCTGGGGTTATAGGCATGAGCCGCCATGCCTGGACTTATCTGACTTTAAAGATGCTTTTCTGGGGTCTGAAGTTGAAGATTTAAACCTATAGAGTTTATTTTTGCTGTCTTGTCTTTTTTTTTTCAGTTTGTTAACATGCTGTGTAGTTCTGTTACAAACATATGTAGTGAAAGACCAGCTTTTATTAGGGTTAATTGTTCCTTTTCTCATTTGGTATGCACTAGTATTTAGTGAAATTCTTCCTTCGTGTAGTATGCTTTGTTTCTATTTTTATTAAAACATTTGTTTGTATTGTGACTATTTGTGTAGTAATTTATATATTTAATTTGTAGCTTGCTTTTCAGCCATCAGTACTGTATTTCAGTGACTTCTGCACAAACGTGATTTAACTATAGGAAATTTTTTTGTCCAGGATAATTTACATAAAGTCCCTCACTTGAGAATTTCAGGTGACAGAAGTTTACTATATTTCTAAATAGCAAGCCTATTATAGAGTAGATCAGAATTAATCATATTCATGAACAGTATTAATCTGTTGAATAATCAAACCATCAAGGCAGATGCATTGGTTGAGTTGCTGTTCATGGACTTCCTGGTTGAACAAAATGGTCTTGCCATTCTTAGCAAAGAAATACCTCAGCATGTGGCAACTCATGGATGTGGCCAGTAAGTGCTGTGAGAAGTGAACAAAGAATAGAAAATTAAGCACTGACAGCCGGGCGCAGTGGCTCACGCCTGTAATCCCAGCACTTTGGGAGGCCGAGGCGGGCGGATCACGAGGTCAGGAGATTGAGACCATCTTGGCTAACACGGTGAAACCCCGTCTCTACTAAAAATACAAAAAATTAGCCGGGCGCAGTGGCGGGTGCCGGTAGTCCCAGCTACTCGGGAGGCTGAGGCAGGAGAATGGCGTGAATCCGGGAGGCGGAGCTTGCAGTGAGCAGAGATAGCGCCACTGCCTGGGGGGAAGAGCAAGACTCCGTCTCAAAAAAAAAAAAAAAAAAAAAGAAAAAGAAAATTAAGCACTGACATATTCTGAGATGTTTTCTGAAGGAGCTCAGGCTAAATGCTCTCACCTCCTTAATACTGGCTGAGAGGCTGGATCTTCTGCCTGCAGCCCAGTAGCACTTGGTTTATAACACTATATGAAGTGACTGCATCTCTAAGCCAAAAATCATGATACATGTTCTAAGACAGATTATAGACTGGTATCTTTAGCCTGAATTCCATCTATAAAGTGTTTTGCTTGGCCTGCAGTGTTTTAAACACTTTTAATTAGTCGTAGATTGTTAAAAGCTGAGATCTCTTACATAAAATCCGTAAAATGTCCAGCTTCCAGATCTGGGAACACTGGGCCCAAATTTCTGCCTAGCAGCAATTAGCTGGAACTGGGTGGTAGCTTTCCATTTAAGCCAAAGCATATGCTTTCTAGTCTGCTGTATCACATGCACGCACGCACACATACATGCACACACCAGTCACTCATATATGTACCTACCTGACCCTTTACACTTCCAGACCATATGCCCTTCGAAGGCAGGATTTTTGTCTGTTTTGTTCATTGCTTTTTTCTCATGACCAGAATGTTGTCTGGCACAAAGTAGGTTAAAGGATATTGCTAGATGGAGGAAGAATGTATTTGTGACTCTTGGTCCAAGTTGATGGGGGAAAAGAAAACAGAAGTTTTCAATTTGGAGCTCCTCCAGATATTTGAGCTATGTTCCCCTTTACCCCTGAGATACTGTATGGCTCAGGAATATACCTTAGTATCATAATTTTGTATATGACTTATCTCCCTTGCTAGATGGTAAATTCATTGGGTTCAGGGACCTGTCTTGTATTTTTTTGCATCCTTAAGAATACCTTGCACATAATGGAAGCTTAAATACTCCTTGGATGGTTAGTGGGTTTTTAAAATTTCTCATGTAACTTTGTGAATAAAGATGGGGAGATTCTAATGAATATGTTGTTCTGGAGGATCATTTGAGAAGCAACCATTTGAGTTGCTTCTCCACTATATTTTCTCCAAGCCCTATCCCCAATTACATTCTATTCGCCATCATAGTCTGGATGGGGAATAGAATGTAATTGGGGATAGGGCTTGGAGAAAATATAGTGAATATAGAAGGTTTTTGATAATCCTTAACCCCTGCTCTTTGGTAGCAGGGTAAATTAACCCCCCATCCTCACTTTGTGCATATTCTATTTTAGTACTCATCTTTTTTTTTTTTTTTTTTTTTTTTGAGATGGAGTCTTGCTCTGTCGCCCAGCCTGGAATACAGTGGTGTGATCTCAGTTTACTGCAACCTCCACCTCCTGGGTTCAAGCAATTCTCCTGCCTCAGCCTCCCAAGTAGCTGGGACTACAGACATGCACCACTGTACCTGGCTAATTTTTGTATTTTTAGTAGAGACGGAAATCTAATTTCGCCATGTTGGCCAGGCTGGCCTTGAACTCCTGACCTCAGGTGATCCACCTGCCTCGGCCTCCCAAAGTGCTGGGATTACAGGCGTGAGCCACTGTGCCCAGCCTATTTTAGTACTCATCATATTATGTTAAAGAGCTTGTCTCCTACACTGGACTGTGATTTCCCTATCATTAAGAACTCGGTATGGTTTTTGTGCATCTAACAGCTAATACTTGATAATGTTTGTGTGCCAACTCTGTATAAACACTATTCTAGGAACTCAGTAAATGTTTGCATTGAATTGAGTTTGTGTTAGGAGTTGTATTAGAACTCTACACCACCTTATAGTTTATAAAACATATGTATATTCATTGTCTTATTTAATTTTGAAATCAACTGAGTGCTGCAAATGAGAAAAATCAAAGCCCAGAGAAAACTGTAACTGGTCCATAATTACACAGCAGTTAATGGCTGAACATCCAGGCTGAACTTTGCCAGTTAGTGGCTGAATATTCACGAAATTCTGATGCCTCCATAGAGCGGGATAGAATTATGGAGGACTTGTCATTCTGGACTGCGGAATTTGGACCTGTGTATTGAAACAAGAAGAGAAAGGGAAGTGTTTCTTAAGTTATTTTTGGATGAAGGCTTTTTGCGATCCAAGGCTTCATCCCCTCAAGCTCAACAATAGCATTCCTTGGGGGAGTGAGAAGATGATGAATGGTCATCAGTTTGCTTGCCTCACCCAGATTCCATTCCTACCTCCCAGAATTTTCCCTGGTCCCACCCAGCTCCACAGTAACAATCAATCCCAATCAGTGACTGTACTTCATTTTTTGGATCAAGGAATACCCCTCCCTTTTCTGTCTTCCTCCTTAGGGCTTTGGATAGGAGCCCTTTAATTGATGTTGACTAAACTGGAGGCCAGCCCCTGCATACCAGGAATGCCAGTGGCTTTGTTAGTTGAGGAGGGCGCTGCATTAGCACTGCCCTCTAAATCCCAGAGCAGGTGGAGGAAATCTAATTAGCATTTAGTAAGCCAAGGTGCCCTGGGGAGTTTCTGATAAAGAAAAGGTCACTGCAGAAGGAGAAGGGACACTGATAGGGAGACTTCATTTTCCTAGTGGGAACTTTCTGAAATGGACTGGCAATCAGGTGAGCTGGATTCTAATGCCTGCCTTACTGGTGGCTTTTTAATCACACTTAAGTCCCTCTGCTTATCTGAGATTTCATTTTCTTGTCTGTGTCTAGTCCGTTACCAGACTCCTTTTCCTACACAAATATTTGTTTCATAACAGTGGAAGGGACCTCAGATCATTAAGTTGCTATCACCTTGGGGTGACAGGTACACTAAAATCTCAGAAGTCACCACTAAAGATCTTATTCATGTAACCAAATAACACCTGTTCCCCAAAACCCTGTTGAAATAAAAAAAATGACTGCAGCCATTCCCACCCTTGTATTTCAAGCATAGCATTGCCACCTACTTGCAAAATACTATATAGACGTATATATATATATTTTTAAAAAGGTGCTATTACCTGGGAAGCTTTTCCCAACATTACATATGTCCAAATCTCACTCTGTATCTACTGAATCTTCTGATATCAGTAGATATGTAGTAAATATGTATAGTTTGGGGAAAATTTCTCAGGAAAGTTTGATAAAATCCCTGGTTTATGCTTTTTTGAAGAACTTAAACACATATAGCAAACTCAAGGCCTATCACAGCATTTGCTATCATAGTTGTTAGTAATATGTTTGGAGAGGAATTTGGGGGGATGGCTATTAAGTGAGAAGCTAGAGGTAGAATAACCACTGCAAGCAATAAGCATTTTACAAAATGGGGATTGAGCTCTATTCGTAGGTGATGAAATCAATGGTAATGAGTTGCTACCAGTATTTTCAAAGTAAAATAGTATACAAAAAGTAGCATGTATTGTGTCCAGTTAAGGATATTTATTGAAACTTTTAAGTTCATTGTATTTATAGATACTGTGCTACAATTTAAAAGACATTTCTTACTGAATTTTTGTCAAAATCCATTGACCTAGATAGGAATCTGTATTGGAGTAAAGATGGTTCTAAGGGGAAGGAGTGTAGAGAAGCAATGTGGGAGCCACATGCGGTGGTTCATGCCTATATTCTCAGTACTTTGGGAGGCGGAGGTGGGAGGATAGCTTGAGGCCAGGAATTCCAGAAGCAATGTGGAAAGGACACTAGGGAATGTAGGTTCTAGTCTTTATCCAAGCTCTTTGACTTCAAGCAAATCACATTTTTCTCCTGGACCTTACATTCTTTTTTCTCATTGCCCTTAGTACCTTCTGTCTGACTTCAACCCCACATCTGCTTGACAAGAATTAACTCAAATATCTCTTCTTAACACCTACCTGATTCTGGCATACAGTAAGTGCTTATAAATATATGTTAAATGGGTGAGAACCTTTCCCTTAGGTCTGTGGGTACTTTCACTGGGCTTGTATATCTACCACTCCATTTAAAACTCTACTTACAGCTTTTTAAGAAAATGTATTTCTAAGCCAGGCACAGTGGCTCATGCCTACATTTCCAGCAGTTTGGGAGGCTGAGGTGGGTGGATTTTGTGCTTGGAAATTCGAGACCAGTCTAGGCAACGTGGCAAAACCCCATCTCTACAAAAAATACAAAAATTAGCAGGGTCATAGTAGTGCGTGCCTATAGTCCCAACTACTTGGGAGGCTGAAGTGAGAGGATTGCCTAAGCCTGGGAGGTGAAGACTGCAGTGAGCTGTGGGTGTCCCACTGCACTTCAGCCTTGGCAACAAAGTGAGACCCTGTCTCAAAAAAAAAAAAAAAAGAAAATATATTTCTATTTATCTTTTACTAGGTTGTGGTCCCCTGGAAAGCAGACATTTTTATTCATCTGTGTATTCTCAGTACTTAACACAGTACCTGGTATGTAATAGGTGCTTCATAGATGTTGGAGAGAATACATATTTTTAAGAGGAGTATTTTAGTAGATGACTCATAAAACATTTATTGAGCACCTACTATATACCAGGCAGTGTGGTAGGTATGGGAAGTGATACAAATGTGTGTAAGAGACCAACATCTTCCCTTGAGGAATTTAGAGATTAATTGAAGCATAAGCACACAGAATTGCTGACAAAGCCATTAGTGTTAGTCTCTAGCTATGTGGTTGCTTATGCAGCTCATGTGTAACTTCTCATTTCTGTGTTTGAATACTGGTCACCAGAACCAGACAGGAAGAATGTCTTTCCGTTCTGATTAATTTTCTTAGGAATTAAGTAAGAAATTGTGTATCTGATATGGTGATCTAGTTCCAAGGAAGGTTAACTTGAGTTGGCAAAAGGAGCCTCATCTTTTTTATATTAGTTACTGGGAGGTTGTTTAAAAATCTCCCATTATGTAATGGACTTGTCACTTTCTACTTATAGTAATGGCAATTCTTGCTTTATATATTTCGAGGCCATATTACTAGGTACACATACTTTTTAGAAGTACATGACTTCTGGGCCTTTGAACCTCTTATCTTTGTGAAGTGCCTGACCCTCTTTGCCTTTTTACCTTAATATCTTTTTTTGCTTGGTAGTCATATACCTGCAGCAGCATTCTTTTGAGTAATGTATATGCTTTATGTAATTTTTTCCATCCTTTGATTTCAACCTACCTGTGCTCTTGTATTTTAGGTGTATCTTTAAAAAACAGTATGTAGCTAGATTATGTTTTTGTTTAGTCTGGAAAGTCTTTCTTTTAACTTGAGAATTTAGTTAATTCACATTTATTGTGGTTAATACAGTGAGACAGGCTTTATCTTTTAAATGGTGAATTAAATTGATTTACATTTATTGTGATTATGGAAATGTTTTGATTTGTTGCAACCGTGTAGTGTTGTACCTTACCTTACACTGAAATTTTCTGTTGTTTTTTTTAATCTTACCTTTTGGATTGAACATTTTGTTTCCTTTTTCTAATTTCCTTTTTATCCCTCTGCTTATTTGGAAGTTACACTCTAACTACTTCATTAGAAGTTACTCTAGGTATTTTATTATGCATACTTATTAAAATGTTTAAATTTAATAGATAATACATGCACATGGCTTAAACACAAAATATTTGAAAAGTATACTGTGAGAAGTCTCTTCTCTATCCTTCTGCCACCATCTGCTCATTTCTAATAACCTGGTGTATTTATCTTTATAATGTATGTTGGCCTGTTAACATATTAGATATGTTAGAATATATCTAATAGAGATTATAAATACGCATACAAATACGTATTAACTCCTCCATTTATACAAATAAAGGACAACTTTCTCTATACTTGCTTTTTTTTTTTTTACTTCATAATATATCTTGATGCTCTTTCCATATTGATACATGAACAGTTTTCTTCCCCATGCCTTTTTAAAAAGCAGCTGAGTGGTAGTACATCAATTGGTGAAGGCATAACTAAGTCTTTACTGATGAGCATTTACATTGTTTTCAATATTACTCTTTTAAATAGATCCCAAAATGCACATATGTCATTGTGCACATGTTAGTTTATCTCTAGGATAAGTTTCTGGCATTGCCTGGTTAAAGGATATATACTCTTACACTTTTGGTAGATTATATGTAATTTTGCCACATTGCTCTCCAGAGGGTTTGTAACTATTTACACTCCTGCCTCTTTTTCCACAGTCTTGCCAAGATGATTACCAAAGTTCTGTATGTTTGCCAGTCTAATGAGAGAAAAGTAATATTTAAGTGTATTTTTAATTTGTATTCCTTTTGTAAGTCAACATTGATCTTTTCACATGTTTAAAAATCATTTATAGTTATTTGTCTGTGAACATTTGCTTATTTTTCTGCAGGGTTAATGTTCTTACTGATTTGTAGGAGCTCTTTATGTAGGAGATTAGCCCTTTGTAATAGGAATTGTGAATTTTAGCGAAATATTTATGACTTCTAACCCAAGTTACCATTTTTTTCCTTGCTTTGTCCATAGGCATTTGTGTGGGTGTGGGGGGGTGTGTCCGTGTTGCCATGCAGGATTTGAAAATAGTTTTCATTTTTAGATTTATAGGTTTCTGTGTAGTCACTATAACAATCATTGTTATGGTTTCTGGATTTTAGGTAATAGACTTTCCCTCTTATAGGCTATAAAAGAAATGTACTATGTTTTATAATTTCATTTTATATTACATTTAAATCTGATCCAGTTGGAATTTTTCCTGATCTATGCTTAGAGGTACAGGTTCAACTTTGTTTCAGCTTTATTTTTAACAGTGTCATTAAATCTTTCCCATGGATTTGAGGTGCTACTTCTATCATAATCTAAGCATTTTATGCATTAGTAACCATTTGTGAACTCACTAAGTATTAAATTCCATTAGTCTGTATACTTATAAAATATATATAGCAATACGCTTTGTTTTGATTAATGAGGTGTGTTTTACCATATGGTTGTAATAGTGTCCTCTGCTATTCTTGTTTTTCTTTATGAACTTTACAATTGTATTCTCTTATTTAGAACAAATATGGTGGGTTTTTTGTTGTTGTTGTTGTTGTTGTTTTTCTTTGAGACGAAGTTTTGCTCTGTTGCCCAGGTTGGACTGCAGTGACAAGATCTTGGCTCACTGCAACTGCCGCCTCCTAAGTTCAAGCGATTCTCCAGCCTCAGCCTCCTGAGTAGCTGGGATTAACAGGGACATGCTACCACCCCCAGCTAATTTTTGTATTTTTAGTACAGACAGGTTTTCGCCATGTTGGCCAGGCTGGTCTCAAACTCCTGACCTCAGGCGATCCACCTGCCTCAGCCTCCCAAAGTGCTGTGATTACAGGCATGAGCCACCACACCTGGCCAAAAAAATGGTGTTTTTACTGAGTTTATGTTAAATTAATAAATTCATTTAGGGAGATTTGAGCTCTTTATCAGCACATACATTTTAATTTTTTAATTTGGCCTAAAGTATAGCAGTATATTTACTCTCTGTATTAGTTTCTTTTTTCTTTCCTCCTCCTCTTCTTCTTTTTTTTTTTTTTAAATACAGAAACAGGGCTTCGTCATATTGTCCAGGCTGGTCTCAAGTACTGTGCCAGCTTTGGCCTCCCAAAATGCTAGGATCACAGGCTTGAGCTATCATGCCAGGCCCTTAGTAGTTTCTTGTAGTTGCTGTAACAAATGACTACAAATTTGTTGGCTTAAGACAATAGAGATTTATCGTCTTACAGTTCAGGAGAGAATAAATCCAGGTGTTACAGCGCTGTGTTCCTTCTGAAAGCACTGGGGAAAATCTTTTGCCTCTTTTGGCTTCCGGTGGCTCCAGATGTTCCTTGGTTCATGGTTGCATCACTCCAATCTCTGCCCATGGTCACACTGTCTCTTCCTCCTCTCTCTTCTGTCCCTCTGTCTGTTCTTCCTCTATCTCTGTCTTATATGGATACATATGATTACATTTAGAGTTTCCCTGAATTCTCCAAGAGAAGTGCTGCCTATGAATATTATCTTATATGGCCTAAGGGTCTGAGACCTTTAACTTAATCACATTTTATGTCATATAAGGTAATATTCACAGGTTCCAGGGATTAGGACATGGGCATATCTTTTGGGAAGGGACCATTCAACGCACTACACCCTTCTTCCAAATCATGTAAGAATCTTAGCATACCTAAACTTGAATCACTCCTCCTAACTTATGTTATTGTTGGCCGGTATTTTCTATCTTATTTATTTATACCCACTTAAAATAATATTCTTGTTTTACACTGGAAGTGTTCAGATTTCCCATGTATTTATCAATATCTGTGCTCGTCTTTGTTTTCTTTTATGTCAGACCTTCCATCTGGGATTATTTTTCTTCCTAAAGTATATCCTTTAGAATTGCCTTTAGTGAGAGTCTGTCTGTGGCAATTTCTGTTTTTTTGTCTGAAAATATCTTTATTTTGCATTCATTGAGTTTGAATGGCTATTGACTTCTGCATTGAAAGTTATTTTTTCTTAGCACATTGAAAAATTATTCTGTGATCTTCTAGATTTCACTGTTGCTGTTCAGGAGTTAGCTGATAGTCTAATTGCCATTCTTCTGCAGGTGATCTCTTGTTTCTCTTTTAATGTCTTCTTTTTTGTCTTTGGTATTCAATTTCATTACCATATGTGGTTTCTATTTATCCTGCTTGACATTTGTTTAGCTTACTGGATATGCGGTTTGGTATTCTTTCAATGGTTCTGAAAACATACCAGCCAAAGGCAGGCATAGAATAATACTCCATCCTCTCTTATTTAATTATTGAACTTCAGTTACAAGATTAGATATATGTTAGACCCTCTTACTCTATCATCCACGTCTCTTAAACTCTGATTTTTTCATATCTTTAGTTCTTGGTCACATTCTATGGAATTTCTTTGGATTGCTCTTCCAGTTGACTAACTCTTTAGCTCTATTTAATCTGTTTAACTTGACCATGGACTTTTTCATTTCAATTGTAATTTTCATTTTTGGACATTCAGTTTGGTTTGTTTTCAAAAGTATTTAGTTCTTTTTTATACTCTCGTTTGCTAATTTTTTCAAGCTTCTCTTCTAAATCTTAAAAATTTTATATTCTGTCTCTAATTCCAACATGTGAAGTCTTTGAAGATACGATTCTGTCATCAGTTTTTCCTGGCTGTCATTCATTATGGTATTATGGCTTATTTCCATATATGTTTTTGTTTTACTTTTAACAGCAAGTGTTCCTTAGGACTTTACCTGTGGAAGCTATTTGAGGCCTAGGTTAAACATTTATTCTACCAGAATGGATTAGAGGCTGCTGCCTCCAGTAGCCTCAGGACATTATTAATCCTGGACTACTTTTAGATCTTCACTTGAAGTATCATGAATTTGATCACAAACTTGCATTAGAGCCAGATTTTGATTACAGACTTTTAGGAAAGACATTACTTCTTTTTTTTTTTTTTGGTCACTTTATTATTATTATTATTATTATTATTATTATTATTATATTTTAAGTTCTAGGGTACATGTGCACAACATGCAGGTTTGTTACATATGTGTACATGTGTCATGTTGGTGTGCTGCACCCATTAACTTGTCGTTTACATTAGGTATATCTCCTAATGCTATCCCTCTCCCCTCCCCCCACCCCACAACAGGCCCCGGTGTGTGATGTTCCCCTTCCTGTGTCCAAGTGTTCTCATTGTTCAATTCCCACCTATGAGTGAGAACATGCGGTGTTTGGTTTTTTGTCCCTGCAATAGTTGACTGAGAATGATGGTTTCCAGCTTCATCCATGTCCCTACAAAGGACATGAACTCATCCTTTTTTATGGCTGCATAGTATTCCATGGTGTATATGTGCCACATTTTCTTAATCCAGTCTATCATTGATGGACATTTGGGTTGGTTCCAAGTCTTTGCTATTGTGAATAGTGCCGCAATAAACATACATGTACATGTGTCTTTATAGCAGCAAGATTTATAATCCTTTGGGTATATACCCAGTAATGGGATGGCTGGATCAAATGGTATTTCTAGTTCTAGATCCTTGAGGAATTGCCACAGTGTCTTCCACAATGGTTGAACCAGTTTACAGCCCCACCAACAGTGTAAAAGTGTTCCTATTTCTCCACATCCTCTCCAGCACCTGTTGTTTCCTGACTTTTTAATGATCACCATTCTAACTGGTGTGAGATGGTATCTCATTGTGGTTTTGATTTGCATTTGTCTGGCCAGTGATGATGAGCATTTTTTCATGTGTCTGTTGGCTGCATAAATGTCTTTTGAGAAGTGTCTGTTGGCTGCATAAATATCTTCTTTTGAGAAGTGTCTGTTCATATCCTTCGCCCAGTTTTTGATGGGGTTGTTTGTTTTTTTCTTGTAAATTTGTTTGAGTTCTTTGTAGATTCTGGATATTAGCCCTTTGTCAGATGAGTAGATTGCAAAAATTTTCTCCCATTCTGTAGGTTGCCTGTTCATTCTGATGGTAGTGTCTTTTGCTGTACAGAAGCTCTTTAGTTTAGTTAGATCCCATTTGTCAATTTTGGCTTTTGTTGCCATTGCTTTTGGAACCAAAAGACATTACTTCTTTTCTAGTGGTCAAGACAGGTCAGTTTTTTTATGGTTCCTTTCAGTGCTGTAGATGTATTGCCCACACTTGAAACAGTCATCACAATTGTCACTAGTGTTTGTTACATAAATAACCTCAGGGCAAAAAATGGTTTTAGTGCTCTCTTTCTTTCCAGAATTTCTGCTTTCACTTATTTTTTTTATTGTGGTGAATGAAACATATATAACATCAAAATTATTTTTAAGTGAACAATTCAGTGGCATTAAATACATTCACATTGTTGCATGACCATCACCACCATCCATCTCCAGAACTTCTCATCTTACAAAACTGGAACTGTGTACCCATTAAACAGAAACTCCCTATTACCCCCTACTCACCAACCCCTAATCCCTGGCAACCATTGTTCTACTTTTTGTCCTTATGAATTTGATTCTAGGTATGTTATATAAATGGGATCATACAGTATTTGTCCTTTTGTGACCAGCTTATTTCACTTAGCGTAAGTCTTCAAAATTCATCCATATTGTAACATTTCAGAATGCCATTCCTTTTAAGGCTGAAATCATATTCCATTGTATCTATAAACCACATTTTTTAATCCACTCTTTGTCAGTGAATATTCAGGTTGCTTCCACCTGCTTTCATTTAACTTTTGTTCTCTACAGATTCCTTACTTCTTGACAGCATGACTCATTTTCAAAATTACTATTTAAGAATATTTTATTTAGCTTTTAAGTTGTTTTCTTTGGGAGTGTCATTCATGGTATCTAGGCTAACTTAATTGCTCAAAACCAAAGTCTTATACCTACTATAGGTGGACCAGAAGACAACCAGAAAGAACATAATTTGACTTTCTTTTGGGATGCTAAAAAGGGAAGATTCTGAGATATGAAACAATTAATATGTAGTTTTGCATGTTTTGATTCTTGAGGTCTGCTATAGGTAATATTTTTTTCCTTGCATGTGAGAAAACCTTAAGAATACTATAAGAAAACATAAACATTTCTGTCTTGCAGGATTTGGCATTGTTACCATGTTGTTAGTACTAACCTCTCACCCTCAAGTGCCCCAATATCCAGTAGTAGCATTTGAAACTTGTACAGAGATAACAAAATCATAAACTGCTTGAGCTGAAGGGGTCTAATTTCTAAACATCACCCCTTCCACCACTGTGTCTTTTTTTTTTTTTTCTTTTTTTTTGAGATGGAGTCTTGCTCTTTCACCCAGGCTAGAGTGCAGTGACATGATCTTGGCTTACTGCAACCACCACTTCCCAGGTTCCAGTGATTCTCCTGCTTCAGCCTCCTGAGTAGCTGGGATTACAGGCACACACCACCACACCCAGCTAATTTTTGTATTTTTATTAGAGACGGGCTTTCACCATGTTGGCCAGTCTGGTCTTGAACTCCTGACCTCAAGTGATCCACCTGCCTCGGCCTTCCAAAGGGCTGGGATTACAGGCATGAGCCACGAGCCACCACACCCAGCCACTGTGTCTTAAAGATGAGTTGGCTAAGGTTAAGTGACTGACCCAGCCAGGGTCCTATAAGGAGTTTGTGACATCAAGAACCTCAGTTGCCTCATTTTAATCTCAGTATACTTGGTACTTCTGTGTACTTTCTCTCTCTGAGAAGACCTGTGATCATTTAATGAGTTCTGAGCTTGGTCTTTTTTTTTTTTTTTTTTTTTTTTAAGTGAGACAGGGTCTCTCTCTGTTTCCCAGGCTGAAGAGCGGTGGCGCAATCATAGCTCACTATAGCCTCGGACTCCTGGGCTCAAGTGATGTTACTGTCTCAGCCTCTTAAAGCACTGGGATTACAGGCATGCGCCATCATGCCCCGCCTGAGCTTGGTCTCTTGAAATGTTGCTGTGGATGTTGATAAAGATGACCTGACACTGATACATGGGTCAGAGTAGAGGCAAGAATTCTCATCTGGTTAACTGGTGAAGATCAAATAGAGTTGGCCTTCCAAATACTATTTCACTCCTGTCTCTCCTGTTCATGGAATCTTTTTTGATAACAGAAGGTTACAGTTGGGTGGGAGAGCTCTTGTGATCATTCGTGCCAATCTCAAATTGCCCACAGGGACGTTTTGGGATCCCCTGCCCAGAAACTTTGCTGTTGTTTATAGATGAGGAAACTGAAACCTAAAAGATGTAAATATGGTTTCCCTCAAGTCACATAAAGTGCTTTTAGCAAAGCCAGAACTGGACCCACATCTCCTAATCCCTATTCCCGTGGAGGATCTCTATTACACTAATGCATTAACTTCACTCCTGATCTTTAAGTAAGCTCCACGTCTGTGGTCTCTGTTTTAAGATTGTGAAATGTCATAAAGGTGGTTTGCCTTTGAAAATAAGCCAGAACCTAGAGAGTTAATAGAAATTGAACAGTGAAAGTGGAGTCCTTTTCTTCTCTCCTCAACTGGGGAGCCGCCAGGCTGTTTCACTTGCACCGCATGTGTTCCATTATGGTATAATGATGTAATTACCAGTAATGCTGCTGCTGCTTGAGTAGTGGTGAAGAGGCAGCATTAAGGAAAAGACTAGCCCCAGTTCTCTCCTAAGAGCCATTTCAGCCCACTTCAGTCTATTAGATTGAAGATGCTGGAAGGCGAATGGCTTCAGCACAGGAAAAGGTCAGATTTAAAAGCTTTTCTGGGTTTGGTATTTATTGTTGCTTTTTTGACCTTCAGAAAAGTCCCCTGTGTGTTTGTCCTTGATTCTTGCCTTTCCCATTAATGCTTGAAAGCTGTATTGCTGTCCAGACCAGGTCTTTGGCATAGATGATTTCCTTTGTGGTGTTAGAGAAAGCCTAGCCCCCACTCCAGATGACCAGTCCTGTTGTCGTTCATGCCACCATTGCAGTGTCAAAAGCCTTTTTAACTCTTGAACATTTTAGTTTTCAGCAATTCTGTATGTATATATATATAATATATATGTCATATATGATACAATACATATGATATGATACAGTACAGTACATATGGTCTGTACTAGTATCACATATTCTTTCACAAACTTGCCTAGATCTAAACAATTTATGAATTAATACTTTAAAATACAGAGAAGTAAGCAATAAGACTTGAGTGCCTTGAGCAAACCTTTCTGTGAATCTCTTTCAAAACGTACAGCCTGCCACCTGATGATTATGAGGAGGTAATCATGGTCTCTGGAACACAGTAGACACTTCCAAAAGTGTTCCTTTATTAGAGGGTAGCCATCATTCTTTCAATAATAAGCACCTGCTGGGCCCAAGGTACAGGTTATAGGAAGACAGCAAGTTTTCCTTATTTCAGTAGTTCTCAAAGTGCCATCCCTGGACCAACAGCACCAACATCACGTAAGATCCCCTGAGAAATGCAAATTCTCAGGCCCCCAAGCCAGAGCTACTGAATCACAAATTCTAGGCTGGGAGCCTTCAGTCTGTGTTTTACCAAGCTTTCCGGTGATTCTGATGCATACTGAAGTTTGAGAACCACTTCTTTATTTTGTAGTTCAGTACCAGGAGTTATCTGATAATATAAAATACCTTATGTTTATCTAGAGCTGCACTGTCCAATACAGTAGTCATTAGCCATAGGCAGTTATTTAAATTTTAATAAAACCAAGTTATCTAGAGCTGCACTGTCCAATACAGTAGTCATTAGCCATAGGCAGTTATTTAAATTTTAATAAATTAAAACCAAGTAAAATTAAAAATTCAGTTTCTGAGTTGTACTAGCCACAAGTGCTCAGTAGACATATGTTGCTAGTGGAAACCATACTGGACAGCACAGATGTAAACATTTCTATTATCACAGGAAGTTCTATTGAATAATGCTGGGCTCAAAGCAGTGGTCCTCAGATTTTATCATGAATCGTATCATTAGTCTGTAAAATATACATTGTTGGGCCCCATCCCCAGTTTCTCCCAGTGTTTCTTTTTATTTGAGACAAAGTCTCACTCTTTTACCCAGGCTGGAGTGCAATGGCACAATCTTGGCTCACTGCAACCTCCGCTTTCTGGGTTCAAGTGATTCTCCTGCCTCAGCCTCCCGAGTAGCTGGGATTACAGGTACACACCACCATGCCCAGCTAATTTTTGTGTTTTTAGTACAGACGAGGTTTCACCATGTTGGCCAGGCTGGTCTGCAACTCCTGATCTCAAGTGATCCGCCCACCTCAGCCTCCCAAAGTGCTGGGATTACAGGTGCATGCCACCACTCCTGGCTCCCATTCCCAGAGATTGTGATTCAGTAGATCTGGGGTAGGGCTGGAGAAGATACACGTGTAACAAGCTCCTAGATGATGCTCATGCTGCTGGTATGGGGACCACTTTTTGAGGACTACTGGTCTTGCATAAGGATTCTTGATCTGAAGTCTGTGAACCTTAAAAAATTATAGGCAAAATACTCTATGTACCCATATAATAGAGGTTGCAGGATATAGGACTCACAGTTTTAATCTGATTATCAAGTGGGTCAGCAGGTCAGGAGAACTTTTAGCTGCAGTTAACAGAGAATCTGACTAATAGTGACTTAAATCACAAGGACTTTGATATTCATTTAGCAAAGTAAGAGGCTGGAAGTTTCAGCATTCTTTCAGTGGCTCAAGCATGTCACCAGGAAAATCAGGCACTTTCCCTCAGAAAACCCCTTATGTTTTTTTTGGCTAGCAATAGGTCACATGCCCACCTCTAGATCATTCCCATCAATGAGGAATGGGATTTGTATAATTGCTTTTGATTCAGCCCCTGGGGCAAAGGGAGGGGATTTACCTTCCCTGATAACATCAGATCTCCACCAGTCCTCTGAACAAAATATGAATTCTGTAACAAGGGTGAAGGGAGAAATGGCTATTTGGTCTCTCAGTGAGTGACCCAAAAAGTGTTAGGAGTGTCTGGTCTGCATCCTTTCAGCTTATCACATGCTTTCAACTTGCTAGGCAAGCAGGGCACAGACACGCCGAGCTGTGAAGCCCTGCTGAGCTCTGTCCTCTAGTGCCTTATGACGGGTTCTGTGAAGTCATCCTGCATGTAACGGGGATGACGTGGTATGAGATTTAAGAGCCTGATCCAGGCTTCTGGGAGTCGGCATCAAGTCAGCCTTAAAGCTAGTCCCCGTCTGACTTTGGCCCCCAGTTGTTTTGTGTGGTTGTGTGTTTTTGTTTGTTTGTTTGAGACGGAGTCTCAGTCCTGTTGCCCAGGCTGGAGTGCAATGGCGCCATCTCGGCTTACTGCAGCCTCCGCCTCCCGGATTCAAGTGATTCTCCTGCCTCAGCCTCCCAAGTATCTGGGATTAAAGGTGCCCACCACCACACTTGGCTAATTTTTTGTATTTTTAGTAGAGGCGGGGTTTCACCGTGCTGCCCAGCTGGTCTTGAACTCCTGACCTCAAGTGATCCTTCCACTTCGGCCTCCCAAAGTGCTGGTATTACAGGTGTGAGCCACTGCGCTCGACCTGGCCCCCCAATTCTTTTTAGAATTGGCTCTTGCTTGGTTCCTTTTGGTCAAGTCCCTGTCAAAGTACAAGTTTTTGTACTTTGATTCTTTAAAGACTCCCATTATTCTTTTCTCTCACCAGTCTCCTTGGAATTAGAGTCCTGGTCCTGGATTTGGGGACCAAACACTTGGAATTCTGCTGCCAGACTTCCAGTTCCCTATCTACTTACCTAGCTCCCTGCTTGTCTTCTCCCAGCAGTATGCTTTAGATGCTTGGCTTTCAGTAGGGAGATAGTGTCTAAAAATGTACAATGTGAGACTATTTCACGTAGAAATGGTAAATGAAGCACTGGGAGTTAATGAGATTATTGAAGGAGAAGATGTGAGAACGAAAGCTCATACCACCCCTCTACTGAATCAAATGAAGGGCATGGTCATTTGTGTGTTCATCTGTACTCTCCACAAGTACCATGAATCCCAGGCTGAGAATCAACAAAGACCTTATAAACAAAGACCCAGGGCCACCTGGGAATCCAGAGAGGTGCCTGATGAAAGGGATGACAGTAGCTCAGCTGGCAGAGCTCTCTGCCTGCATCCCCTGCCCCCTAGAGCAGTTCTGCTTTTACTTCTATGTTATGCTTCTATACGAAATCTTGTATGTAGAAATAAATAATTCCACTTATTAAAAAAAAAAAAGGCCACTGGGTAAATGATGCCGAAGGCCCCTTCTAATACTGAGAATGGGCTCAAGGGCTAGAATACAGGTACTAGGCTATGACATGTGAAACAGAAGTGTAGTCCTGTCGTATTTTAGGAGAAGGAACTCTGGCTCCCTTGTTCTCTGCATGGTTTTGAGCTGACAGTTGCCTCGGTCAACAGCTGGATACAGTACCCAATTGTTTGCAGCAAAAGTCCTGCGAGTCTGTTTCCTCTAAAAAGCTTCTTCCACGACTTCCTTCCCCCATCCTCCCAGGACAGAAGTGGACACAAGGGGGAATGTTTCAGTTCCCCTGTCGGGTTGTGTGTCTTCCTCTCAAACCACTGTTCAAAATGTCTAGGGAATTTTTATTTTCCAAAGTTGCTTACCGGAAACAACTTGGCAGAGCATAGTTTGGGGAGGAGGCTTTAGTTCAATGAGCACAAAAGCACATGTTCCTGTGGTGAATTCTTAACGTGTGTGAAGGGGAAGCAAAGGAGCTTTAGTAAAATTGCAGTTCAGGCTAAGTCAGGAATGGAAATGAGGAACAACCAGAAAACATCACAGTTTGTTTTAGAGCATTTAGTTCCTAACTCTCAATGACACACACTCAGGCTTATGGCTGAATTTCAGATTATCCTTGTATATACTTTTTAGAAGTTTTTATTTGGTATCATAATTTATAGTGTAACAATGAAAAGTCGCCTGGCTTTATAACAGATTTCAGAAAGTGAAACTTGGTTTCTGAGGAATAAACAGGCAGCAGAGCAATCCTCAAAGAGGAAGTGCATGAGAAACTGAGGGTTTAGGGAGATTATATTTGGTTAGAAACGCTGGGCCTTTGTTAAAAGTTGAAAAACCTGATCACTCCAGTCTTTGGAGGTTCTGAGGGAGAGCATGTCTTGCCAGAGTCTCACGGATGATTAGAGTTAATCCCGGCACCCAGGCCTCTTTACTTTTCCTCTGCAGTGTGGGTTCCCCTCCTGAGCTACCCGCTAGAGCCTAGTTTCCCAGGGTTTCTCTCTCTGGTCTGTTTTTGCAGCTCAAGCCATGTTCTCCTTGATCTGTTGGCCAGGCTTCAGGGGAGATGGACTACAGCTGGTCTGAAATAGGAAGACGGTAAATTTACTTAAACTTTCAGCATGACCCATTTGCCTAACTTTTTTTTCAATGTGATGAATGAAAATATAGACAACAGAATGTTTCACAAGACAGCCAACTCAAAGAGAATAAGAATGAGGACGTGTGCAATTTGCTTTTACCTTTAAAAAGAAGCATATTACAGAACCTCTTGATTGTCTTTCTTTTTTTTTTCTTTTTTTCTTTTTTTTACCTCTGTCATCTGTGATCCATTCGCCTGTTCAGCCAAGATATTTTGGCATTTTTACTCTGGGAAACCAGTGGGTGGGTGAACATGGAGGAGCCAAAAGTTAACAAAATACCAGCAAATGCTGGAGCCAAGTGAGAGGATTCTCCTCTGCTCCAGAAGCAGAGGTGTACCCCACCTCCCACTCTCCCAAGCTGCTTTGAAAAAGGCTGCTAAAACTCACCGACTTAAAAAAAATTTTTTAAAAGAAAAAAAACTCCCTGACTTGAGAGGATTTCTCAGTCCTGATGAAGGAAATCTCTAGCAGCTCTTCTTGTCCCTAGGCTATCAGGGCTTTTCCTTTCTGAGGATGCCCTAAGCACTGTAGGGAATAATAGCATTCGAAGGTAAGTTTATCTGGTCTGATGCCAGCATACATTGTTGAATCCAAATCTACCATTTACCATCGGGGTGACTTTCAATGAGTTCTTTAAACTTTCTGAGCCTGTTGTCTCATCTGTAATAGAGATAATAGTGCCTACCTCATCAAAAGTGTTAGAATTAAGTAAGATGATTTGTAACTTAGTACCAGACACCTCATTAATAATCAAATGTTTTTTGCAATACCACTCATTTTCTCACCAACTTCTATACAGCTTCCTGTTTTCCCAGTGATCGTGAGATATGGGAGGTAGTAGCTTGCTAACTTGTTTCCAGTGGCAGCAGGAGTGGCAAAGGAAATTACTTTTTTCCTTATCAACTTCAAAGGATAATTTACACACAGTGAACTATATCTGTGTACATTTAATGAGTCTCATAGGTGTCTGTCCGTACTCATGAAACAAGTACTACATTGAAGATGTAGAACATTGGCATCATCCCCAAAAGATTCCTCTTGCCCCTTTGCAGTCTTTCCCTTCCTTTGCCCTTAGCCCCAGGCAAGCACTCCTCTGTTCTTTGTCACTCTAAATTAGTTTGCATTTTATAGGAGTACAGTATGTACACTTTTTGTGCAGCTTATTTCACTCAGCATAGTGATTTCTGGATGTGTCCATGTTGTTGCATGTATCCATGTTATTGCTGAGTAGTATTCCATTGTGTGGATATACCACCTATTGATGGACATTGGGTTCTTTCTTGTTTCTGGCTCTTTTAAATAAAGCTGATATGAACATTCACTTGGAAATCTTTCTGTGGAGCATACATTTTCATTTCTCCCAGGTATACCCAGCAGTTGAATGGCTCAGTCATATGGTAGATACGTGTTAAACTTTTTGAGAAACTTCCAAACTGTATTGTTTTACTTTCCTATCAACAGTGTATGTGATTTCCAGTTGCTTTACAATCTCAGAAGCACTTAGTGTGATCAGCCTTTTTAATTTTAGTCATTCTAATGGGTTTATAGGTCATGGTATTCATTGTGGTTTTCATTTGTTTCCCTGATGTCTAGTGATGTTGAGCACCATGTGCCAACTGGCATTTTGTATACTATCTTCTTTTGTCTAGTATCTGTTCAAATCTTTTGCCCATTTAAAAAATTGTGTCATTTATCTTCTTACTGAGTTGTACAAGTTCCTTTTATGATCTGGATACCAGTTCTTTGTAAGATAGAAATATATTAAACATTTCCTTCAATCTGTGAAAACATGTGAATACAACTGATCCTTGAACAAAATGGGCTTGAACTGCATGGGTCCATTTATACTTGGATTCTTTTCAGTAAAAGTGACACTGAGTGTGCTTGCCTCTCCTGCCTCCCCTTCCTCCCCTTCTACCTCTTCTGCTTCTGTCACTGCTGAGACAGCAAGTCTAACCTCTTCTTTTCCTCTTTCTCCTCAGCCTACTCAATGTCAAGATGAAGATAAAGACCTTTATGATGATCCACTTCCACTTAATCAATACTAAATACATTTTAATCTTCCTTATGATTTTTTTCTCTATCTTTACTGTAAAAATGCAATATATAATATATAACATACTAAGTATGTGTTATTCCACTGTTTATAGTAGTTAAGTTTCAGGGGAGTCAAAAGTTGTACATGGATTTTTGACTGCATGGGAGGGAGCCATCCCCTAACCCCCATGTTGTTCAAGGTTCAACTGTATGTTCTCCCAGTTTGTGTCATGCCCTTTCCTTCTCTTAATTGTATCATTTGAGGAACAAAAGCTTTGAATTTTGATGAAGCTTAGTTTTCAGTTTTTCTTTTATGATTTATGCTTTTTGTTTACTTAAAGGTCACAAAGATTTTTCTCCTATGTTTTCTTGTAGGAGATGTTTTAGCTTTTACATTTAGGTCTATAATCCAGTTCAAGTTAATGTTTGTATATGGTGTGAAGCAAGGGTTAACATGGGGATTATCTTTTAGGTAAGTGTCTATTATGTATCAGGAACTTTATTTCTCAAGAAATAAATGTTCTAAGATAATTATCCTTATTTTAATGATGAAGAAAAGAAGTCTCAGAAGTATTAACTTGTTCAAATCGTACAACCAAGGCTCAAGTCCATGATTGCCCAACTCCAAAGCCCATGTTCTTTCTACCTTATTATGTTGGCATTGTTTTCAATGTCAGTTTGGACCCATATAAAAACGCCCAGCTGTACCCTATGAGGAGGATATAAAAATGTGAGATGGTAGTTGACACTCGGAGGACATTCATATCTCCAAACCCAACCTTATGAAGTTGGCCACAGCAAGCATGTTGGAAACTAGAACCAGGGGTTTCATATCAAGCCATTTGCTTAGGTCTGTATCTCAAAAGCTTTAAATACAACTTTTTTTGGTGCCCTCTTGATAAGGAGTCTTATACTGAGCTCTTCTTCTCTTTTATAGCTGGTCCATCAGAAAGATTAAATTAAACGTTTGGCCACATGGACAGTTAATCCTTAGATCACCCAGTTGGATGGTTCATTCCTGCTATGTTTGGTTTGATTTTTTATTTTTGGAAAACAAATAGTGAGTCAGTCTGCTTTCCCTCCCTTTCTCTGCCTCACCACTCCTTCTGGATTCTCTTAGATGCTCTGGTCATACTAGGTAAACAGTATTTTTCTTAAAATTTTCCTTGAGCCATGACAGAATCATGAGAGAGCTCCCCTGGCTCTGATACTTAATGCCCCCCTCTAAAAAGAAAGGTCTATTTGAGGCTATTCACTTTTGTCATCTTGAAAGAGTCTCTGAGTCTTACCTAGCAGGAATATTTTGTTTCTTTTCCTAAAAAAAAAAAAAATTATATATATATATATATATATATATATATATATATATATATATATATGGAGGGGATGTAAACAGAACAGCCCATACCTCTCTGTTCTTGCTTCTCATTAATGTAGATTTGGTAAATTCTCCTTTCTCTTCTCTTCTCTTCTCTTCTCAGGCAGCATGATGTAGGTGGGAAGAATATGGAGCTTTAAAGTGAGAAGTACCTACATTTGAATCCCAGCTCCAGTATTTACATAGCTAGCAAATCACCCAGTCTCTATGAAGTTCGATTTCCTATTCTGTAAAATGGGAATAACAAGTACTTTATGGGTTTGTTACTCAGTTTCTGGCACATGTGTGTGCTTATATTATTTCCTCCTGTTCTTTTATTAGATCTCTTTCTGAAGAGTAAGGATGTGAGATGATACTCATAAAAAGTCTGAATAAGGGGGTGTTGGAAGCTTATAAAGGGTATGTTTTGAATATGGAGCCCTATTTAAGGTGCCTTAACAGATTTATTCCTTTCACTTTGGCTAATCCGGGCAGTTTGATTTCAAAGTCCAGACATGAAGGGTGAAGAATTGTAGTCATTCTGCCTGTTATTTTTAAAGTTATTTTTAATTTTTTACAGCTGTCGAGTTGATTGTCCTGGGTCTCTGTAAGCAAACTCTGTTCTCTGTGATGCAATTATTTGCTAGTGAGAAATTTATCTCATGGGCAACAGTGAGACTTAGGAAAAGAGTGGAGGAGAAAAGACAGTTTATCTGTCTAATACGGAGAGGATCAAATATAAATTGGTAGGAGAGACTGGGAAACTCTGATAACAAATTTGGGAGAGTTATACCTCTGTCTTGGGAAACAGAGCCCTGAGAAACACCAATCTTTGTGTCAGCTGGTAGGATGAGGACAGTCGGTGTCTCCCACTATCTTCTGGTTACCGTGCCTTCCAGCTGGCATCATTTTCCTCTGTTCCATGAGAATTTTCTTTGCATTTCAGTCTGGGCTGCTGGCCTCTGCCTCCTTTTTGCCTACTAAAAATTCTGTGGACTCTCAAATTAACATTTTCAAACTGGTACATTCTTTGAGATGCAGCTCAAGGCGTAGTTCTTCTAAGAAGCCTCTCCCTTGACTATTCTGCACAGTTTAATGGTGCTGAGACCACCCTAAATTATTCAGGTAGCCTTGAGAATCTGAACCTTTGAATATTTAATGAATTACAAAATGTGTGTGTTGAGGAACAGGAGTTAGCTACAGAGAGACAGATCAGAGTTAGTACCAACTAGAAGCACTTACACCTGACTTCCTTTTACCACTTTTGTCTTCTCAACTAAATTCCTAAACCTTCGCAGGATTGCCTTTCTAAAGCCAGGTGATTATATAACTCTAACAGATAAATATAGCTCTAGTTTCATCTATTTGCCCAGTCTTCATATTGTCTCTACAATTTTGGGTACAGTTTTTTGTTTTTGAGACAGGATTTCATTCCCATTGCTCAGGCTGGAGTCAATGGTGCGATACTCTACTCACTGCAACCTCTGCCTCCTGAGCTCAAGGAATCCTCCTACCTCAGCTTCGAAGTAGCTGGGACTATAGGTGCGTGCCACCACACCTAGCTAATTTTTGTATTTTTAGTAGAGACGGGGTTTTGCCATGTTGCGCGGGCTGGTCTTGAACTCCTAAGCTCAAGTGATTCACCCGCCTCCCTCCCTCCCTCCTGTGCCAGGATTACAGGCGTGTGCCACAGCACCCAGCCTGGGTACAGTTTATTTCACTTAATGTTATAAGCTTAACAATGCTTATTATAAAATTTGAGGATAATTTAATGGCTGCAGTGTGACTCACTCATTAAACCACTTTTGTGCCACCAAGACATTAGACCCTTTGTCTTCCTAGATTTTCAAAAAAAACAGGATATTGTTGAATCATTAAAGCCTTTAGGCAAACTTGTCTTATGCCTAAAATTCTGTTTTTCCCTCTATAACTGTATACAGGATATTTTGACTGTCCAACAAGTAAGATGAAGGAATTAATTTTTTTTTCTCTTAGAAGTGTTCACTGTGTAGATGAATAACATTTACAGTTAGATCTATGAAATATCTTAGGTTTTGTTTGTGATTGATTCTAAGAATTAAACAATGAATATTCTTTGCAACACTATAGTCATGTAAATATTCACAGCATAGCTGAGTTTCATAATTTGACCCATAGGACAAAAATAAAGTTTGATGATATTAAGCCTGCAATATTTAAAAGAGAATATTCCAAACATCAAGATCAAATAGATTCTCTTTCCGTCACTTGCCACATTGTCTTTCCTTTGCATTTATACCTTGTCTTTGCTTTTTGTTTACCTTGGAATTTTTAATTGCCTTTTTTATCTTAATTGGAGATTTTTTTCCTGATTGAAGAAAAACAGCATCTGCCATTACCTTATGACTAAGATCACTTAGCTTCTTAATCATACTGTTTGTTATAGGAAAATGACTTTCATCTTGACACATTTTTCTCTAAGTCCTCAGAGTTCCTGTTCTAATTTCAAGGCCTTCATTGAAATCCTGAGTTAAATCTTTCTCACATGCCATGTCATCCTACTTCTTAAAACCCTTTTTAATTTTGCTGTAAATCATCCCTGGTAATTTGTTCAGAAAGAGTACACAGGAGTTAAACTTTGTAACTCCTTGCATATCTAAAATGTTTTGCCTAGCTGTTCTATAGACAGTCCTTCAACTCATCACCTTGATTTCTCCTCCTCTTCCTGCCGTTACTCTCCTTGTTGTCTAATTCTGTGCTATTCAGTATGGTACCTTCTGGCTACCTGGTCTGTTGAGTACTTGAAATCTGGCTTATTTGAATTGAGATGTGCTGCAAGTATCAAATACACACTAGATTTTAAAGACTTAGTACAAAAGTAAAGATAAATATGTATACTATTTTTATATTGATTATATATTGAAATAATATTTTAGAAATATTAGGCTAAAATATATTAAAATTAATTTCACCTGTTTCTTTTTACATTTTAAATGTGGCCACTATAAATTTTAAAATCACATATGTGCCTCACGCTACATTTGTATTTGACAGTGCTGCTGTAATTCCCAAGAAGCAGCAGTGGCTGCCGCATACAGCCTTTCCCCATGGTCCTGAACCTGGCTTCTTTGGGTGGATTATGATACATCAGCATTGTAGTATGTCTACAATAATGTACATTTACCAATATAATCCCATCTATTTCCATCTTTTGAAAATAGTTAAAAATTTCTAGTCTGTCTTTTTGCCCTTATTCCTCTCTCCCTCTCCTTCTCCCTCTCCCTCCTTCTGTCTCCCTCTCCTCCCTCCCCCTCCCTCCCTCCCTCTCTCCCTCTCTCCTTCCCTCCCCTAATTACATTATTCCTTCTTGTACTACATTGCCACTTCTTTGGGGTTTGGGAGGAAAATGAATTTTCAGTCTATCAACGGGGAAGCAGAAGATTTTACTCATCTCATCACTATTTTTAACAACAGTGCAGTGGTTATCTTCATGTGTAAGTCAGTCTACATCTCTAGATATTTTCTCATGGTGGTTTTCTAGAAATAGATAAACTGTTCAGATTATGAATTTCTTGACTCTTGATATAGATATTGACAAGTTGATTCCTCAAAAAAGTAACTAATTTATATTCTTAGTGGGTTATTCAATAAAAGGTGGGAGCAGTTACTCAAGGGTACCTACATTCACATCTGAACCCCTTATGTGGGTCTTGTATCTCAGCTTCTGTGGAAAATTTGGCCTCTTTTCTGAATCACTAAACTTTTCTGGGCCTCTTTTATTTGTAAAACTGGGATAATCATACCCTGAAGTAATGTATGGAAAAGCTCATTGAAAGTAGTATTTTATTATTTCAGCAAGTGCTTAAGAGCCTCCTACTTGTACTAAATACATGTTCTGTACTAGGAACTATGGAGGATGTCTAAATGATGTGAACCTGGGCCTCAAAACCAATTTACAAAAAAAAGAAGCTACCACACAAGTCTTTTTGTGATATCTAACAAGAAGTGCAGGCCAGGCGCGGTGGTTCACACCTGTAATCCCAGCACTTTGGGAGGCCGAGGCCGGCGGATCACGAGGTCAGGAGATGGAGACCATCCTGGCTAACATGGTGAAACCCCGTCTCTACTAGAAATACAAAAAATTCGCCAGGCGTGCTGGCGGGCACCTGTAGTCCCAGCTACTCGGGAGACTGAGGCAGAAGAATGGCGTGAAACCGGGAGGCGGAGCTTGTAGTGAGCCGAGATGTGCCACTGCACTCCAGCCTGGGCGACAAAGCGAGACTCCGTCTCAAAAAAAAAAAAAAAAAAAAAAAGTGCAAAGTGTTGAAGGGGTTTAGAGGAGGGAGGGTTTATATTGTATTTTAAAGATCAAGGACAACAGCCTAGAGGAGGTGGCATTTAAGGTAAGCCTTGAAGAAGGAGTTTAATTTCAACAGAGAGTAAGGCTGGGAATAATGCGATGTGAGAATGATCTTGAGAAGAGGCACAGAGGGTAGGTTCAGGGCAGATCCGTTGATAGCATTCACTAGAGTGTAAGCAAAAGGTGAGGAAAACTGAAATTGTAGGTTGAAATTTTTGTTTCTGCGAGTATACTTATTTGCATTTGCACAGAAGGTGGTGATCCTTATATTTATTTCTGCTGTGCATCAATAGGGGAGGTGGAGATAAATAATTTCATTGTTTTGGCTCTGGCCAGAATTCATTAGGCACAGTTTGTTGTCCATAGGGAGGGGAACACAACACACACTGGCCTTTGTCTCCCTTCCACACAGGCTGGTGGAGATTCTGAGGCATTTTTAAACATTGCACTTAGCCATTCAGATGATAACTTGGATCAGAAATTTTGAGAAGTGGTGGGATGAAGAAGATCCCTGAAGAGAGGAGTAACTGAGACAAAGGCGAGGCTAGCAATAGAGAGACAAGTGAGGGAATTAGACCTTTGGTATCATCATGAAAAGGTGAGTTTTGGGAAACAAAGAGTATGGCGGGCAAGTACCTAGCAGGTTCTGAATATTTGTTCTTTAGGAGTCACCATTTAAACAAGACCCCAAGAGTGACATTAGGTGTAACCAAAGTGAAATTGTTGACTACTTGATGAGATTCGTGAGGATAGGCATTAAATGATATCTTTTAAGAAACCATTGGCAGTCCTGGAGCTGATGACCCTAGTGCAGGATCATTATGGTTGCTTCTTTCATCATCTCAATTTGATGACATATTTGAATTGAACTTAAACTATACCTAAGCCTTAATCCCAGGGTCTACTAGTGATTCAGCTCAGCACATCTAAAGGCAATGATTATTCAAGAGGATTACATTGGTATCTCCTGTCACACCAGCATTTAGTATTCTATACTTATTCCCTAAATATATCTCGTTGTCATTCTCCGATATTTACCATTTACCAATATTACCAATATGCCTAGAGCATAGCAATTGCTCAATAAAAGTGTATTGAAGAAATGACACATAATAGGCATTCAATAAATGTTGAATGAATAAATGAATATATCCAATAAAAGCATGTGCTTCCTTTATTGGATGAGAGATGTGAAACCATAGACTCAAGAATAAAGTCATGGGGTACAGGGTAAAGTAAGATAGTAGATATAATCAGGAGCTTCTAGCTGAACTGGAGTCACCTTTAATGCCAGGCACATGAACTTGACTTCATTTTATAGGCATCAAGAAAGAGCATCTTTGAATGTTGCTGAAGATGAAAAATATCTTGGGCATGGTAGTAGGGAGGTGGGAGGGAGGTTTACTGTTCCTTAAATGAGGCTTATCCCTTCCTGCTTCCATGCGGCTGATCACCATTGTGATGAGGAAAGAGATGATTTTGAGCCAGATCTGGGTTTGAGACCTAGATTTACCTTGGGCAAATTTCTTAAACTGGTTAAAGGCTTTGAGAGATACACCCTTTCCTAGGGTCATCTGTTGTGAGGTTGTGAGGTACAGATGAGAATTTATGTGTAAGTACTTATCATGGTGGTATCTGTCACGTGGTAAATACTTTGTTTTCTTCCTTTCCTGGGGAGTTTCCTTTTCTCTCTTCCCCCAGTCTTACTAAACTCCTGCCCATCTTTTTTTTTTTTTTTTCCTCTTCACATAAGCAGTGTAGCTTTTCCAGGGTTCCCAGATGAGACAGATATAAGCTTTCCCTTTGTTCATCTTCATTTGTGGAATTTTAGACTTTTGAAGAAAGATTTCAAAGTGATAGGAGGAATGACACAGGAAAGGGTAGAAATCTGAACAAAATACTATATTTGGGAGCAGAAAAATAAGGGTCCATGAGAGGGTGTATGCACAGTGTGAATAAAGGCATCTTGTCACTTAGGGCAACATCATTGATTCTCAGCCCATCTTTGTTCATCCAGGAGGCCAAAGAGAAAGACTGTCTTGCCAGTTCCTAGAATTATCCACGAAAAAGGGGCTACTCACTCCTCTTTATTCAGTGAGAGCTAGCTACCAATCTCCCAGATAGCCCTGAGCTTTTAGAATATGATGGTATGTTTTGATTAGGATTAGGGCAGTCATTCTACAGACTTTTTCTAGGAAAACCGAGCTTGGTAAGCAGAATAGAAAACATCCAGAATGACATCAGTCTGGTAAGCTTTGAAGGAAACAACCAAAGATGGTCAACACAACTGCTTGTTCTTTTATTTACCATTTCACACCTGGTGCAGTCAGGAAGCTACATTTAAAAAACAATTTTCTCTTTAAAAAGAAAAACAACCCGTAGTCAAAAAAGCACTCATTTGCCATAAAGCTGGAAGGATTCATTCATTGGAGCTGATTGTTCACATTTGTAGAATTTAGAATTTTGTGGTTGGAAGGGGCCTTAGAGTTGAATAAGGTCTTCAAAAGGAAACAAAAGGCTCTTGCTTTCTGTATGAACAGAGTTTATTCACAAGTCAGTTTTCCGTGATCTATGAGGAGTGATTTCAGACAATTAGCTAATTGGTTGAGGCAGGTGACCTATCAGCTCTGTAGAGGGGATGTTTGCTCTTAGGGATCTACATAAAGAACATATCTTACACTTTCCATGACAGTCAAAAGCAGCCCCATTAATCCTCCTATGTAATGGCCAGTCATAACCACAGATGAGGAGTGCATTTCATGAGAACCTTAACAGCTGTCAACAGTTGATCACTGCCACCATCAGCTCAGTGTTGTGTGGGGCTTTGAAATATTACTGAATGATCTTCCAATTTGTTGTATTGTAGGGCATAAGCGGCTCTCCAGATATAGTCTGCTATTTATTTTTTAAGTGTTATCAGATGCTTAGTCTGTTGAAATGACACTTGTCTATTGTATGAAAAACAAGGGCAGGACTGACTTGTGACCATCTTGAAACCCCAAATGGGTGCAAAAAAAGAAAAGAGAACAGGGCAAGTTTGGCTAGGCAAATGTTATATTTTTCTGGATTTCAAGTGTGAAAGAAATTCAAAATGAAAGAAGAGTGTCATAGATTTGTCATGAAAGGAATCAGGGCCTGTCACAGTGGCTCATGCCTGTAATCTCAGCACTTTGGGAGGCCGAGACAGGTAGATCAGTTGAGGCCAGGAGTTCAAGACCAGCCTGGCCAACATGGCAAATCCCTATCTCTACTAAAAATAAAAAAAAAATTAGCTGGGTGTGGTGACACATGCCTATAATCCCAGTTACTCGGGAGGTTGACGCACAAAAATTGCTTGAACCTGGGAGGCGGAGGTTGTAGTGAGCTGAGATGACGCCACTGCACTCCAGCCTGGGCAACGGAGTGAGATTCTGTCTCAAAAAAAAAAATGTGGGGGTGTACAGGGAATCAGGAGAAGATGACCAGTATGTATGAATCAGTAAATTCAGTCTCGTTGCCCTTAGTCTAAAACCCAGTGAAATTTGGAGTCATTGTTTTTGGAGCATATTATTAAGGTGTTCCCAGAATGTAAAGTTTTATGAGGAGAATGGCTGTGACAATCATGGGATGACTGGTCCTTCAAACCAGAACAACCACAGTACTGGTCATTAAGATATCTGGTTTTTTTGACACTGTGTGTATCCTTGTTAGTGTATTGGTTAAGGTCAGGGCTTTGGGTCTGTCAGAAATGGGATTGAATTCTGTTTTTGTCACCTACCTACTTTATAACCTTGGCCACGCACATGGTAAGCATTTATCTCAGGAATATTTTCAGTTTATGTAAGAGAAAGCGCATAGTGTGTTAAATAGTTGATTTTTCTCACATTACAAGAAGTCTAGAATAAGCAGTTCCTGCCTTTGGTGTAGACAGTCAGTGTTGCAATCAAGCATGCTTCTTCTGTCTTCCCAGCCAGCCATCTAGTGTGTGGGCTTTCAGCCTCATGGTAGCAAGAGAAGCAAAAGCTTTCCCAGGAACCTCCAAAAGATTTCTACTTATGTCTTATTATTCAGAACTGTGACATGTGGATACCTCCAGTTACCAGGAAAGTAAACATTCTGTTTGCCTAGACTCTCTAATTAAGGACAAACAAGGAAAAGGGATTATGAATAGGCATTATGTTATCCAGCCAACAGTGCAGTGTCTGGCATTGAATTGAACATTGAACATTCAATGCTCTTATGATGGTGATGGTAACAGATAATTCACTTCATCCTGCTCTCCTGAAGAGTCAGGTAACATACTTAACATTTTATACTTTATGGAGTACTTTTGTAAGACATTTGATGGTGTATTGTTTTTATATGTTTAGAAGTTCCTTGCTGACTGAGCCAAAGAAAGAAGATGAACTAGGAAGGATAATGTAGTCCAGGCCTTCATACTGACCTGGCCTGGCCTCGGGTCTTTTGCTTACAAAGCTTTCTCAAACCACTCTGAGCTACAGCAGTTGTTCATGCCTCTAAACTCCTAATATTACTTCTGACTTAATGCTGTATTTGTGCTGCTTTATATTTTAAAAATGTACATGGCTTCTTAGCTAAGTTTGGAACTCCTTAATTACAGGATCTACACAGAATGTGTCTTACGGAATATAGAGAGGAACTCATTTGTGATTCATTTATTGACAAAACATTTTCTACTTCTCACCATTAGCTGCACTTGAGATAGGGTAGGGATGGGGAGTTACTAGAATGATGCTTTCTTCTTCTATGAGGGAAGACTTTTATTTTCTTTGCCTAATACTCTACCATTCTTTCTCCAACTTCCACCTTCTTTCTCTTTTCCCTGCCTCTAAGAGAACGGTGTGGGTTGTCAGGGGAGAAAACATATCATTCCATTCTTTTATTACTTTCTAGCCCCTCCTTAACTAAGTCTTGTCTGTGACATCACTGTGGGGAATTCTGCCTTACTTCCTAATAGGGCAAAAACTTCTGACCCCTCCCTGCCATTTCTGAGACTACAGCAAAAAGGAAACCCCCGCATAGTAGCTTCTGGTGCCTTTTGCATATTGCCTTTTGCCCTGTCCTTATTTCTTTTTGGACATTTGATTTAAGAGGCAAATAGTACTAGATGAGGAAATCAAACCCACTAACTGAAATCTACGCTGAGAAGCAAATGATTATCTGATCTTTTGCTGAGACCAAATGCTAAGAATGTGTTGAGATCTTGGAACCCAAAGGTATTAGATGAACATTGAGCAAGAAGCATTTAATCGCAAGGCTGGTTGCCCAGTCCAAGGTTCTTTGAATGTTGTTCCCTGCTAGTGCTAGTACTATAGTCTTCAGAAGTCCATAGTCAAAGGTAGGTAGATGCTGGAGTACTCACAGTCAGATTTCTGAGCAGTTGAATACAATGGCTTTTCTTCCCTTTACTATGATATTTTAGAAATAGAAATGACTAGATGCTAACATATTTTAGTTCAATATATATCACTTCTTGTCATTAATTCAATTCTTTGGTTTATTTTGTTTCTAATTGCACAGATAACAAGAATTTCCTAACATTTTTCTCATACCCTTTGGCCACTTAATGTTCCCATGCTATTTATTCCTGTTCATTTTTCACTGTTTGATGATGGTTATTGTTGAAATTTAGCAAATAAAATGTCAGCTGTGGCACCTGTATTTCCAGGGTCTAAAATAATGTGTAGACATCCATAGACAAAACACAAAATTCTAACTATTATCTATTTTATAAAACAAAGCACTTTACCAAGGTTTTAGAGATTTAAGGTGCCCGTTAATTATCCCTCCTCCCAGGAAGTCAAATTATCCTTGTTTGCTCATGATATGATCTCATATTTGGAAAAACCTAAAGACTTCACCAAAAAAAAAAAAAAACAACAACTATTACAACTGATAAATTCAGTAAAGTTGCAGGATACAAAATCAGCATACAAAAATCAGTAGCATTTCTATATGTCAACAGTGAACAATCTGGGAAATAATTCTTGTTGTGTTTTTTTTTTTTTTTTTTTTTTTTTTTTTTTTTTTTGAGAGACAGTCTCGCTCTGTCGCCCGGGCTGGAGTGAGTGCAGTGAGTGCAGTGGTGCGATCTTGGCTCACTGCAACCTCCACCTCCCAGGTTCAAACAATTCTCCTGCCTCAGCCTCCTCAGTAGCTGGGACTACAGGCGTGCACCACTATGCCCAGCTAATTTTTGTATTTTTAGTAGAGATAGGATTTCACCATGTCAGCCAGGCTGGTATTGAATTCCTGGCTTCCAGTGATCCGCCTCCCTCCGCCTCCCAAAGTACTGGGATTGCAGGTGTGAGCCACCATGCCCGACCTGGAAAATAATTTTTTAAAAAGTAATCCCATTTATAGTAGCCACAAATAAAATTAAATGCCTAGGAATTAATTTAACTAAAAAAGTGAAAGATCTCTGTAATGAAAACTATAAGACACTGATGAAAAAAACTAAAGAAGGCACCAGAAAATGGAAAGATATTCCATGCTCATGGATTGGAAGAATTAATATTGTTAAAATGTCCATACTACCCAAATCTATAGATTCAATGCATTCCCTGTCAAAATACCAATGACATTCTTCACAGAAATAGAACAATTCTAAAATTTATATGGAATCACAAAAGACCCAGAATAACCAAAGCTATCCCAAGCAAAAAGAACAAAACTTGAGGAATCACATTACCCACTTCAAATTATACTACAGAGCTATACTAACCAAAACAGCATGGTACTGGCAAAAAAACAGACACATAGACCAATGGAATAGAATAGAGAACCCAGAAACAAATTCACATACCTACAGTGAACTCATTTTCAACAAAGCTGCCAAGAACACACACTGGAGGAAAGACAGTTTCTTCAGTAAGTGTTGCTGGGAAAACTGGATATCCGTATGCAGAAGAATGAAACTAGATCCCTATCTTTCACCATATACAAAAATCAAATCAAAATGAATTAAAGACTTAAATCTAAAACCTCTAACTATGAAGCTCCTACAAGAACTGATTGGGGAAAATCTCCAGGACATTGGTCTAGAAAAAAATGGCAAGTGGTAACTCCACAAGCACAGACAACCAAAGCGAAAATGGACAAATGGGATCACATCAAGTTAACAAGCTTCTGAACAGCAAAGGAGACAATCCCTAAAATGAAGAGACAACCCACAAAATGGGAGAAAACATTTGCAGACTGCCCATCTGACAAGGGATTAATAACCAGAAAATATAAGGAGTTCAAACAACTCTATAGGGAAAAGTCTAATCTGATTTTTAAATGGGCCAAAGATTTGAATAGACATTTTTTGAAGGAAGACATACAAATGGCAGACAGACATATGAAAAGGTACTCAACATCATTGATCATCAGAGATACATAATCAAAACTACAATGGGATATGTCACCTCAATTAAAATGGCTTTTATCCAAAAGACAGGCAATAGCAAATGCTGGCGAGGATGTAGAGAAAAGGAAACCATCTTACACTATTGGTGGGAACATGAATTAGTACAACCACTAGGGAGAACAGTTTGGAGGCTCCTCAAAAAATAGAGCTACCATGTGATCCAGCAATCCCACAGCTGAGTATTTACCCCAAAGAAGGGAATCAGTATTTTACACAGAGATACCTGCACTCCCATGTTTGTTGCAGCACTGTTCACAATAGCCCAGGCTTGGAAACAACCTAAGTGTCTATCAGCAGTTGAATGGGTAAAGAAAATGTGGTACTTATACACAATTACTATTCAGCCATAAAAAGAATGAGATCCTCTCATTTGCAACAACATGGATGGAACTAGAGATCATTATGTTAAGTGAAATAAGCCAGGCACAGACAGATAGACATTGCATGTTCTCACTTATTTGTGGGATCTAAAAATCAAAACAATTGCACTCATGGAGATAGACAGTAGAAGGATGGTTACCAGAGGCTGGGAAGGGGAGTGAGGGGTGGTAAGAGAGGTGGGGATGATTAATGGGCACCAAAAGTAAAATAGAAAGAATGAATAATACCTACTATTTTATTGCACAACAGGGTAACTATAGTCAATAATAATTTATTTGTACATTTTGAAATAACTGAAAGAATATAATTGGATTATTTGTAACACAAAGGATAAATGCTCAAGGGGATGGGTACCTTATTCTCCATGATGTGATTATTACACATTGCATGCTTGTGTCAAAACATCTCATGTATACCTACTATGTACCCACAAAAATTAAATTAAAAAAGTTACAAAATTATAACCATCAAAAAAATTATTATTAGTCCTCCCTTCTGTTGTAGAAAATAGGAAGGAACCAAAAGGAGATGAACTTATCACCTTTACTCATGACAGCTCAAGAGGGTCTCAGATATAGTCTGGAGATGCCAGTCTAGGAGTACTTGGTACAATGAGAGAAATATGAATCAGCAAGCAATATATAGAGTAAGACAAGAGAAAACTGAGGGTGAAATCCCAGGGATCATAGACCTTAAAAGGATCCTTATGATGACTGAAAATGAGGATAGAAATGCAGGAAATTGTGGTGTCAGGTAATCTAAAGGATTTAGGAGAGGAGCCTTCAGGTGTCTCAAATGCTGCCAAGAAATCAGTGAAGATAAGAGCAGCAGTAAGTATCTATGGGATTTTACAACAAAAAGTTTTAGATCACCCATGGTGAAAAACTTACTGTTCTCCCTGCCCAGTCTCCCTAGACTAATCACACAGGACCACCTACATTTTGTTTTTCAGTCTGTCTTCACATCTGGCTCCCACTGTGTATAAAAATATGCCACTGGGCAGGGGGTGGTGGCTAACACCTGTAATCCCAGCGCTTTGGGAGGCCAAGATGGAAAGATCTCTTGAGGCCGGGAGTTTGAGACTAGCCTGGGTAACATAGTGAGACCCCCCACCTCTATAAAAATTGTTTAAAAATTAGCTGGGCATGGTGGTGCATTCCTGTAGTCCTAGCTCTCGGGATGCTAAGGCAGGAAGATTGCTTCAGCTCAGGATTCGAGGCTGGAGTGAGCCATGATCGCACCACTGCCCTCCAGCCTGAGTGACAGAGCGAGACTTTTTCTCTAAAAATAAAAAATAAAAAAAGTCACCAAAAGATCTTTGGACTCAAATTATTCATTATAATCCTAGAAGAAGGACTTATCAGTATGTGTATTATTGGAAGATGGTTAGTGATAAGATTTTCCTTTGTAATTGGAGCCCAGTATTTCCGGGTGAAGACTGTAAAGCACTGGATCAAGAGTATACTGATGGTACCACATGTCCCAGGCAGGCTCTGAAACAAAGCCCAGCATTATCCTCCTCCTTCTGTCATTTGAAGGACCATCTTTCCCATTAAATTATAAGAGATTCTTGATCTGCTATAGGGGATACACCAGTGTTGGGGCTCAATAAATATTTGGCAAAATTAGGCTCTGCAGGTATAAGACAAGGCAAAGGGGAAGGTTCTTAAAAAAACAAAAACTATATCTTCAAATTTCTGCTCAGACTCTAGGGCATGAGGGAACTCCATGTGCCTGCTTCTTCCTCTAAGCACCTAGAAAGGTTCTTTCTCAAAGTCAATAAACAACACTTCTTAATAGTTACTTTTTGGTCTCCTAAATGTTACTTTTTAGTTTCCCTACTGTTCAAGCCAGAGCTATGATTTGTCATTACTCACATATGCCTTCAAGTGCAGATAAATTTCCTGCATGCCATTGCTACCTCTTGCTGCATCCCATTAGACTCTTACTTAAGTTGTGAGGTTTATTTTTTGATAACCAAAATTCACTTAAACATAGGATGTCATTTGTACTACTGATCCGTTTCTCTCATCATTTGAGTCAGGATATGTGTGTAGGACACTGGGGCTTTTACCTTCTTTTTGTGCTATCATAGCTTATATGAATAGAAAGCTCAGACACAGTGAGGACTTGATCAATATTGAAAGGAAATTTAAATCATACCAGGTACCCTATAAGCTTCTCCCCCAGGCAAATAAAGCCAGTGTTAAGTTGATCTCCCTAGGTTGGTGGGCAGGGAAAGTCCCAAGCCTGGTGGCTTCCTCAGTCACTTCTTTAAAAACCAGGGGCCTCACCACTGGTTTCCAATAGCCTGTGTATTTTTAGTCCTGCTTTTCATGTAAGTTTCCCATTAACTGCTTGCAGGAAATCTTTTCTTGGACATAATCTGCCCATTTCCTGAAGTCTTCCTCCCGCCTTGTGTCAGTTTGGGGATGAATCAAGTCAGCAGTTTTGGAGGGGGTTTGTTCTGTTCCCCGCCACAGGCTCCCCACTTTGTAGAGTACCAGAAAGCTGCCTTTCTTGTCTTTTCCTAGAGGCAAAGGGAGGAGGGGCAAGCCCTTGGTGTGTGTCTGCCTCTTGGGTTGCCCAACACAAATGCCCTTTTGTGTGTGGAGGGGGCATGTGTGTTTTTTTTCCCCTTCCCAATGGACACTTTCATTTACGAGGTCCGGATGGTGTCCTCTGGGCTATAAACAATGGCATAGGAGATAAAGAGCTGCCTTAGTGACCAGGCTGTGGTGGCAGCCACTGGTTTTCCATCTGTGTCTCTGTTTTCCAATCCCCTTGGTCTATTGTGAGTTTGGTCTGATCTGAGCCAGCCTGGGACCTCTGTAATCCCTTTCTAGGCCCAGAGCAGCGTGGGCACTATTCCTCTTATCCTGAGGACTTCAAGCTTAGAGAAAGAGGTTTTCTGTGGTAAGGATAGCAACTCCTCATGTTTGCACAATGTGTTTAAACACATTATATCTTTTGGAGAACTGAAATTCTGGATTTGTTATCCCTTAAGAATGGAGGATTCGGGGCTGGGCGCAGTGGCTCACGCCTGTAATCCCAGCACTTTGGGAGGCCAAGGCAGGCAGATCAGGAGGTCAGAAGATCGAGACCCTCCTGGCCAACATGGTAAAACCCCGTCTCTACTAAAAATACAAAAAATTAGCTGGGTGTGGTGGTGCATAACTGTAGTCCCAGCTACTGGGGAGGCTGAGGCAGGGGAATCGCTTGAACCTGGGAGGCAGAGATTGCAGTGAGCCGAGATTGTGCCACTGCACTCCAGCCTGGCAACAGAGCGAGACTCCATCTCAAAAAAAAAAAAAAAAGAATGGAGAATTTGGATCAAAAGAGTTGGAGTGCTGGTCCTGCTATTTATTTATTTTATTTTTATTTATTTTTTGAGACGGTGTCTGTCTCTGTCACCCAGGCTGGAGTGCAGTGGCGCGATTTCGGCTGACTGCAACCTCCACCTCCCGGGTTCATGCAATTGTCCCGCCTCAGCCTCCCGAGTAGCTGGGATTACAGGTGCCCACCACCATGCCCTGGTAATTTTTGTATTTTTTAGAAGAGACAGGGTTTTACCATGTTGGCCAGTCTGGTCTCGAACTCCTGACCTCAAATGATCTGCCCACCTCAGCCTCCCAAAGTGCTGGGGTTACAGCCATGAGCCATTGCACCTAGCCTGGTTCTACTATTAATAACTGTGAGATCTCAGGCAAATTCTAGAACTAATACCTTTCTACTTCATAGGGTGTTCCACAGTTCCATTAAGAAAATACGTTATGGGAAGAAAAATATTTCCATTAAGAAAATAACATATGGGAAGCACCCAAATGTTAACCAAAAAAGGAGGGGGTGGGAAGAGGAAATGTACAATGAGACAATATAAATGAATACGCTATGCATAAGATGCTAAGTATATAGTCACTATTTGGTTTTAGAGGTCTAAGAGTAAGCCTTTTCTCCAGATAAATCTACCCCTTCACCTGGATTCTCATTCTGACCATCACTTCCTTCTCTGTCATCTATCACTACGGGCCCTTCTTTCACATGTTGACATGACTCTCCTATCTCAAAGCAAACCACTATTTCTTGATTCCAGCCCCTAGCTCAGTGCTTGGCCCAAAGTAAGGTTCAACATTTTCTTGAATGGATACTTGTGAAAAACTCCAAAACGCAAAGCCTTGTATTTCCCTTCTTTCCTGTCCCCAGAGACCTGCTGTTTGTCACTCAAACTTCTTTATTTTTATACCCAGGGATCACTGTGAGAAATGGAAACCACTCCAGATACTTTAAACAGGAAGGAATTTAATACAAGGAATTAGATGCTTACCAAATGATAGGAAGAACTAGAGCTGCATGTTCTAGTTTAAGAACTCCATAGGTGACCTCCTAGGACACCACTGGTGATCCATTTAACCCCCACCCACACCCCATAGCTGTGGTCTCGGGTATGGGAGGTCAGACTTGAGAAGCTACTAATGAACCTGCCCCATGGCACTCAGGAGGCTGGATAATACCTCAGCCGCATAAAACAATCAAACGTCTATATCCTTTTTTGCCAGTAGAAACGAGAAATAGCCAAAAGAGAAATGGAAAATGGTCTTAGCCTCATTTCCACCTTACCAGTCTTATATGAATGCAAGTAATTGGCAGACTGCCTGCAAACAAATTTGGTAAAGGTGACTTTTAGTTTTCCAGATTTTCTAACTAGAAGGGGAATGGAATTGATGTTGAGTGGGCCAACCTATCGTACATACCAACCAACTTCATCTAGAAAGTATTTCAGGTAGCAATATGGCGAGATACATGCTAGCTGAGAAAATCCAAACAGATCTCTGTGTTTCTAGTTATAACACCTTCCAAGTACAAAACTGCTTCCATAAAATCATGCTTTTCTGTGGGAAATCTTCACATTTCCCTGTGGCCTCTAAAATGGTCTGGTTGCCCTAGCAGCCAGCTCGCCTTGTACTTGTTGAGTACCTAGGGTATTCTCAACAAATGCTTGAGTGAGTGCCTACTATATGTGTCAGTTACTATGAACACATCAAAAACACATCAAAAAAGAAAGACAAGGCCCTGCCTTCAAGGAGTTCATGATGGTCTAGTAGGGGGATACAGAGATGAAAACAGTTACAAAGTGATATTATAAATGCTAAAAGGAACACAGATGAGAGATACATAAATCGTATTGGGGGATAAAATGAGGATAAATATGAAAGGGCCATCTGTACTCTTGTAAAAAGTTAAGTGTAAGGGATTTTTAATTAATATAAAGAGCCTACAAGACTGGCCTTATAAACTCTCTACTCTCTTTCTCCTAGCCACGCAACCCAGACACAAAACCCCAAAAATGTTCTTCATTTTTGCTAACATTTTTAAATGAAAAATTTCAAACATAAAGCAAGATTGAAAGAATTTTACAATTAACACCTATTTATCAACCATCTAGATTCTGTCATTAATATTTTACTATGCTTGCTGTATCACTTATCTATTTGTCTATCCATTCCTTTGACCACCCATTGTGCATCTTATTTTTTATAGCATTTAAAGTAAATTGCAGACATTAGCATATTTCTCCCTAAATACTTTAGCATGCATATCATTCCCTAGAGTTCCACATCTGTTGAGTATTTTTCTTTGAGGTAAAATGTACATGGAGTGAAATGTCAATCTGAAGTGTTCTTTGAGATGTGACAAAAATGTAACTAAAGCTCCTATCAGACTATATAAAACATTACCATCGTTCCAGAAAGTTTCCCCATTCCCCTTTCCAAACAATTCTCACCCCACCCCCACCCTCCAGAAGAAACAATCATTCTGATTTTTTTTCTACCATAGATTAGTTTTGCCTGTTTTAGAATCTCATAGAAACAGAATCATACAGTATGTACTCTTTTGTGTAAGGCTTCTTTCATTTGGTATAATACTTTTTGAGATCCATCCATGTTGTTGAATGTATTTATAGACCATTCCTTTTTATTGCTAAGTAATATTCCATTGCATGAATATACCACTTTGTTTATGCATTCTCCTTCGGATGGATGCCTGTGCCGTTTCCAGCTTTTGGCTATTATGAGTAAATCTACTATAAGTCTGTAATGTCATTTTTAATAGACTTTTTGTCAGTTTTATTACAGAAGAACTG